>NC_000008.11:138432922-138735000 GCF_000001405.40 Homo sapiens
CAAAAGGCACACAGGAAGGAATGACAATGGAACATTGTCCATCCAAAATCTGTTCCCAGAGGACTGACGGGGAAAATACAAAGTCAGACAGAACAATGAGGCAAGAGGCAGGAGAGCAGTCCACTGTATACAGATAGCAAAGGGTAGAGGACACATGTGGAAGGCCTAGAAAGTCATAATAAAATTAGATCTGACTTTTTCCAGCAATGAAGAGTCACTGAAAAGAAAACAAGATTTACTGATTACTTGTTATATTTCAGGAACTGTGTAAGGTATTTTATATATATCTTTAATCTTCATTTAAAAAGATTATTAAGGCCGGGCACGGTGGCTCATGCCTGTAAATCCCAGCACTTTGGGAGGCCGAGAAGGGCAGATCACTTGAGGTCAGGAGTTCAAGACCAGCCTGACCAACATGGTGAAACCCCGTCTCTATTAAAAAAACAAAAATTAGCCAGATGTGGTAGTACATGCCTGTAGTCCCAGCTACTCAGGAGGCTTGAGGCAAGAGGATCAATTGAACCCGGACAGCAGAGGTTGCAGTGAGCAGAGATCATGCCACTGCCCTCCCAGCCTGGATGACAGAGCAAGATTCTGTCTCAATAAATAAATAAATAAATAAATAAATAAATAAATAAATAAATAAAATAATTTTAAAAGAGTATTAAATAAATGTAATCTCTATTTCATAGTTGATGAAATTCATGCTCAGGAAGATCAGGTGGCTGAAGCTCACATGGTGAGATGATAAATCTAGGATTCTACCCAAATCTCTTTGATGTTCAAGTTTATGACTTGTTTTCTTAGCCACATAGTTGACTTCTGACCAATGATTTAAGAAGCTCAACCCAGTAAGAAGAGAGAATGGGTTTGCTGGAGAGGGAGAGAAATCAGAGGTTGGGACATTAGTTAAAACCCGTGGCAATAGCCCAGGACAGAGAGGGTGAAGTCTGGCTCTGAGTATCATTATCAGAAATCAACCATACATAGAAACCAAGTGGATGAAGAGAAGGGAGCAGCTGCAGAAGACACAAACGCATCCACCTTACGGAGATGGGTTCTGGGAAAACAAGCATTTCTGCTTATGCCACTATTACTAAATAAAAGCAGCATTGACATTGCCCTTGGGATTCTTGCTCTAACTCTGGGCACACATTCTAAGCTTAGACAAGCTTTAGTCACAAGGACAAAATATTATTAGTTTAGCTGTGTTTTAGCTCCAGCTTTCTCTATGAATCATGTGTGCATGAATCATAATCACCACTCTTCATATTTTAGAAGCAGATGTATAATTTTTCTTACCCAAGAAAAAAATCAATTGCTGTCTAAATATGAATCTAATGTTGTTTCTGAATCTCTTTGATTTATTCAATTCTGAGCTTTCATATTCTTTGGGAGTGAGAATAATCAGGAAAGCTTACAAGAAGGTGACAAGGTGACACACACTGAGCATTTGCTCTGTCCATGACTGCTCTCCACTTTTCAAAGTCAAGGTGGGTGTAAGTGTTCCCATTATTTTATAGATGAGGAACCTAAGGCTCATATAAGCAATTTATTGGCTTGGGGTCACACAGCTAGTAAGCATCACAAGGTAGGATTTCAATTAAAGAGTGTCAGACACCAAATTATATGCTTCCAATGACCCTTCCCCAGCTTACCTAGCTACAGTGTAAAAATATGGTATTAGGCCAACTGACTGCATGTCACAGTTCTCTTTGGAGATGACATTCAAAGCTCTTCCCAAGACGGCCTTGTCATTTGTTGTTTACTGTCATCTTAGGACACTGCATTAACAGTGGAAAGCTACTTACCTCTGAATATGTTCACTGTCTATGAAATGGGGATACCAATCCCACCAGCCTCTTACAGTTGACATGAAGCACACGGTTCAAGTAGGTGGGGGTACATGCCAGTATTGTGTCACTAATAACAGTGACACCAGTCAGATTGGACACCTCTCAGCTCCAGGACATGATCATGTAATTCCCTGAGCAGTTCTACCCTCCTGCTACTGAATACAAGTTTCCTCTGGCACATTACCTGCTCCACTATCAGACAATGTACATATTTTCAATCTTGCAAGTGTGGCTGAAGCCACACGCCAGCCAGGCGCGGTGGCTCGCGCCTGTAATCCCAGCACTTTGGGAGGCCGAGGCGGGTGGATCACGAGGTCAGGAGTTTATGGCCAAGATGGTGAAACCTCATCTCTACTAAAAATACAAAAAATTAGCCAGACGTCGTGGCAGGCGCCTGTAATCCCAGCTATTTGGGAGGCTGAGGCAGAGAATTACTTGAACCCGGGAGGCAGAGGTTGCAGTGAGCCAAGATAGCTCCATTGCACTACAGCCTGGGTGACAGAGTAAGACTCCATCTCAAAAAAATAAAAAGAAAAAGAAAAAAAAAGAAGCCACATGCCAAACTCCATGATGATGCCTCAATGCACCTCATCTCATTGATGCCCCTAACCAATGGTGAAGCTTGGAGTGTTATCCTCAGGTTACTGATGAGAAAGCTGAAGTTCTGAATGTTGACATGTCCACAGGTGTACTGCTTTATGATGCAGTAGCCTTGCTGTATTTAAATGCAATAAGACTACTAGTGTATTGAATTACATTACTTATTAGAATGCAATAATATTACTTTTATTATTTATCAAATACAATAGCAATATCTATAAGTAGTTATGTATAGTTTTAGAACAGTTTTTGTATTTTCAATTATATTATCTCATCAGGCCTCAATATTCTCTAAAATTTAGGTCTACAATAAATATTTCTAAAAAAAACACATACAAATGAATCAAAACACATATTTGAAGGTCACAACTTGCCCTCTGGTCTGCTCTCAAAATTGTCTTTCTAAATTGCAGATTTTATCCTATCACCCCTTTGTTTAAGGGGTGACTTAAGCAAAGGAGGGGAGACTTCAAATCTGATTTATCAATAGAACTGAAGTAAGCAATTCCAATCATGATTCAAGACTGGGGATCTGGATTTAGCAGATATTTCAAAACCACCTTGTTCTCCTTGTCTTTTTGATCAGGGCTATTTCAGCTTTCTACCATCCTGCCCTTCCTGACCTTCAGACTATACTATCTGTGACAGCCTATGTGCTCCATTGGGTCTCATGTTATGATAACAGTGTCGTAAAAGAGGTGGAGAGGTGGAGACCAGATCCTTCACTTTTACTCACTGTGAAATACAGGGAATATGCAATTTAATGCTTATCTTACATGTGATAACTGGGCATTGGGAAGGGCAAACAAGCGGCTAAGCAAATGCTAAAACGATGAGAGAACCCGGATCTGCAAGAGATGTTCTCTGGGAAGAACTCGGTAAGATCAATGGATATAAATTGCTGAAAAAAATCACACTTATATGGTTACTTCTTCCATTTATCTGGAAAATACCCCTGAGCATTTTTTTTTATGCAATGCATAGCGGCACTGTGATATGAGAGGGTGACAATCATATGATGTGGAAAGGTGGCTCACTCTACAGAAATATTTGTAGAAATGTATTCATTCACACTGGGCAGCAGGAATCAAAGTGTCTGCTTGTTTTGCCAGTGAACACCAGGTCCTGAGTCCAGCCTTCTGTGAACTGCAATGACAGGCTAGTCTGTGTTCCCAGGGACCTCCTCCCACAATCAAAGACTCTAAGGCATCAGTTTGCAACCATGTGTTCACGTTGAACAGAAAATCTTTACACAGCATGTCAACATAGGTGGGCATATTTGATTCTGACTGATTTAGCCATCAAGTCTGATTAGAATGTGACTTTCCAAACAGTGTGAGCATAGCAGGAAGAGGTCTTGAAGTTAAATGAGCTGGTAACATTTTATAAGGGCCATGCAACCTTCAGCAAATCCTTTAAGATTTCTGAGTCTTAATTTCTTGTTCTGTACAATGGAGATGAGAACCTGCCACATAGAGCTGTTGTAGAATAAAATTTATTGACATATTTACTATAGTATCTTCTCATATTCTGAGAGGTTGGAGATTTCCTTGCCTTTGTCCCTTGGACCTTGGAGTGCTGCAGATCAATACTGATAAACAGGATGGCATAAATAAGGAGAATAAAGTCCAAATGCTGTGGCTTGTTTTTAAGGCACCCTGTGCTCTGACCTCCTCCAACGGTGTTACTTCATCTCCTCTCACTGCCATTACTGAACTCCCATTTCAAGTCAGCAGCTTCTCTTAATGACAGGAATGTGTTATATTCCTCAGGGGTTTAGAAATAGAGAAGAATAAAGTAATAACGTTTGGTAATGATATTGGTAGAGAAGAAGAATATAGACACAGCAATCAAACAAACATGGGTTAAAACCCTAGCTCTGTGATATAGTTAGGCTTTGTGTCCCTACCCAAAACTCATCTTGAATTATAATCCCCATAATCCCCACCTGTCATGGAAGGAACCTGGTGGGAGGTAATTGGATCATGGGGGCAGTTACTCTCATGCTGTTCTTGTGGTAATGAGTGAGTTCTCATGGGATCTGATGGTTTTATAAGGGGCTCTTCCCCCTTCACTCGATACCTCTCCTTCCTGCCGCCTTGTGAAGAAGGTGCCTTGTTTCTCCTTCCCCTTATGTCATGATTGTAAGCTTCCTGAGGCCTCCCCAGCCATGCTGAACTGTGAATCAATTAAACTTATTTTCTTTATAAATTACCCCGTCTCAGGCAGTTCTTCATAGCAGTGTGAATATGGACTAATACACTCTGCCATTTCCTAGCTGCAGGACCCGTGACAAGTGGCTCAGCTGCTTTCAAACTGAGTGTCCAGGGCTGTAAAGTGAGGATAAATCCTATCTTACAGCAGCATAAAGTGAAGATAAGACTTATTTCACAGTGGCATTGTGAGAACACAACACACTACCACAAACCCAGTGCCAGGCATAATGCATGGCTTACTGCAGCCATTCAGTAAATAGTAGCACAAATATTCTTATTAAGAATACCAGAATTCAGGAATCACTACATTATTGTCATTATAATTCCGAAGGGCAATGAAATTTGGTAGCATGGTTGATGTGCTAATGCTGAAATCACCTGTTCTCAGAACATCTCTATTTGATTAGTCAAAGAACTTATTTGTGCTTCAATTCGCTCACCTGTAAAAACACCCGAGAGTACAAAAACAGTCACCTTCTTTGTCTGGGAAACCTGCTCATTTTAATTAACCTAAAAGGTTTCTAGCAATTCATGTTTGTAAAGCACTTTGACATCCTAAGAATAAGAGGCAATTTAAATGCAAAGTTTTATTATAACAGCTTTTTTTAAATAATTATTACTCAAGGGGCTCTCAAGCGAGAAGGAGCTCCTATAATTTCACACCTCTTATCTAAGAGAAGGTGCCGGGTGGCTATTGAAGAGCCATGTCTCAAGTACTCCATGAGAGTTCCTGGAACTCTCCTTCCTTAGCAAAAATAATGTGGGGCAGAATCAAAAAATATAATAAAGGGTAGTAGAAAGAGTGATAATATGAGTGTCTTCAAATACCAGCTAAATCTTGATTGCTGCTACATCTACAAATCAAATTTGAATTGCACTTCTGAGCTCTATCAAAGAAAAAAACAGAGCTAGGCAGTAGTTAAAGTGGTAGAAACAGACTCTATTCTGGATTATTGAAACAGGAGAAAAGATGCTTCAATATAAAACTGGGTTCAATTTTGAATACAGCACAAGCAAGGGGAAATATATAACCAAGGAACAAGAGAGGGATCAGAGGATGGAAAACAACTAAGAGAAAACCTCAGAAGTAAAAGGATTCTGGCAAAACCCACTGAACTGGATTCTTGCCAAAGACAGGCCAGGATGATCAGACATCACCTGAGGATGATGCCTGGCACAGTAGTCCCAACCAGATACTGGACCAGCCATTTAATAATATGTAGCAAGGACTAAAACCAGGTTTCCTGGGGACTGCATTTTACTCCTTAGCATTTCCTGTCTTTCAATGGGATGATCTTCTTGACCTAAAATTGCCATGGCAACCTTGTGGGTGGGGTGGAAGAGGTCACTATACAAACAGGTTATCAGTGACAGATGTGGCTTCTGTTCCATAACTGGTACCTAAAAAAACAAGTGGGTCATCACATTAGCTTGACTCAGGACATCTCTCACCAGGCTATTAGCCTTTAGAAAACACAGAGCTCAATTAACTTTCATGGAAATTGGATTATTTCCTGCCCATTTGAAGGCCTTCATTTATCCACCAGGAGCTGTACAAGGCAAAGTTTCTGGTGTGTATATACCTGAAAATCTTTGAGGAGGCTCCAGTACAAAGATAATATTCTTCTAGGTTACAAAGAACCTGCATGTAAATTACCAATTATCATTTCATAATGGCCCTGTGTGGTCAATATGAGAGAATCATAGCACATAGGACAATAAATGACGTTCAAGATTAAGCAGCTAATCACATATGTCATCATTAGGTATGAATTCAGACCTGCCTGATCCCAAATCCCATTCTCATTCCACTACACCATGTGACCTCAGTAGTCCTCATGGGTTACAAACACCAGTCTCATCTTCAAACTCCAAGGTAAAGCTTCATAGGCCGACCTCATAACATCAGAGGAGGACATTTCCTAGGGGGAGGGAACATGTCATGTTGGGTTTCCCTTTGACTGGAGTAGTCAAGGGATACTCCAGTCTCTGTGAATGGGGATGAAGCATTAACATTAACAGAAAGGGAAAGAACTTTCTACTGTAGTGCCAGAACTTTCCACTGTTACTGTGTGCCAGAAGCTCTCCCAGGTGCTTCACAGCTGCTCTCTAATTTAATCCTAACCCCTCTGCTAGGGATGTATTATTGTGTCCCATGTTACAACTGAAGAAATTCGTGCTTAGAAAGTTTGACTGTCCAATGTTGAAATGTGAGCAGAAAAGGCAGACCTGAAATTTGGAACCAGTTATTGGCTACAGGGCTTTGTAAACTTTGGCCAAGCACTTTCCATCACTCCAGGTACTTCTAAAGTAATTCAATAGATAACTGAAGCAGTCATGGTTCCTGGGATGCCAACACTAATCCTGGCTTACCTGTGCAAGAATGGACCCACTGGAGAACTGGAGTGCAGGTGCGAGGATCATAGGGAAGATAGTGTGATGAACAAGGCTAAGAACTAAGAGCTATCAGGGTGTTCTTGCCAGTCTCATCAGTGAGAACTTGACAAGCTCACCAGGTTCCCACCACTGGGCTGCAGGAACTATAATGTTTTCTTTTGTGTTGACTCATCTCAGTTAAGACTTAAAGTTCCAGGTGAGAGGTAGCTTCCTGGCCATATTAAGGTCATCGCCCCAGCTTTTGGCTATGCTCTTGCAAATAAATGTCTCAGGAACCCTTAAGCCACCCCAGAAGAAGGCATATTTCTGGGGTTACTTTCAACCAAGAGCATACATTCAAGAGACAATTCATCTAGAGGAATGTCTGGGTGCTATTAGGAGGGAGAAATGGGTGCAAGATAGTGACAAATATCTAGGACAAAAGTAAAATATGGGCTTTATATTTAACAGATAATACATACAAAAGTCCAAAAAAGGTAAAATTAGAATTTAAATATTTATAATAATGCACATGAAAGTACTAACTGCATTGTCTAAATCATATCTAATAAAATCACCATCACCGTCATCACCAAAATCATCATCATTGCTATCATTACAAGATAACATAAATCAGTTCCAGAGCCAGACCACAAACCTAGGTTACTGGACACCTTACCCAATACTTTTTTGACATGAGATATTTTAGAGGTGTCTCTCACAGAGTATAGATGGGAAACATCTTTAGAAAGGCAAGATCAATTTAAAATCTATCACATTTCTGAGATATACTCATACTGTAGGCTTCCTCTAATTGATTGAAAAAGTGGCTATGATATTTCATGACATGCAACTCAAGAGGTAGAGCCAATTTCCATGCCCCTTGGTCTGGGTGGTAACTGAATATGCAGAAGTGAAACTGTGTGAGTTCCTGAGCCTTCTACTTTGCTATTTTGGAGTGTTCCTGCCACTATGTAACAAAGCCTACACTAGAATACTAAACACAGACCTTAAAGAAAGAGAGGAACAGTTAGCGCCTGCACCAAGACCCCCACACATGTGAGTGAAGTCATCGTAGACCCTCCAGCCTCAGTGGAGGAAGTGCTCACTCTAGCAAGTGCCTTGGATGACCGAGTGGCTGCTCCACGTGGCTACAATGTTAATGATGAATACAAGCATGCTGGGATGGATATTTTTTACAGCACTGGAGAGTAAACAGAGGAAAATAACAAGATCTAGCCTTCAGACTGTCTATCAACTCAGCTCTGATGAGAGAACAAGTTTGTTTCTGGGGTAGCCCTAAAATAATCTCTTATTTCATGTAGTCACAGGGAAGATAAGGCTGAAAATCAGAACTAAAACTTTCTTATGCAGGTTGCAGAATTATGAGGAAAGCCAAATTTGCACACCCAACAAGTCTCTTCTGTGAGCTTTAGGGCATCAGTTGGAAAGAGTGGGACAATGACACTTTGAATGGGGGTGTTTTATTGGATTGAGACCAAACTGGAAATCTTTATCCATCAGCATCACTATTGTGTGAAGAACTAAATACACTCTCTTGAACACAGCCTGACATCCTATTTGCTTATTTTTTAAACAATGCTTTCTCCAGTTAGTACATACATTCCACGAGAGAAAGAATTTCTGTTTGTTTGCAGATTTCACTCACTACCTGAAACAATGCCTGCAAGTATGTTCTCTTCTTTTGTGACTTCCCTTCCAATTCTCTGCTTTCTGCCATATAGCTTCTCTGCTTTTTTTTTTTCCTTAGATTAGCTTGAGACCTTGATTCAAATTCGATCATATGAGTGGACCTAGGAAGCAAGGATATTTTACCCTCAGCAGCTGTGAGAAGGGGGTAGTCTGAAGACTCAAAGAGTGCAGTCTTGATGACAGAGAATATGCTGTGTGAGGAGACAGCAAATAAATAATTACAGAGCAAAAGAGAGAGAAATTTGGAAGGAAGGAGGAAATAAGGGGGAAAAAGAGAGAAGTGTTGGGAAATCACACACACACCGAGTGATGCAGATTGGTGTTAGTTGAATATTTTGTATGTCAAGTTCTGTAAGTCCTTATGCAGCAGGCAAACGATGTGAAGGACCATTGTATTATCTCCTCCTTTAATATTACAAATGTTGGAAACTGAGGGTCTTAAACTATTACATAATCTGTCCAAGGTATATGAAATAGAACTAGAATACAGCTTGTCTTAGCCTAGCATCTTCAATTTGGAAATAAAAAAATTTAACGTGAAGAATATGGACACCATATATATATATATATATATATATATATATATATATATATGAAAAACCTTGGCAGTTGAATATCTTTTTATAGGCACAATGTATATGTTTGGTTGTGTGTCTATATTTCTGTGTTTACTATTTTATTTGTTCAACATGAAACATTTAATGAGCACGTACTACTATGTGTCAGGCACATACAACATCCTTTGAAGTGAATGCTGTTTAACATCCTCTTTCAATGGGTTTAAAAATGTCAAGTGATAGGATGTAGCTAAGACTTAGGTTAGACCTCGCAGATCTAGAGTTACTATTTTTTCTACTGTGTTGTCTCAACCTGACCTCTACCACCAAACACAAAGCAAAATAAAACAAAGCAAATAAAAACAGAAAGAAAGAGAGGAGCACAAAAACAATCAAAAACATTCTGGAGAGTAGCCAGGATGTTATCCCAGGCACTCCACAGAAAGCAGAATGTAAAAAGTAATAGATCTCCAATTCACCAAGTCCCCTTAGTAATGAATTCCAAGCAAACCACATTGTATCAGAAAGCCCTGCTGTGCTGAGGAGTTCCCACTCCCAGGGGGAAGGACTGATGGGCTCTAGCTGTGTCTATAATTTGATAAGACAAGGACAGCAATGGAGTTTGGGAAATGGATCAATTTTAATGCAATGCCACTGACAAATCAGAAAGGACTACGTGATGGTTGTCAGGAGAACATCCCTGCACCTCCTCGTCCCTGTGTGCGAGGATGGCTTGTCTTTAATAAGTCAGGGGATTACAACCCCAGTGAGGCTGCTGCTACTGATGAGTCAGGACTCACCCAAAGGCTTGCATTAAATGGAATGTAAAGACCCCAGTAGGTCCTATCTCAAGGCTGTGTGTTTGTGGAGTTGTGTGCAAAGGAGAGAAATAGCCCATGATCCACCCTGATGCCAGGCCATAAAAGCCTCGTTGCTCATCACATCTGGGTAAAGCAGATTTTATCAATCCCCCCAAATAAAATAGGAAATTAATATCCCAGAAATAATAGGTTATTGAGACAGAAATTGAAGTCTGGTCTATCCATTCAAATATTCTTTTCTTTTTCTCTTTTTCTTTCTTTTTACCAGATCCTGTGGGTTCCAAAGACATTCTCCAAAAAGGAGCCAGAAAATATGATCTGAACTCTTGAAATCAGTATTATATGGGGTCCACTTAAATACCTGGGTCTTTCACTATGAAGCACAAAAGCAGGAAACCAAAAGCAAACAAAAAAAAGGACATTTTTCAAAATCTTACACCAAACCTGAAAGGCAGAACTCACACAAATAAAATTGCTAATTAGTTAATCCAAGACATCCTTATTTTCAAAATTGTCATTCATCAAATTAATTCACTCAGCAAGTGTTTACTAAGCACTGACTGAGGGACAAGGGCTGTTCCCAATACTGGGAATTAGAGAGCAAACAAATGACAGGGTGTATGGAACCCTCCTGTTGTGGAGACAACAACATCAACAAAGAAATATACTTTATGTCAGGTAAGACGCAGGTTATATGCCAGCTAACATCATAATGACAGGATCAAATTCACACATAACAATATTAACCTTAAAGATAAATGGGCTAAATGCTCCAATTAAAAGACACAGACTGGCAAATTGGATAAAGAGTCAAGACCCATCAATGTGCTGTATTCAGGAAACCTACCTCATGTGCAGAGACACACATAGGCTCAAAATAAAGGGATGGAGGAAGATCTACCAAGCAAATGGAAAACAAAAAAGGGCAGGGGTTGCAATCCTAGTCTCTGATAAAACAGATTATAAACGAACAAAGATCAAAGAGACAAAGAAGGCCATTACATAATGGTAAAGGGATCAATTCAACAGGAAGAGCTAACCATCTTAAATACATATGCACCCAATACAGGAGCACCCAGATTCATAAAGCAAGTCCTTAGAGACCTACAAAGAGACTTAGGCTCCCACACAATAATAATGGGAAACTTTAACACCCCACTGTCAACATTAGACAGGTCAACGAGACAGAAAGTTAACAAGGATATCCAGGAATTGAACTCAGCTCTGCACCAAGCGGACCTAATAGACATCTACAGAACTCTCCACCCCAAATCAACAGAATATACATTCTTCTCAGCACCACACCACACTTATTCCAAAATTGACCACATAGTTGGAAGTAAAGCACTCCTCAGCAAATGTGAAAGAACAGAAATTATCACAAACTCTCTCTCAGACCACAGTGCAATCAAATTAGAACTCAGGATTAAGAAACTCACTCAAAACCGCTCAACTACATGGAAACTGAACAACCTGCTCCTGAATGACTACTGGGTACATAATGAAATGAAGGCAGAAATAAAGATGTTCTTTGAAACCCACGAGAACAAAGACACAACATACCAGAATCTCTGGGACACATTTAAAGCAGTGTGTAGAGGGAAATTTATAGCACTAAATGCCCACAAGAGAAAGCAGGAAAGATCTAAAATTGACACCCTAACATCACAATTAAAAGAACTAGAGAAGCAACAGCAAACACATTCAAAAGCTAGCAGAAGGCAAGAAATAACTAAGATCAGAGCAGAACTGAAGGAGATAGAGACACAAAAAACCCTTCAAAAAAATCAACGAATCCAGGAGCTGGTTTTTTGAAAAGATCAACAAAATTGATAGACCTCTAGCAAGACTAATAAAGAAGAAAAGAGAGAAGAATCAAATAGCCGCAATAAAAAATGATAAAGGGGATATCACCACCGATCCCACAGAAATACAAACTACCATCAGAGAATACTATAAACACCTCTACGCAAATAAACTAGAAAATCTAGAAGAAATGGATAAATTCCTCGACACATACACCCTCCCAAGACTAAACCAGGAAGAAGTTGAATCTCTGAATAGATCAATAACAGGCTCTGAAATTGAGGCAATAATTAATAGCTTACCAACCAAAAAAAGTCCAGGACCAGACGGATTCACAGCCAAATTCTACCAGAGGTACAAGAAGGAGCTGGTACCATTCCTTCTGAAACTATTCCAATCAACAGAAAAAGAGGGAATCCTCCCTAACTCATTTTATGAGGCCAGCATCATTCTGATACCAAAGCCTGGCAGAGACACAACAAAAAAAGAGAATTTTAGACCAATATCCTTGATGAACATTGATGCAAAAATCCTCAATAAAATACTGGCAAACCAAATCCAGCAGCACATCAAAAAGCTTATCCACCATGATCAAGTGGGCTTCATCCCTGGGATGCAAGGCTGGTTCAATATATGCAAATCCATAAATGTAATCTAGCATATAAACAGAACCAAAGACAAAAGCCATATGATTATCTCAATAGATGCAGAAAAGGCCTTTGACAAAATTCAACAACCCTTCATGCTAAAAACTCTCAATAAATTAGGTATTGATGGGACGTATCTCAAAATAATAAGAGCTATTTATGACAAACCCACGGCCAATATCATACTGAATGGACAAGAACAGGAAGCATTCCCTTTGAAAACTGGCACAAGACAGGGATGCCCTCTCTCACCACTCCTATTCAACATAGTGTTGGAAGTTCTGGCCAGGACAATCAGGCAGGAGAAAGAAATAAAGGGTATTCAGTTAGGAAAAGAGGAAGTCAAATTATCCCTGTTTGCAGATGACATAATTGTATATCTAGAAAACCCCATCATCTCAGCCCAAAATCTCCTTAAGCTGATAAGCAACTTCAGCAAAGTCTCAGCATACAAAATCAATGTGCAAAAATCACAAGCATTCTTATACACCAATAATGGAAAAACAGAGAGCCAAATCATGAATGAACTCCCATTCACAATCGCTTCAAAGAGAATAAAATACCTAGGAATCCAACTTACAACGGATGTGAAGGACCTCTTCAAGGAGAACTACAAACCACTGCTCAATGAAATAAAAGAGGATACAAACAAATGGAAGAACATTCCATGCTCATGGGTAGGAAGAATCAATATCGTGAAAATGGCCATATTGCCCAAGGTAATTTATAGATTCAGTGCCATCCCCATCAAGCTACCAATGACTTTCTTCACAGAATTGGAAAAAACTACTTTCAAGTTCATATGGAACCAAAAAAGAGCCCGCATTGCCAAGTCAATCCTAAGCCAAAAGAACAAAGCTGGAGGCATCACGCTACCTGACTTCAAACTACACTACAAGGCTACAGTAACCAAAACAGCATGGTACTGGTACCAAAACAGAGATATAGACCAATGGAACAGAACAGAGGCCTCAGCAGTAACACTGCATACCTACAACTATCTGATCTTTGACAAACCTGAGAAAAACAAGCAATGGGGAAAGGATTCCCTATTTAATAAATCGTTCAGGGAAAACTGGCTAGCCATATGTAGAAAGCTGAAACTGGATCCCTTCCTTACACCTTATACAAAAATTAATTCAAGATGGATTAAAGACTTACATGTTAGACCTAAAACCATAAAAACCCTAGAAGAAAACCTAGGCAATACCATTCAGGACACAGGCATGGGCAAGGACTTCATGTCTAAAACACCAAAAGCAATGGCAACAAAAGCCAAAATTGACAAATGGGATCTAATTAAACTAAAGAGCTTCTGCACAGCAAAAGAAACTACCATCAGAGTGAACAGGCAACCTACAGAATGGGAGAAAATTTTTGCAATCTACTCATCTGACAAAGGGCTAATATCCAGAATCTACAGAGAACTCAAACAAATTTAAAGAAAAAAACAAACAACCCCATCAAAAAGTGGGCGAAGGATATGAACAGACACTTCTCTAAAGAAGACATTTATGCAGCCAAAAAACACATGAAAAAATGCTCATCATCACTGGCCATCAGAGAAATGCAAATCAAAACCACAATGAGATACCATCTCACACCAGTTAGAATGGCGATCATTAAAAAGTCAGGAAACAACAGGTGCTGGAGAGGATGTTGAGAGATGGGAACACTTTTACACTGTTGGTGGGACTGTAAACTAGTTCAACCATTGTGGAAGATAGTGTGGCGATTCCTCAGGGATCTAGAACTAGAAATACCATTTGACCCAGCCATCCCATTACTGGGTATATACCCAAAGGATTATAAATCATGCTGCTATAAAGACACATGCACACATATGTTTATTGCGGCACTATTCACAATAGCAAAGACTTGGAACCAACCCAAATGTCCAACAATGGTAGACTGGATTAAAAAAATGTGGCACATATACACCATGGAATACTATGCAGCCATAAAAATGATGAGTTCATGTCCTTCGTAGGGACATGGATGAAGCTGGAACCTATCGTTCTCAGCAAACTATCGCAAGGACAAAAAACCAAACACTGCATGTTCTCACTCATAGGTGGGAATTGAATAATGAGAACACTTGTACACAGGAAGGGGGACATGACACACCGGGGCCTGTTGTGGGGTGGGGATTGGGGGATGGGAGGGATAGCATTAGGAGATATACCTAATGTAAATGACAAGTTAATGGGTGCAGCACACCAACATGGCACATGTATACATATGCAACAAACCTGCATGTTTTGCACATGTACCCTAGAACTTAAAGTATAATAATAAAAAAAAAAAGAAAAAATAAAGCCTCAGGTTATATGAAGACAAAGAAGGGTAAAGGGACAGAGTGCTGGGGAAGCTGTTTTGAATATCAGTGATCACAGAACATCCTCTGTATCATACGTGACCATACTCTTTAGGTCTCCAAACCACCCTTTTCTCACAGGAAGTAGAAGATCATTGTTTACTAGATCCTATGATCTAATTTGGCAAGCTGAATCAAGGCCTCAAGCTAATCTAAGGAAAAAAAATAAGAAAGCAGAGAAGTCATATGGCACAGAGCAGAGAAAGGAAACAGAGGTCAGAAAAAAAAAAAAAAGAAAAAGTACTTGGGGTGGGTGTCAGAATTGTTTGGGGAAGGTGTGATGGTTGATTTTCTGGGTCAACATGCCTGGGTTACGGGGTGCCCAGATATTTGGTCAAACTTTATTCCCAGTGTGTTGGGGAGGGGACTTTTGGATGAGATGCACATTTGCACTGGTGGACTGAGTAAAGCAGATTGCCCTCCCTAATGTAAGTGGGTCACATCAATCAGTTGAAGGCCCCAATAGAACAGAAAGACTGCCCCTTCCAAGAATAAGGGTGGACTCCTTCTGTCTGTCATTTTTTCCTTAGATTAGCTTGAGACCTTGGTTCAGCTCACCAGATTAGATCATAAGAGTGGACATAGTTAGCAAGGATCTTTTACTTACTGTAAAAGCTGGAGTATCACTTATTTCCAGCCTTTAGACTCAAACTGAAATATCGGCTCTTCCTGGGTCTTGAGCCCGTCAGCACTTGGACTGGAGCTGCACCATCAGCTCTCCTGGGCTTCTGGCTCACCAAGTGAAGATCTTGGGACTTCTCAGCCTCCATAATCACATGAGCCAATCCCTGATCTCATATAATAATATCATGAAACTAACATATTATATTATGAAATAGATTTCATAATCACACAAGCCTATACCTTTCTTCTGTTCCTCTGGAAAACCTAACACAGGGGGAAAAAAAAAAAAAGCTAGGAATCAGAAAAAAAAAGTTCTTGGGAGATAGTAGCTGTTTCCATGGAGATTACTAAGAAGAGCAGAGGGAGAGAGAAAACCAGGATTTAAAAGATGATCTTCTATATTTTATGGGAACCCCTCTTTATACACTAATCTTTGTTTGGGAGATCTTTTCTCATGAGACTAAATACATATTTCAATCTCTTCCATTGTATTGCTGATACAGTCCAATTGTCATTTCTTTTAAACAATTATCTAATATGTTTACTATAAATAAATTGACGCCACATCAGGCCCAGGTTTACTCACAATGTAAAATTATCTGAGTAGCTGCTATCTGCTAAGCACCAAGGATACAGGATGAAAAAGAACTTACAAATGGGTGAGAAAGGCATTCAAATGCTTCTCACATACATAATTAATTCATTACAACTGTATTAAGTAGAATAAAAGACAAGCACAGGCTGCTAAGAGAGCTTGTGCTGGAGAAACTTTCCTACTCCAAAGTGCCATAAAGGGATTGAGGCTGGCCCGGATTACAGCTGAGATCCAAGGAGCAAGAAGGGAGGGAAAGGAGTGTTCCAGAGAGAGGAGCCCACAGGAGGAGGAAGGGCTCTGAGAGAGGACGGAGCTCAGAGCTGTCAAATTGTTGAGGTGAGAGTGGCTGGACGTGGGGAGGGGGGCAGTAGTGAAACAGGAGCCGTAACCAATACGAAGGGGTGGTCATCTAAGTGGAAACTTGGGAAGCAGTCATGGGCCCACCACTCAAGGCCAAGACCAACTTCAGGATTCAAACTCTACTAAGTGCATTGGAAGCCTATTTAAGCTACAGAGGAATCTGCTCAGATTTCTTTTTCTAAGACTTTATGTTTTTCAAACAGCTTTAGGATCACAGAAAAATTAAGAGGAAGGTATAGAGATTTCCCATAAACCCCCTGTCCCCACACATTAGAACATCCCCCATTATCAATATTTCTCACCAGTGTGGTGCATGTGTTACAACTGATGAAACTGCAGTGACACATCATAATCCTCCAAAGTTCCGAGTTCACATTAGGATTCATTCTTCATCAAACCCTAGATGTTATATCTTCTATTGGTTCAATCCCTATATATACATAAATATTATATAATCTATGGGTTTGAATAAATAGGTAATGAGGGCATCCAACATTATGGTATCATACAGAGTAGTTTCACTGCCCTAAAAATCCTGCCTTCTGCCTCTTCTTCCCTCTCTACCTGCTGACAACCACTAACATTTTTGCTGTCTCCATAGTTTTTCTTTGCCCAGAATGTCAAGGAAAAGCTATGCCTTTTCAGGCTAGTATCTTTCACTTAGCAATATGCATTTAAGTTTCCTCCATGTCTTTTCATGGCTTGACAGCTCATTTCATTTTAGCCCTGAATATTTCATTGTCTGGGTGCTGCACAGTTTATTTATCTACTTAACTACTGAAGGACATCTTGATTGCTTCCAAGTTTTGGCAGTTATGAATAAAGCTGCTATAAACATACATGTGCAGGTTTTCATGTGGATATATGTTTTCAACTCCTTTGGGTAAATACTGAGGAGCACACTTGTTGGATTGCCTGTAAGAGTATGCTTAGTTTTGTAAGGAATGGCCAAACTGCCTTCCACAGGGATTATATCATTTTGCATTCCCACCAGCAACAAATGAGAGTTCCTATTTTTTTCCACCCTTGCCAGCATTTGGTGGTGTTGATGTTCTGGATTTTGGTCATTCTGATAGGTGTGTGGTGGTATCTCATTGCTGTTTTCATTTACATTTATCTGATAAACTATGATATGGAGCTTCTTTTCATATGGTTATTTGCCATCTACATTTTCTTTGGTGAAGTGTCTGTTATAATTTCTGGCTCACTTTTTAATGTGGTTGGTTATTTTCTTATTGTTGAGTTTTATGGTCTTTGGGACACCAAACATCCTTCTCATTCCTTACTCAGCAAGGGCTCATTAGCATTTGACTCAGGCTCTGTCAATCAGTCGTCTTCAATCTTGAAGGAATGATGCAAAAATGCAGACATTTATTGAGTGCTGTCTGTGTCCTAGACACTGTGCTAAACTACGTGAATTATCTAATTTACACCTCACCTGATAAAATTGGTACTATTATTATCTCAACTGCATAAATAATAAAACTGAGGCCCATAAAGTTTAAGTAATTTGACAATTATCACAAAACTAATATATGAAGTGCTGTGATCCAAATCCAGGCAGTCTGGCCCCAGGGTCTGCTGTCTGGACCAAGACATTCTACTGCTTTTAAAAAGTGGCCGCAGACTAGCACACAGGCCCTGCTCATTCAATGGGATAGCCTTGACCAATTATAAACCCTGCCCCTTAGCCTCAGGGGTCCCTGCAGCTTCTGCTAAGTTCTGAACTAAATCTCTACCATGTTACTAATTCAGCAATTCCCTCATATTCTTCCAAACCACTCCCTTTTTGTTTAAGATGATCAAGTTGCATTCTTGTTTGCTACCAAGAACCTTGACTGACACACTTCTTGTTGCATATGCCGTATTGTTATTAGGGTAGAAGTTTTTGAAATGGTTCTTGGATTTTAGCAAAGGGCAGTTACTTGGACAGCAAGAAGATACTTGAAGAAATCCTAAAAATAGAGAAGGTCTTGAAGGATGAAAAGGAAACAACAGTAGCTATACATGCTGAGTACAGGTGTCCTATGAGTCACCTGGAGATGTTTAAAGTAAGGGGACAACCCCTACAGCAGAATTTCCTATGAACAAGCTTGAATGGTGAAAAATCACAGGGAATCAAATGAACATAGAGGTTTGAGGTGTTCAGTACAAGGGCAACTAACTCCTCCGTCAACTGGAATAGAGTTTGCTATGAGCATGTTTACTGATCTTTAAATGACTCCTCTTTTGCTTTCACTGCAGATGTGCTCCTCTAAAGCCATGGAATCTGTGCTACTCAGCACTCCACACCCAGGGTCCCCAACAGTGCCTGACACAGATAAATGTCCAAAAATATTGGGTAAAAAGATGGACTTATGGATGGATGGGTGAACAAATGAATGGGTAAATACAGGAATGAGAGATGTTTCAAGACATTGCGGTATAGTCTGTGAGATTTAACATATTAGAAAAATGATGGCTGATGGCACAGCCCATATTTTCCTCCTTCATTCTTTTTCACCTTGCTCATAATTTTTATAATTAAGTTGCATTTAAATGCAGACAAAATACACTAATAAAAAATTATCACTTTGTAGGCATAAAAGTCACAAAACAATATTAATTTTATTATACTATGACCCACAATTTCCTATTTCATCCACCCAATCTGCTTTTTTTTTTTTTTTTTTTTTTTGAGATGGAGTCTTGCTCTGTTGCTCAGGCTGGAGTGCAGTGGCATGATCTCGGCTCACTGCAACCTCCACCTCCCAGACTCAAGGAATCCTTCCACCTCAGCCTCTCAAGTAGCTGAGATGTTCCACCACACCTGGCTAATTTTTATAGTTTTAGTAGAGATGGGGTTTCACCACGTTGGCCAGACTGGTCTCGAACTCCTGACCTCAGGTGATCCACCCACTTCAGCCTCCCAAAGTGCTGGGATTACAGGCATGAGCCACCTCGCCTGGCCCCAATCTGCTTTTCAAAGTGGAGGTGACCACAGTCTACAGATAAAGAGTAGGATTGAGAGGCCCAGGAAAAATAAAAGTGTCCACACCAAGACACAAAGAAGTGGCGCGAGCTTCAGCTTCTACATAGACATCCTTCTGTGTCTTTTCCACTACACTGTAATAATTATCTACACTGGTTAACAAATTATGTAAATACTCAGCAATTATAAACAATAACCACTTATGAGCTCACAGTTTTTGTGGACACGGGATTCAGAAGTGGCTTAGCTGGATCCTCTAGTCTAGGGTCTCTCATTAAGTTGCAGTCAAGATGTCAGTTAGGGCTACTGTCATCTCAAGGCTCGACTGGGGCTGGAGAATCCATGCTCAGAATGTTCATTCCTCTGTCTGGCAAGATAGTGCTGGTTGGTGGCAGGTGCCCTAGTTTTCCCGTGCACCCGTCCACGAGACTCCCTAGATGTCCTCATGGCATGACAGTTGGTTTGGCCAGAAGAAATGATCCAAGAGAAGAAGGAGGAAGCTACAACGTCTTCTGTGAGCTACCCTCGGAAGTTCAGCTCTGTCATTTCCACAATGTCCTATGACTTATGTGGGTTAATGTGGGAGAAGACTAGTAGCTCATGAATAGAATACAATATCAGGAAGTGGGGATCATGGAGGGGCATCTCAGCAGCCGGACAGCACAAGAACACCACTCAGAAGTAAAAAATGAGCTTCAGGAAAGATGCAAGTCTGTAAGACCAAAAGCTAAGACACTCTAAGGCCTGTTGTCATTATCTCTGTAACATCATTGCCTACTATGGGGACATCAGCTTTTTTCCCCGCATTCAGAAATCCCACTTGCGAAAAGTTCACATTACAAACAGATGCTGCTTTTGGAGGAGTGCTGATAGGTTATCAATAAATATCCCATATAAAAATACCTATTATTTATACAAGAATATTTCCTGTAGGCACTCTAACAAATTCCTGCCCCTGTCTTCTCTCACATAGGTCCAAGTGACAAAAAAAAAAAAAAAAGAGGCAAAATGACTATCTTCATGACGTAAGAGAAGTATATGCCCATTCCCTGCTGGTCCCGGACTCCCTCACCTCCACAAACAAAAAGAAGCTTTCTCTTGCAGTTGGGGATTTGCTCAAGTAGCAGAATGCTACAGACCAGTCCAAAAAATAAGCAGAAGCCAGGGTACCACATACAGTTAAGGGTCAGGGTCCAGAGTCCAGGTCACTCCATAGAACCAGCAGGGTCCATATTGCTGTTCTTAGCCCCCTTTTTAGAAATGGTAGAAGATGATTTTTCAGAGAGCAGGTCTTGGAGCCAGGCTGCCTAGGTTCAAATCTCAGCACCTTACATGTTATTTCTGTGATATTTTCCAAGTTACTTAAACTTGATGGGCCTCAGTACCTGCATAGTGAAGATAATAATAGTACTGACTCCATCAGGTGAGGTCAGATTAAATTATGTAATCCTCATAAAGTAGAAGGATCTTTGCTATGCTTTTGCCAAACTTACCCTCTCTTTATTTCACGAAAGAGAAATCTGACTCTTGGGGAGAGTGTGTGGCTTTCCCCAAGGTAATATAGATGGTCGAGCTATGCGTGCAACTCATGCACTGACTCCCAGGACCAGGTGGGGGTCACTGAGTTAGTCCAGACGGGATGCAGGAGAGGAGAATAAGGCAGGTAAAAATGAAGGTAATTGCACAAAAACTCCTTTTAAGTCCACTGCTTTTAAAATTAAAAAAAAAAAGTAATTTTGAAAATGCCTTTTGAAAAGCAGCCTAAGTGTTTAAGCCATGGACTTGGCCAAGGTTCTCTTCAAAGGCCAATTCTCCCGGCCAAAAAATTGGATCAGGTACACGTGAAGTGGATGACTGGAACACAGCCATGTTTCAGTGACCCATTTTCTCCTTCATTCGTCAAATGGAAAATGACTGCCCTAGATGCCTCCCTTAAGTGATGGCTTTTGAGGGATATTATAGTCTTAGTGCGGCTGGCAGAGGTTGCAAAATAACTGTCAAATTCCAGCCTCTTCTCCTGGAAAGAACCTGAGAGTTTAGCTATCTGAACCACCTACGAAACAGAGGAAGAAACTGAGGCCAAACATGTTCTAATATTTCTTGATACTGCAGAGCAAGTAAGTGCAGAACCAGGGCTAGTACTGAAGCCTCACTCTGCACCCTTTCTTCCTCCATCACTCAGGTCTTAATTTTAAAAGTTGATGAGGCAGGCAGGATTCTGTAAACATAGATTTAGTTTCAGTCCATCTAGAGGAGTCTCACTTTTGTGTTAGTGTGGCTTCACACACAGAGAGCTCCACTAAACTTATAATCGGAAGGAATGGAAACAACTAACTACTGCGGACCTACTGTGCACCAGGCATCTATCTACTCCTTGTCTCATGCACAGCCTATGTTGCCCACAATGCTGCAGAATCCACGAAAACAAGAACTCTGTCCACAGTTTCTCACCTTCGTGTCATTATCCCTCAGCCCAGGGCTTGGCATGTAGTAGACATTCAATAAACGTATTGAGTCAATGATCTCACTTAAATCTTAAGATAACAGATGAGCACTGACTTATAAATTAGGGAACCTAGCTGAAATTGACAGAAAGATGTATTCAAGCCATTCAGAGTGTAAATGTGGGAACTGAGTGTGATTTTGTGACCTTCAGAAAGAGAAAGTCTTTGGGGGATCTATTTTAATGTAAAAGTAAGATTGCTTCAAATCCAACAAATACAATGTTGCTGGCACATAGGACCTTCCAAAATACTCTGGAGGTTAAATATGTCTCCAAGCCATTACACTAGCTCTGCCTGTTTACTCAGCAAATTCTCTTTCATCATGGATAGGAGAAATGTAAACTGCATTGGGACCTTGGGTTGCACAATTGTCATAGATTTCAAAGTTACTAAAGTCCAAATTAACCAGGGTTTCATATTCTTCATGTTCCAAGTACGTGGTCTGACAGCATCTCTTAAGATTCTAGCCAACAATGCAAAATGAAGCATAATATAGATGAAATAATAATAAACAATAACAATATCATAATAATTATAAAGTGCCAGACATTGTTCTGAGAGCTTTCCATGTATTACCTAATCTGATCCTTACAACAAACCTAAATGTAGGTTTTTATTATTACTATAATAACCCCCATTTTATGGAAGAGACAACTGAGGAAGAAATAAGTATCTAGGCCCAAGAGATCAACTGCTTCTACATTCTGGCTCTGTTCTTTCTTGTCTAGCATTATTCTCCTTGTGAATGGATGGGTAGGTGGGTATGTGGGCAGATGGATGGGTGAATAAACGGATGGAAAGAGATGGGAATCAGCAAAGGGTCCATCACCACTATGGTGGTACAGTTTCTAAGTACCTGACTTCATCCATAATTCATGCTGTAGACAGCTGTTACAGTGGCTGAGTCCTACTGGATTGGTTTGGAAGGCCAGGAATGGTGGTTATGTGCACAAGTTCTGAAATCAGATCTACACCCTCCATATGCCAGATCCAGACCTACAAGCTGTCTGTCTTTGTGTATGACTTTTCAGAGCCTCAATTTCTGTCTCTCAAATGGGAAAAATAAATTATCTATTCAGAAGTGTACGTGAGGACCAAATGTAATGTCAGCACATAGTAGGTGGTCAGTAAATGTGTTGAAAGACTGAGTGAACAAGTCACCAACATATCACTGGCAGCCCACAGGGATTCAACAGGTCTCCCCTGTTATGGTTTGAACGACACAATCACCCAAACACAACAAAACTGTGAAAATCCCCAGATTTATACTTTAAATCCTCACAAATATCACTGGGTATGTAGCTGAAGTATTTTGGCTTCACTGACATTGAAGTCACCAAAATGAACTAAGAGCTAATTGCAATTTACAAAGTCAGGTAATCTTCCTAATCCTAATCCTTTGTATCTTTGAACTGCAGATTTGCAATTTGCCAAAAACAAGTGCATTTCTGAAGAGGGTGAAGGGAGTGGGGAGGAAGTATTTTCATTGGGAGACTACAAGGTTAGGACAGGGTCTTAGCTTCTGTGTTTTGCTCCTTCAATATAATCCATGCTCCCAGCCTAGGGAGAAGGCATTATCTAATGCTTCAGTGGGAAATCCCTGCCCACAAGGTCATGAGGCTCGTGGGTGGTGGGTTTATCTGAGTCTCCTATAGGCAGCTCCATCAATTCCTAGGTAACAATTATGCCTCCAGCTGGAAAAAACAAGCTCATTTTAAAGTTTTCCTAGGAATCATCTTCACTAAAATATATACCAAATGGTGATTTCCCCATATTCCCTTGATCCTCTTTAGAAGCACATTTTTCTCTATCAAAGAGAAGATGAAAAGGACATTCATATTGTAAGGGAAAGCAAAGGCCTCACTGGTATGGTCTATATACATCAGTACTTAGTAAAATGAAGGGAAAGCTGGATGGTGGAGACAGAAACCACGCTCCTTTCCTGGAGTCATACCCCGTTCCTCTCACCACTGACATGGAAAGATAAAACGGGGGAAGGACCAGGAAAATCATCCTGGGAAGCTTTGGGGAGAACAAAACTGGGACAACAAAGAAGATGTGAAAGAAAAATAAAAGGAACAAAAAAAAAAAAGCTTTACATGTGGAATTAAAAATATAGGTGATAAAATAATAGGCAAAATGCCTCTAGAAAAGAGAAGGGATAAGGGATGGCCAGCAACCCTCCACGCTAGACCTAGGAAGAGAAGCAGGAGCCAGAAGAAAAGGAAGGGGGCATGGGATGTAAGTGTGTGCCGACACACAGAGGGAGGGAAGGGTGTGGAGGTGTGGGAAACGGGACATGGCACCAGGCATCTCCAACACTGAGCAGGAGTGAGAGCCGTGGCAGAGACGGCTGGAGATGGTGTAGGCCATGGAAAGTACTGTGAGCCACTGCAGGGTCATATTGTCACAGTGTCTAGGCTAGAGTTTCTCAAGGTGTGATACTCATACAACTGCCTCAATATCACCCCAGATGGTTGCTAAAATTTCAGATCCCAAGCCCTCCCTGAGGCTTAGCAATTTCACAAGACAGAATGTAGATGATGAGCATGGCATCACCAACTCCCAGTGGTGATCCTTGTTTACACTGAGCTGGTGACTCTCCATCAGTCACAGGGGAGCCACTGAAGGCTTTGCAGCAGGAAACTGACATTCGTGTTTCACTTTACAAGGGTTTTCATCATCCTTTATGCTTTATAGGATTTACAACAATCATCCATTTCATATAAAAAGTACACATTTTTGCCCAGGCATAGTGGCTCACGCCTGTAATCCCAACACTTTCAGAGGCTGAGGCAGGCTAATCGGATGAGGTCAGGAGTTCAAAACCAGCCTGGCCAGCATGGCAAAATCCCATCTCTACTAAAAACACACACAAAAAATTAGCCAGGCGCCCTGATGGGCACCTGTAATCTCAGCTACTCGAGAGGCTGCGGCAGGAGAATCACTTGATCCTAGGAGGCAAAGCTTGCAGTGAACTGAGATTCCGCCACTGCACTCCAGCCTGGGCAAGAGCGAGACTCCATCTCAAAAAAAAAAAAAAAAAGAGAGAGAAAAAAACTTAGCTGGATGTGGCACACGCCTATAGTCTAGCTACATGAGAGGTTGAGACACGAGAATCACTTGAACCTGGGAGGAAGAGGTTGCCGTGAGCTGAGATCACGCCGCTGCACTCCAGCTTAGGTGACAGAAAGAGACTCCATCTCAAATAAATAAATAAACAAAGCATACATTCTTATGAGCATATAGTAGCATACTTACATATTTCCATACTAAATTACAAGCTCTGTGAAGGTGGGAATGTTGTCTTTTTTCTGTTTACCTTCAAAGCCTTAAGAGTTAACACAGTGGTGATCTGTCATGTCAGGAATTCAATATTTATTAAGTGAACAAATTCACAAATAAATGTAGTCTGTCAGGAGTCAAAATGACACATCAGAAGATGGAGATCTGAAGTAAGGTGGGAAACTTGGATACTCCAGGTGAGAGGGTTATGGCCTGAAATAAGATGGTCAAGGTTGCTATGGGGAAGAAGGAGCAGAGTAGAAAGAATCTGAAAATATTTCCTGGATTTGGCAGGAATGGCCATTAGACCAAAAGAGAGTACATGTGTCCAGAGAATTCCATGCTTCCTTCCTGGTACCAAATCTACTATCACTCTGGCCCACGGTCTATTTGTGTAAATAAAGCTTTATTGGAACACAGTCACAGCCACTTATTTATGTATTGTCTGTGGCTGCTTCCTCACTATAAAAGCAGGGGTGAGTAGTTGAGTCAGGGACCATATGGCCTGGATGACCTAAAATATATACCATCTATCTAGCCCTTTACAAAAAACGTACGCTGACCGCTGATTTAGGAGTTCATTTAGTTCTCTGCTGTTGTAGAAGTTACGCTGAATTCAGAGGGAGTAGCAAATGATAATTTTCCAGCAGCACATGGCTAATTTAAGCAGAAGCAAAGTGAAGTGTGGGATTTCTGACTTGTGAAATTGCCGGCATGTACTGGTGGCCACACAGTACATGTGTGTGAAATTCCCTACACAGGCAAGCCCAGGGAATACAGCAGAGGTTGGGCGTCTGAATCCACGCAGCACTGCCACTCCCCACCCCCAAATCAGCCCACAGCCAAAGGAACTGGGGAAAGTTATGATCATAGTACCTCTATAACTTTGTGATGAAGAATGACAGGGATTTGCAGGAATCGTAGCTGGTAGAACAATCAAAGAAGGACATTAAAGGACTCAGGCTATTTTGCCGTAAACATCAGTAGCCTCCAAAAGTGTCAGTTCTCGGGCAGTAAGAGCATTTGTTGGTACTTCTCCAGAACCACTTTTCACAATTGCCAAAATACTATGGGGGAAGAAAACCAGATAAACAAGGCAGAAACTAGAAGAAGGCACAAAGCAGCAGTGGCAGGGACAATTATAAATCTCCAGGGCTGCAGGATCCTCAACTCATAAAATTGAAAAGGCACTTCAAAAAATCCTCCATGTCCGTGACAGTCTGTCACTAGAGAGGGCGTTCCTCAGATTATCAACAACCATGAAGCTCTCTAATGCCTTATCAACAGTCTCAAGGACCAGGCGATCATGAGAAACACAGGCTGTATTGATTCAATACTCAAACTGGCGGGATGATGATGATGAATGGTCAGTTTTTCTCTGTCTCATCCTCTTCAAGGATAACTCCACCCTGAACCTCAGCTCTTTCCAGACCCTGACTCAGATCTGGACTGAGGTAGGGCTCAGACTACTGCAGAAGGGGCCCTGGCATTGTGCAGCCAAAGCTCCTATACTCAGAGAGCTTGGGTTTTCCTGTTTCCTCTTCCAAGCTATGGCAAAGGGAACTGGAGAGATAAGAAGCAGGCCCCCTCTGAAAGTCTGTGAGTCACTTTAAAATAGAGATTGGCCATGGACCCTGGGTCCAGAATGCATCAGTTTAAATCCCAGGCAGCCTAAGGGAGTTACTTCACCCATCCTTGTACTCTGCTCCATCAGCTGTAAAATGAATAGAACCATAGAACTTTCCTCCTCAATTTGAGATAAGGATGATCTGATTTAATATATGCAAAAGCACTGTGAATAAGGCCGGCCCATAGGAAGCATCCTGTAAGGATTAACTATTGTTTCTTTGCTGTACCAATAGTTTAAGCCCTTTCTTTGGGTGATACACCATGCTAAGCAGTTTCTGTTCATTATCCATTCCACTCATTATCACATTTATTACTAGAAGGCAGACACAATACCTACATTTTGCAGATGAGGACGCTGAGGCACAGGTAAGGGACATAATTTGCTTAGAGGCACATGGCTAGTAAGCAGTGCAGCCAGGAATGGAAGATTCCATAGACTGTCTGGCTTCAAAGCCTATGAGTTCAACAACCCAGTGCTATGCTGCAGTGCCTGAGACACCCACAGCCCCAGAAGCTAAAGCCTTCTTCCAAATGCAAAACAGCAGCCTGGAGGGTGAAACACACCTACCCTGGAAGTGAAGATAAAGGGACATGGCAAAGGTCTCAGAGCCAATTCACACCAACAGGGCCTTCACCCAAACATGGCAGGGACTGTCTAACCCAAGAGCTGTTTATTCTCAGGCCTCCCCATGCCTCAGAGTATACATTTGTGCCTGCTTCAGACTATTAAGATTGGGGAAAAGAAGACAGTTATTCATTCTCCAGCATTTCTTCCAGGATGCTCCTCTAGGTGACTCCATTTTGACTAATGAAATAAAAGAATAAATATTCTGGGAGGCTTCTGGAAGGATTTTTTTTTCTATAAAAAAAGAACAGACAAGGAAGAAAAATGGCTGGTGCTGCACTCCTCTTTTCTTCTTCCCTGAACAGAGATGTGACGTTGGGAGCTGTGGTCATTCTACTGCAACAATGTGACAACAAGGCAATAGCTAAGGACGGCAAAGAATAACTCCACCCTGAACCTCAGCTCTTTATAGACCCTGATTCAGATCTGGACTGAGGTAGGGCTCAGACTCCTGCAGAGCGGGGCCTGGCATCATACAGCCAAAGCTCCTGTATTCAGACAGCTTGGGTTTTCCTATTTTCTCTTCCAATCCACAGCAAAGGGAACCGGTGAGATAAGGATCAGATGCTCATTTAAAAAACAGGGAGTTAATCCTTTGTTATAAGTTTCTTTTTTTTAATGTCAGTCACTGGTCACTTCCAGGCTAGTTAAATAAACAGGAGTTGAAGCCACTATTAGTCATGGATACTCTTACGTTAAGCTGACAGCAGTCCTGGCTCACACTGCAAGGCAGCTGAGATATGCAGGGGTGTTAAGCACACACCTGAGCCAGGAAGTGGACCAGGGTGCTGGGGATGCATCCTGGTCATCAAGGAAACAACTCACCAATTCTCATTTGTAAAATAAGGAAATAAAGCCAGATGTCAGCAAAGGTCTGTTTCAGTTCTAAGATGTTATGACTTTTTGTAGTGAAGAGATTACAAAAATTCCTTTCCAGAGGATTTGAGAAGCCCAGTGACATGATGAAGGCAGAGTACACACACAATAAATTACCACAAACATATTTAAACATGACCTCAGGATTGACATTTAACTTCTCTTGGTTTTCAAGTCCATGTCAAGGTATGCAAATGAAATGTTAAGCCAATACTCTAATTCTGTAGAGCTAGCTATTTAGCACCTGTGCAAGGTTCCTTATACATATTGCATTTAACCCTGAACAGAACACTATGAAATGAATAGGATCACTCTCTGATAAAAAATGAAGCTCAGACGTCAGTAGTCTATGTAAATCATCCTAGGACCTCACAGACAACCATGACTATTGGGATTTAAACCCAGGCCTGCCTTCCTCTACAAGACATAGCCACATTGGCACTGTCCCTTGATTTCTTTTTAAAACCAGCACATACTCAAAAATGCTGATCTTCTCTCTGTATCGTTCAACCCACGAGGGTGGGAGAAGGTTGCTAATAACCGCCCACCCAGAGCAGCATGATTCATGTGGCTGTCATCCTGCCCGAATGACACAGATGAGCTGTCAGCCTTCTCTCAGAAGCCTGACTCAACTCTATGACCAGCTGAATCAATTATCCAAGGTTGGCTTGATAGATGATGATAATAATGATGATGATGATAATGATGATGATAAATCCATCAATGTAAATACTTCCAGAAACAAAGTAGAAATGAGAAGAAAAAGAAAGAAAACAAAGTATTGCATATCTATGTAATATGTTATACATTAAAAGTATTCCACATATATGTATATATGTACATATATGTGGAATACTTGTTTTCTTTCTCTTTCTACTGATTTCTACTTGTCATATACCAAAGGCCATTTGGGGACAACACATTGTTCCATTGATCTTGGCATTTATTTTTGTTTTCGTAACTGTGCAGAATACTTTCCTATTTGGTAGAGCAAGTTACATCTAAGTTCTTTCAAGGATTCATGAGGGTGGGATAAAGGTTCCAGTGTTCTGCTATGAATGAAGTCAACTCCAAGGGAGGCAGTTTTATTGCTGACTGCATATTTTTAAAGAGAGTCAAGAAAGAACTCCAGAGCTGTGGGTTTCCAACTCTCACCCAGAGGGTGTGCAGGTCCTAGAATGCTACCTGGAGTCACTGGGGAGAGGAGGGCAGGGTAAATGCCAGGACAACTGAGCCAGGCTCAGGACCCCAACTCATGATTTAACCCGAGTAGCTCTTCTCTGTGTCCATTTTCTACATAGGAGTTTTCTGTTCAACATCATTTGAAAAAAAGGGAGTTGGTGCCTTTTAATATAACAAAGAAAATGCTAGGGAATTATGCATCTGGCAAGCACCAGCGTGAGGTGCAAAGAAACAAGATAGGTCAAGACGTGGAAATGAGAGGAAGGAGGTCCAGAGAAAATCTGAAGCTGGGTCCAGATTTGGGGAAAGTCAACGCCCAGCCCATGGCTGAGTTTCAACCACGACTTCTCTGATGTTTCTGAGTGGTCAGTATCTATAGCTTCCTCTGTATTCTCATCCAAAAATTAACTAACAGCAGGCTATTTACATTACATTTTCATAATAATTGAAAGACCAAGAAGTAATAATAAATTATTCCCAAAAGAACATCACAACACTCAAAACGTTTATGATCCCAGTCCACCAGCACATCTGTGTTAATAAATAAAACTGAAGATCTCAGTTCTAAAAGGAAGTTTCTATTCCTAAATTTTTGGTGAAAAGCACATATGGAGTCCTTGCTTCATCGGGTTCTGTTGCTAAGCAGGTTGGAGGAAAGAGAGATAGAAAAGAGATGGTAAGTATCTTCAAATTCTTTCAAAGCTAATGGGGATGAAAAGCCCAAGTAGCAAATAATTATAATTCAAAGGAGAACACACACAGTTAGAGCAGTGACAGTAGGAAAGACAGGGCCAGCCAGGAGTTAGAAAAGGGAGAGACCACTGAATCAAGGAACTCAAGAAGGGTGGGAGAGAATTGTATCAGGAAAGGGGGTGGGTGTTGGGGCCTCCAGATAGAGCAAAGTCCACTGTAAGAAGTTTCATAGCCATGGTGAAGCAGGAAGAGCCTGGAATCCCAGCTCCACCACCTCCAGGCCACAGCATCTGTGCTTCAGCTCCTCTGGGTAAATGGCTTGTCTGGGTGTTTTGAGGACACCATGGCATAATTTCTGGGGTGAACGTAAAGCGCTCCACAAATACCAAAGGTCCTGTAACCAAATGGCAACTCAGGAGGCGCGCAATGAGAAAGAGGAAGTAGCTGGTATGGGCACCTCTTTCAGGGAGGGAGTTAGAAAAGAGAAGCAGTAGTAAGATGTAATCTAAGATGCTGCAGAAGGGAAGGAAGTTTCAGAAGGAGGAGGCTTGAACTTGACCCCTGAGCAATCCTGAGGAGAAGGGTCGAGTAGAATGAGATTTGAAGATATAAAGAAAGGCCGACTAGTCAAGAAACCCTTTGATGGGCAGTAATTACCATTATTAAAATAACCAACATGTATAGGGCACTTAAAATAGCAAGTATGCTGCATTTTTGAGTTGTATGATCTCATTTCATTTGTCTACAACTGCATGAGATTATCAGTACCTTGCATTTATTTTAACAGAAAAGGAGAATGAGGCTGAGCACGTAAATGTCCGTATTCACTCATTCCTTTATCAGGTAGTATTTGACTGTCAGAGCCATGCATCAGGCACTGCTAGACAGTGGAAGTGAAGACAGCAGTAACGGGCATACCACCCTAGACCTTAAGAAGGTTGCAGCCTATCATGGTGGATGGGGAGATGGCTGAGACGTCACTGAGCAAATGTCAGCCCGATGGATACACGGCTTGGACCTGATGCTCAGGATAGATTCTTCACTCCCTCCTGAGACACAAATGGACATCTCTTTGGTCTGTATGCTTTGTTCCTAGGGTGGGGCTTACCAAATAACCTCCTTTCAGATCCAGAACTTCAGACCTCCAGACCTCTCAAAAACCTCCCCCCCAACACATGGCACAGGATGCCAAGAGAGAAAAACAATACCCACCCCTTAGAACAGAGGTTTAATTTGCATTTCTGAGCCCTCTGGCCTCAGTGATCTCCATAGACAGAGTCCTCTTGGGTGTCTTCTGAACACATGAAACATTAGCCATAGAATTCTGGACAAAGTGTATATTCTAAGAAAGGAGGGAGGAAGACAGGAGGTTTGCCAAAGTGACAGTGAAATTCCGAAATGGAAAAAACCAGAATGGAAGGATTTCAGGATATTCTTCCATCATCCCAACAGAGATCCTTGCGGCTGGATGACAGTGGGCCCACTGCCCAGAACATCAGAAGAGAAAAACAAGTCAGCACATATCCTCACAGGAAAGGCATCCAATCATTCTGTACTGCCGCAGTAACTGCCCCAGCTGCACTGCCCCCTACGCTGGCCCTGGAGTGTGGCCCTCTGCACAACAGACAGTGTCTTTCTGTACCTTGGCACTTTGAATTTACCTGGCCATATTTTAAGACTTTTGCGAATGCAGAAGAATACATTCAGAAGTTGGGAAGAACTATCAGCGTTACTCATTATTTAAAGAACAATTAGTGAAGAAACAGCCACAAGCTGGAATCACAGACTTGAGGGCAATTTTGCAATTAAGAAAATTGGAGGCTGCTGTTTCAGGAGACAAACTGTCAAGCCAAAAGCGGGAAGAGAAAGGGATACACAAACCAAGCCGGGCTCTTGTGGTATCCAAGTCAATGCTGGGACCTGATTTAGGTAGTTCCAAAGTAGGGGGAAAGGAAGGGAGTGACATTCATTGAAGTTGCACGTATCAGGTGTTTAGACCCAAAGGTCATCTGCCAATTGCCCATCATGGTCCTTTCCTAGTAGATGCTTATGAAGTGCCCACTCTACACCTGGCCCTACACTCAGATCTCACAGGTGCTGCAAGGAGTCCATCATATCCCCAATTTACAGATGGAGCATCTCAGGCTTCAAGGTCACTTTGTCCTAAGATCATATGGTAAGTAAGGGGTGGTACCACAAGAGAAACTCAGGGCTGATCAAATCCAAATGCTTTGTCCTTTTCACTGATGGAGCTGCCTCTCTAAAATCCTCTCTCGTGCCCATGCATGCTTTCTCACCACCCAGAAATGCAATGCCCATTCTTTGGCCTCTCTAAGTGTTTGAGGCTTGTGCCTTTGCCCAACCCACTCTTTGCTTAATGCAACTGCATGCAGCCAGCAGAACTCCAGGAGCCCAGCCCTACAACAGCAAAAAGCCTCTCCCCTCTCAGCTGAGTGTGACTTGTACCCAGCCTCCTGCTCAGCCCTCATCTCATGTTCACCTGGCTGCTGACTTGTTGCTGTACATCTTGGTGCAAGTTTCACCTGATTTTTTTTTTTTTTAGATGGAGTCTCTCTCCGTTGCCCAGGCTGGAGTATGCAGTGGTACAATCTTGGCTGACTGCAACCTCCGCCTCCCAGGTTCAAGCGAATATACTGCCTCAGCCTCCCAGGTAGCTGGGATTACAGGCATGTGCCTTCACACCCAGATAACTTTTTTTTAGTAGAGACAGGGTTTCACTGTGTTGGCCAGGCTGGTCTCGAACTCCTGAACTCAGGTGATCTGCCTGCCTCGGCCTCCCAACGTGCTGGGATTACAGGCATGAGCCACTGCGCCTGGTCTCACCTGATCTTTTAAATCTGATCTATGGCTTTAGCCTGGACAGTATGTTCTTCCCTCTTCCAACAAGAGCTCCAGGTCTTGCTCATATGCAGAGGACCTGGAAGGGGCCTGCGGTGGAGGGTAAAGGCCCTCTGAATCAAGAAGACAGACTGGACCCTGCTCTTGACTCCTCTTGTCTGGCACTGAAACTAAGACAAATCAAAGCAAGCAAGAGAGCTGCACTGTGACCCAGTTAAAGAGAGTGGGTCAGAATCTCGGTCAGGAGAGAGAAGTAGGTCAGTGGCAGGCTGAGAGCAAAGCAAACCTGAAGATGAAACTGGAAAACCCAAGAGATGATGCCTGTGAGGAGACGAGAGCAGGAACAAATGCACCAGGAAAGGCAATGTGACCAGGTGGGCAGCTGCATCCAGAACCTGAGATTCAGAGTGGAGGATGCCACCCTCATGTCCCCTGATGATGCTTTCGTGGAAGAGTGGGGGCCTGGCACTAGAATGTGTTCACTAATGTTAGCTGGAGAAATTCATGACTGAACAACCGAATTTAAATAAGAATGACGTTGTGTCTTACAAGATGAGCAGTAAGGACAAATTAATAATCTATGCCAATGCAATGAGTGATGTATCAAAACCCACTCTATTTTTAACGCTCTTTGTTAACTGTATGGAGGGCTGGGATGTTCTGTTTAATTTACTTCACGTCTAGTTCAGGAGATGAGCTAAAAGTTTTACGTCAACCTCAGCGGTTAAAAGGTTTTTTATTTCCTTTCCTGAATAAGTATAGTGCAGCAAATTTATACAAACTTTACTTTGATGATTCAGGATCAGGCAGTTGTGTCATCAGTGAAATGCTGACTATGAACACATAGAAATATGGATTAAGGAGGTGTGACAAGGTGGGATCCCAAGCAGATCCCAGAACTAAAGATGGTGATAAAACATCCTATCTGATTGTTTTCCCATAATTCATCCCCTCACTCAAAAAAACAAACTCCGAATCAGTCATCAGTCACTAAAAGTTCTAGGTAATCATTGTCTTCCAGAAATACGATTGGAAGATCCCATCTGGCCTGTGCTATAAATGTGAAGAAATTGGAGAACATAGTCTGTGATTCACTGCATGCTATCTTATACCAATTGCTGCTCAGTCTAACCACAGGGTTCACCAGGGGATGAACAGAACAAGAACCTTTAAAATTGGGAACCAAATTTCAAACATCTCGGAGGCATAGTTGCTGGACTATTTAACTTATTGAAGGCCCTCGGCCTGTGTTGTCAAATATGGTAGTCACTAGCCACATGTGGTTACTTACATTAAAATTAATTAAATGAAATGTTAAAAATTCATTTCCTTTATTTTACTAGCTACATTTCAAGTGTTCGGTAACCACATGTGGCAACTGGTTACCATAACAGACAAGGTGTATAGGATATGTTTTATCACCACAGAAAGTTCCATTGGACAGTATTGCCTTAGACCTCACTTCTAGTGCTTCTGAAATACAGGGTACAGAGAACCATGGTAAGTGACACTTTGAGAAAACAATCAGACAACTCCAACATGTGGAAATTTGTATAAGCAAACTGGCTCACACTCTCAAATAGTCAATGTTATGGGTGCAGTGTTGAGAAGGGAAATTTGGAGGACTGTTGTAGATTTAAAGAGAATAAAGATATAACATCAAAAGAAATTCATGTACTTAGATTGGATTCTGCTTCAAAAATATCTATAAGCAAATTTCTTGAAAAATTGGGAAATTATGAATGTAGAGTATACATTAAATAGTATTATGAAATATCATTTATTTACTTCAGTATAATGTCATTGGAGTTCCACTGAAAAATGCCTTATTCCTAGGAGAAGCCTGGCGAAGTATTTAGAGTATACTGTCTTAAAGTCTGCAACTTATTTTCAAATGATCTAGAAAAATATGCATATGCATATTTTATGCAAAATAGGCATTCATGCGCTGATAAAGAAAATATGACAAAATGTTAACAATTGTTAAACCTGGGACTAGGAACTATGGGTATTCATCATGCCTTTCTTCAACATTTCTGGATGACTGAAACTTTCATAATAAATTTTTGTGAAACAACATCTCTATGGAATTTACAGAGCCTGACATGTGTCAAAACTCCAAGGCAATTTGTATTTGAAAGCCCTTTTTGCTATCCTTACCTAGTAATGGAACATTTCCATTCCTCTAACCCTGTTTTATTTACATGGGTGTCAGGAGATCAAATGAGAGGAATAATTTTATTGCGTTTTCTGAGTCTGCTGTTAGCTCTTCATGACTCTCTATCTATGGACAGAAGAAAGCCTGCATATTTCACTAATACGAAACTTTCAACTTGTGTCTCCCAATCCCAAGACAATCAATTTCATTATGAGTTTATCACTTGATAAACTTTCTTTATTTGCCACCCATCACTCTTCCTTTTTCTTTTTGAATAGGGTGTTGCAATTTACATGCAATATTTACATTTCCCCATTAAATACCCGGCACCTCATTTCTCCTGTATCTGTCACAACTTGCTTTTGATTCAGCCAGCTCTAACCAGAGAGCCTCCTCTTAAACATCACAACTGAAAATTTAAAAATTTTAGTATTTTTTCCATTACTTTCAAAGGGAAAAACCACAATTACTTTTGCACCAACCTAATAAATATATTAATTGAAAATTGGAGGCCGGATACGGTGGCTTATGCCTGTAATCCCAGCACATTGGGAGGCCAAGGCGGGCAGATCACCTGAGGTCAAGAGTTCGAGACCAGCCTGGCCAACAAAGTGAAACCCCGCCTCTACTAGAAATATAAAAATTAGCCAGGCATGGTGGCGCATGCCTGTAATTCCAGCTACTCGGAAGGCTGAGGCAGGAGAATTGCTTGAACCAGGAGGCGGAGGTTGCAGTGAGCCAAGATACAGCCAGTGCGCTCCAGCCTGGGCGACAGAACAAGATTCTGTCAAGAAAGAGAAAGAGAGACAGAAAGAGAGAGAAAAAGAAAGAAAGAAAAAGGAAGGAAGGAAGGAGGGAAAGAAGGAAGGAAGGATGGATTGTGGTTTTTCCCTTTGAAAGTAATGGAAAAAATGCTTAAAATTTTGAAATTTTCAGTTTTTAAAGTTTCAGAAAGAAAGGAAAGAAAGAAAGAGAGAGAGAAAGAAAGTTACTGGAAAAGAAGAAGAAAACATGAAAGGTAATCAAGTTCCTGGGATTAAGGAACTCGATGATGAAGGGTTAAAAAGGAACTAGCATGATTGATTAGACCTAGGAAACAGAAGACAATTTTTTACAAGGCAACTAGTGACTAGGCACATCTCTGATCAGACCTAGGTGCCTTAGGTGACAACTAACTTAATATAAAGCCAATGCTGATTGAGGACCCTGAGAAAGGAGCAGGGTGTGTGTGTGACATCTTAGGAACTAGGGAAGCAAAGTAGGAAGAAAAAAATCAGGGAAACAGAAAGCATTAAGCTCACCTATTACAACTGGACAATGGGCTTATACTGATACCAAGAGATGGTTACAGAGATTGCTGCCAAGAAATATTAGAGATTCCTCAATTAATTATGTAACTGTATATGTCTTGAGGCAGGTGGCATAGCAGGACAAATACAAGATTAGAAAGAAGATACAACTTCTCTGAATTGTCATGCTAATGCTACCTAACTAAGGATTAATATTTTGGGGAGAAGAAGGGCTGGGGATTTTATTTTTGGCTTTTTAACAGGCTTACATTTACAGTCCCCAACACAGAGCTCTCAGTACATTCTCAAGCTAGCAGCATTAATTGGGAAAATATAATAATAAATGCAAGGCAACTAGCACATCGGCTGACATGTATGCACTGATCCATTCATTCATTCGTTATTAACTCAACACCTTGGATGTGGTGGCCAGTGGGCTAGGGGCTGGATTCCAGAGATTAGCAAAAGCAGACACATTCTCCTCGACATGGAGTATGCAGGCTAGTGAATGAGGTAATAAAATAATTATAGAAATAAATGCAAGACTTAAGGAAAACTGCTTTGAAAGGTATAATATCTGAACTGAAATATAAAAGACATGAGTGGAAAGAAGCATTGACTCTCAGGCAGGAGCCCTAAGACAGGAGAAAACACAAAACTTTAGAGAAATGTCTCCTAAACATTTTAGAACACACATCACAAGCCCAGGAACAAGAGCAGGAACAAATGCACCAGGAAAGGCAATGAGACCAGGTGGGTATAAAAACCATATACACCCATATACACAGACATAGATATTATATTCTCTGTACATTTTATATTTATACATTAAATAATATCTTAAGTCTCAGTATATTTAAAGGCAGGAGCTCACTGTGGCTATGAATCAGTGTAAAGCCCTGGTTCAGATGGTCTTGCGGATGATATTTTTATAACGTATTATCAAATATAATTAGATTGAATTTGTTTTTTAACTTGTGATGTGTCTGGAAAAAAGCTTTTACTTGATTTCTATTCGTTGTGTAATTATCAGTATTGTCTTCAATCTGCAGTTTCCTTGCGGGAATCTTTCAGAGTCACTTGTTCATTTTGTGAAGGCTGTTTAATTAAAACTAAATATTATAATCCACAAATCTACACAACTGGGTACTAGAGACAATGCATTGTCACAATAAAGCTGGATTTGAAAGGACAAGTGAGGACATCACTCCAACTTGCTTTGTTAGGAGTCCCCCTTCCCTCAAGACACTGGTCACACTACATGTGACGTCTGACAAGTAGACAGGCAAGGGTACTGAAATCATGCAGAATATAAATATTAAAGAGCCCAATTTCTCACTTATTTTATACAAAACCAATATAAAGGAAAGTTCTAGCATTTTCTCTCTGTGCTCCAATGAACTCTCTTAAACATTCCCTGAAATACATGCCTCTCACTCTGGAAGCCACTGTTTTGGGAAAGCACTGTGTGGGGCTGAGAGGTAAATACATTATCATACACACAGACAATGCTGAAATGTATGCTCTTAGTCATCATGAAATTGCAAAGCCTTGTGGGATTCCTAGAGAAAGGTGAGAGGGGCAGGATATCGTCTCCATTCTGAGAATATCAAATGCACCAGAGATTTGGGGCAGAGTGTGGCTGGCAACACATTATCATGCACACAGACAATGCTGAAATGTATGCTTCTTAGTCTTTATGAAACTGCAAAGCCTTGTGGGGTTCCTAGGGAAAGGTGAGAGGAGCAGGATCTCATCTCCATTCTGAGAATATCAAATGCACCACAGATTTGGGGCAGAGTGTGGCTGGCATACATGAGGAAATCATTAAGAGAATATGACTGCAATAGAGCTGAGAGATGATGGTGGCCTCACGAGGGAAGGATGAAGATGGAGGAAGATTAGAAGGACAGAGATGGACAGGTGATAGTAAGGTGACACAGGCATATATGGAAACGATGACTTTTGCTTCTGGCTTAGGGAAACAGATGGACAAAAGTACCATTTACCCACTGAGACAGGAACCTCAAAGAAGGACAGATTGTAGAAGTAAGTTTGGAACTTGTTGAGTTTAAGGTGCTTTGAAATGCACTCCTAAAGAAATCCAGCAGGATGCATGGAATTATAGAAATGCAAGCACAATTTAAAAGTGAGAAACCTATGGTAATTTAAACCTTTGAAGTAGATAAGAACACCTGGGATTTGCATTTACCATAAAAACATCAAAGGATCAAAGTATATACCAGAGAGGAACTTAGCATTTAAGGAGTAAGCAAAGAATTAGAGATAACGTACACCACAATGAAAACAAGTATTATATGACAGATAGGAGGAAATTGAGGAAAGAATGAAATCAAGGAAAAAAATAGTGAAGAGAAGTGATTCACAGAAGGAAGACATGGTCAACTTGGTCACCATGCAAAGGGGCATCCTTCCAAAGATCTAAAGAGTGAAATGTTTCCAGTGAAACTGGCAATTAGAAGACTGGTGATTTGCAAAAGGGCATGTTCAGTGGGAAAAGAATAAATGAGAAAATGAGGACAATAAGTTGAGACAACCTTGTCAAGACTGGGTGTGCAGGACCGAGAGAGAGGACAGAGACAGGAGGGGACAAAGTGTGTGTTGAGGGGGAATGTAGGGATGGCCATTTGGTTTGATAAGAGAGAGAAATTTCTACAATATGTATACGTTAATGAGCTAATGAACTGGGGCTACAATAGAGGAAGAGGTTGACCATTCTGAAGTAAGAAGGAATATCACAGGGAACAAGTTCCTTGAAGAAGAGAAGGAGGCTGAGATCCAAAACAGGAGGGAGTAGGGAGGATCTGGCCTTAGAAAGAGGTCCATTCTTTCCAGGAAGAGCCACATACAAATGAAGTGGTATGCAGGAGTACAGGGAGATTATGTAGGGACAGTCCCTGCGCTGTTCTGGTTTCATTTTGTTTCCCTAGTGCAGGAAGTGAAGTGGGTCTCCTGTCAGGTCTGAGCACACGTGGTGGGAGGTAGACAACGGAAGGAGGGTATAATTTGGAAGATTTTGAACAATTCAAATTCCAGTAGAGAAAGAGCAGAAGGAGAAAAAGTGGAAGATAAAGAGTAGAGGAAGGAGGTGTTAAAGGGTTGTCCAGCAATGTTAAGAACTGAGCTAAGTTTTAGAGACTATGGATTTCAATTGGCACCATTCCACAACGTGCATATTGTTTCCACTGGCAGCCTGACAGCCTCAGCGAGGGGAGTCCCACGTTTAGAAGGACTCAAGACTGAGCGCTAGTAGATGCAGGTATCATGATTTGTCCCTGCTGATTGGTCTGTTAATGCAGATGCATTGATTGACACCGCCTGATGTCTCCCCTCAAGACCAAGAATGCATGTTTTATCACAAATGGAGCACATTTTATCTGGAGGTCACATATAAGTCCTGCACATCCATGATAGGGCACGTGGATATTGGGAATTCTAGTCAGAAGCACAGTCATTAATATGAATTATTACATTCTGGAAAAATAGGAATAAACTGAGATGAATTATTTCTTCTCAACTCAAACCATTTCCACCTTTTGTTCCACATTAGACTGTGATCATGTGATCTGCTTTTCTCGTGACGACTTAAGGCCTTGCATTAATAATGAGAGAAAGCAGGATCTAGTAGGAGAACCTCAAAGTGAGCACTAAGAATAAAACATGCTGACCTAATGTCTAGCCTGACCCAACAGACAGCCACACCCTCGTTGCCCCAGAATAATTCACAAAAATCTAAAGTCTTCTCATAGCATTCCCTTACTTAAAAATCCTTCAAGAGTCCGTGGTGCCTACAGAATCAAGCCCAGCATCCTTAGAATGCTTTACACAACCCTCCTGTATAAGGGGATAAAGTCCCTGCTGCTTCTCCAATCTCTCATCCTACTCCTTCCCACATAGATCCCATCTTCCTGTAACACGGAAATATATACCTCAGAGAATTCTAAACTCATACAGCCATTTCCTTCCTAACTTCTAAAAGATGGTAGTTTTTGTAATGGAAACAATATCCCAAGCAGTAAAAGCCATTGCTCCAACCAGATTCAGCCTAATATCCTCATCCTGAAAAGCAATTTCCTAAAGGCTCTCTAGATGCTAAAGACAGCTATTGATTGCCAATGAGAATAATGCACTGGTAATTCGCTAAACAATCAGGAGATCAGCCCAGTCACCAGCAGCTTTAAGATACAATAGTGAAAACAAATAAGAACAGAATTGTTCGTGACTTATTGATAGTCATGTTAAATTTTTTATCCACTCATATGAGAGACAGAGAGAGAGAGAGAGAGAGAGACTTTTCAATCATAATTTTATTGTTTTAATTCAGTCCAAGCATTGTATAAGTGTGCATAAAACTATAAACAGAAGCCATCCTTGGGGACCTTGGCACTACAAGTGAGTGCCTTGGGATACATTTGTTTGTTATGCACACCACATAAAGATCAGCATTCCATCTTTCATTTGACTATATCAACGTGTCTCAGGCAGAACTTTAAATAGATTCAGTGATTCTATCTGAGGTTTGCAAAACCATTGTAGAGTCAGCTAGTCAACAGAAAACAATTATAGCCCTAGTTCCTTCCTTGCAGTGCAGCGAGTTTAAATTTGTCCTGTGGAATACACAGTCGGGAGTGTCGCCTGAGTCATTTGCGGAGGATGCCATAGATGGATGAACAAAAAGTAAGGACGTTGAGGCCAGACAGACCCCCACGAACATTCCAGTTCTACCGGCCATTAACGGTGGAACCTAGGGCAAATTATGTACTCTCTGAGCCTCAGTTTCTCTCCTGCAAAATGAGAGTAACAGCATGACTTATGATACATGTTTGTAAGGAACAAGTGAGAAAAGGTCAAGAGTTCAGTATAGACACCAGCACATAGTAGAGATCAATCATAACTTCCTCCCTCATGCCAGTTTTATTTCTGTGTTATTCCAGGTATAAAAGATGCAAGCTTGTTGGGGACATAGGTATGATTTTACTGTGAAGAACTGAAGTTGTCATCCTGAGAATCCCCTGGTCTCCTTTCCTTTGAATTGAATGCCTTTCCTACACACAGTCACACAGCTCAAATCCTAACTTTATTTGGGTCTTTGCTCAACCAACGACTCTAACTAAAGCAGCAATTCTCTGCCTCCTCTTCCCTTTTTGTACTTTACTGCATTATGCATTTTACTTTCTGTTATATTTTGTAAATATTTATGTACTGTTTGACTCCTTCCACTAGGGCTGAGAATCTGGGGGAATGAAGGTTCGGTCTGGACTCTTCCCTCTCTATTCCCAGTGTGCTGAACAGCAACCATCCCAGAGTAAGCACCAGGAAGTATCTGCCAGCAGTAAATGAATAAAGTAATTCACATACTACTAATCCTTAACCACCCGGTTCATTGTCAGCCTCTTGCAGGATGCTTTTCCAGACCTGTCTGTGACACGCATTCTCAGTATCACTCACTTTGGGACAAAACCTTGTGCTGTTACCAAGTTTTGTAACATTTGCTGTTTTTTGCTTCTAGGTTAGTGAAAAATATACAGTTTGAAAGTATATCCTTAGCTTATATTTGCTAAGGATAACAGGGAGACAGAAATAGCTGGGTAGTTCAAGTCAGCATCTATTAACTGAGGCACCAAACTTTGTGCAAGACTCTGTTGGTTTCTGCAGGCTCTTCTTTCTCCCTGACCCCTTGCAAGTTGGTTTTCACACCACCCACAATTCTGTCTCCTGCCCTTTCTTTTATCTTTCTACAGGAAATGCTCTAACTGGGGAGTCACATCAGATCTCATGAATTCAGCTACAATCTTCACATCAATAACCCCTGAATTTCTACTTCCAACCCAGACGTCGCCCAAAGCCACAGACTATAGAGAGCTCTTAATGAGGCACTATATTGCCAGCTCTCAAAACTTCAGTTTTTGTCCTCCATTCTCCCATGTCTGCAAGTAGCATCACTACCATCTACCATCTTGTCATCCAACCCAAAACCTCAGAGTCAGCCAAGATTCAACACCCAAGGTCAATCTATCACCACGATCTGTCAATTCTAAATCAGCAATATTTCTAGAATTTAGTTACTCAATATCCGCTGCCTCTGCCTTAGTTCAGGACCTCACTAATTCTTACCTCATTGATGGTATAGGTATTTTCTTACCTTGAAAACAAAACACTGGCAACACAAAATGCTGGTGAGGATGTGGAACAACAGACATGTTTTTATTGCTGGTGGAAATGCAAAGTGGTACATAATTGGTTGTTTCTTACAAAACTAAACATACTCCTACCTTACAATCCAGCAATCATGCCCTTTGCATTTACCCAATTAGTTAAGAATTTATGTCCACACAAAAATCTGCATATGAATGTTTATAGTAGCTTTATTCATAACTGTCAAAACTTGGAAGCAACCAATATGTCCTTCAGTGGGAGAGTGGATAAATAAACTATGGTACGTCTAGATGATGAAATGTTATTCAGCACTGAAAAGAAATAAGCTATGGAGCCATGGAAAGACATGGAAGAAACTTACATGTATATTACTAAGTGAAATAAGCCAACAGGAAAAGGATACATACTGTATGATTCTAACTATATAATATTTTGGAAAAAGCAAAACCATGAAGACAGTAAAATGATCAGTGGTTGCCAAGGGTCTGGGGGGATTGAAAAATGAAAAGGCAGAGGACAAGATTTTTAGAGCAGTGAAACTATCCTGCATGATACTACAATTGTGGAAACATATCATTAAACATTTATCAAAACCAACAGAATGTGCAACACCAAAGTGAACCCTGATGTAAACCATGGATTTGGGGTGATAATGATTTGTCAGTGTAGGTTCATTAATTATAAGAAATGGACCACGGTGAGGTGGATGCTGATGAGGGGCTGTGCATGTATGGGGATGGGGGATGTGGGGTATCTCTCTATTTTTTTTTTTTCAATTTTACTGTGAACTGAAAACTACTCTAAAAAATTAAGTCTATTAAAAACAGAAAAGGAAATAAACACAAAATAGCCTTTCATCTAGCCATATGAACCCATCATGAACCTATTGAATCAATCTCCTGCAGAACTCAGGAATAATTTTTAAATAAAAAATATAATCAGTATAACCCACTTTCAGAAACTCCTTTCATGCTTTTCATAGCCTAGCCTATAAATTAAAGGGCTCTGGGCAAACAGTTAGCATTTTTTTCCCCTTGTGCATTAAGAATCTGACCACTGGATAAATTTTCTAAGCTGTTTTCCTGGAAACAGATATATCACTTAAACAAAACAGTACTGCTTCTTGTAAAATGACCCCTGTTGTTAAGAGGACTGGAGCTGGACTGGGATAACTATAGATACCTGATGAAGATTCCTTACTTTGGGTTTTCCCGATTATGGAGACTCCTATAGTTAGCATGAGAGAAGAAGCCAAGAACCAAGAAGCAATGCCTATGGAGTTCTTGTGAGAGAGAAATGGTTCCTGAAAGGCATGAGACTTTTAAGCCATGTGGAACCTGAACCATCCAATATACATCGTCCTTCCTTGCATCTGAGCTATTTGCCATGTAGCTGCTGCAAAGGCTCTTGCTAATGAGGAACACCCGTGATTCCTGAGTTGGCAGATGTCAAGTGTCACCAATGGTTGTCCTATGTGTCTAGTTGAGACTAAGAAGAACCCACTCCCCTTTTACCCTTCTCCAATAGAACAAACTATTCACATTTGCCAGCCAGGATCATGTAATCTCTTTTCCCTGAGCTTTCTTGCATGTCCTTACCTCTTCTTTGTCACCTACCAATTCTCTTCCTTCAAGCTCAGCCGCAGAGTCACCTTCTCTAGGGATACCTTCACAAACCATACCCTACACTGGGTGAAGAGCTCCTTCCTTTGGCTCCCAAATCACCACAGATCCCTCTTACCCTATGTTTTCATCATCTGTTTGTTTATCTGTTGCCTCATTATGAGCTGCTTGATCGTCATGGCTACAAGGTCATGGTAACCTTAGATGGCTGACAATCCCATTTTTTGTAAATGTAAGCTGATCCTGTCACTCACACTAGCAGGCACTACTAGTTTCTTAGCCAAAATCTATCCTCCTTTTCTCACTAAACAGAATGGTGATATTAACTGACACCTATACCCAGACAGGCACTTCCTCAGATGCCCTTTTGGTCAGTGGTGGCCATGAGGGCCAGTTCAGTCTGAGAAGATGTTAGTGAAAGTCTAGTGAATGGAATTAGGAGAAAGATACTTTGTCCTGATTCAAAGAAATAAACTTTGCTGCCATATGCTTTTGCCCTTCACCCTTCCTGCTTCCTATATATCAGAAATATGGACATCATGTCTGATTATAGAGCAGAGATCTCATGGTCATGAACCAGAAAAAGACAGACATACAGTAAAGATGTCAGAGAAGAGATCCTGGGAAGCCTGGGTTCTTGACGACTTCCCACAAGTAGCAGCATGAGCCAGATCTGTTGTTGCACGAGAGAAATAAAACCCTATTTGGATAAGCCATGTCGTGAGGTTTTTGTTATTCCAGCGGAACCCCATGTTAACTGGAAGAAAACTACACATAATTTCTTCCCCCAAAACAAGATGAAATCCCAACCCATCCCCCTGACACTCCCTGCATCTCAGGGTCTGTGTACCTTATCAGTCCCACCTCCTGCCACTAGTCACACATGCTCTCTGAGCCCTAGTCATTCTAAATGTGTTAACAAGCGCCCCTGAAAACCCTGTCTTTTGCTATAGGTCCTTGTCTTTGCAAAGGTTCTTCTCTGTCCTTGGAATGCCTTTTTCCCCATGAGCTTCACCCAAAAGTATCCAACTGGCCTATCAACATGGGGGTGCATATTACCTCCTCTTTAAAGCCTTCCTTGATTCCATAGTCCCTCATTCCCCTGAACTTCCAGAGAGCACCCTATGGTTGCTTTTGTCGCAGCAATTAATAAATAACTTCCAAATTATTTGTTTTATCATCTCCCTTCTCCACCAGAACTTGAAACCACAGAGAGCAGTGATCCTGCCTTATCAGACATTCAACATAGTGTTGAAGGGTGCTTCTAAATACACTGGCTCTACCTACCAAAGTGGTGACCCTGATCTCTAACTCTACGGATAAAATTGGGATGGCACTAGGTTAGCCACATAAGACAACCCTAGGGATATAATGCTACAAATAATAAGGGCCTTGCCCTTGGGTGAGTGTTGAGGAAGACATGAAAAGACATTTCCCATAAGGAGGGGAAAAACAAACCATTTTTCAATACACTCACAGATAAAACATCTCTGCCGGCAGATGTGTTGGTTTTGCACACTGAGCAATTCTGACACTAACCGCCTGGGGTCAGTGCAGACCCTGCAGGTTAAGGGCTCAGACCCTTAACTTCAGATGCCAATGGGAAGTCCAGTTGTCATCTGTGCCTCTGACTGACCAGCTCTATGTCACAGGTTCCCACAACCTCCTCATCAAGTTTAATGATTTCTTAGAACAGCTGGCAAAACTCAGGAAAACATCTACTTACATGTATCACTTTATAACAAAGGATGCAACTCAAAAAGCACTGAAAAGAAGAGATACATCAGGCCAGGTATGGAAAGCGGTGTGGAACTTCCATGCCCTCTCCAGGCAGCCACCCTCTCAGCACTTCCACGTGTTCACCAACCAGTGAGCCCTCTGAACCCTGTCCATGTGGGTTTTTATGGCAGTTTCACTACATAGATATGACTGAATAAATCATTGACATTGGTAATAAATTAAGTTTCCAGCCCCTCTCCTCACCCCATCCTGGAGGTTGGGAGGCCGGGGGTCTGGCAGTTCCAACCCTCTAATCACATGGTTGATCCCCCTGGCAACCAGCCCCCACTCCCCTCGTCTAGGGGCTTTCCAAAAGTCACGCCATTGATATCAATTCAGACAATGTTGATAGAGGCTTGTTATGAATCACAAAAGTTGCTACTTTCATCTTTATTGCTCTTACCACTTAGGAAATTATAAACGTTTTAGGAGCTCTGCGTCCATAACTGAGGACTAAAATAAAAATTTATATTTCTTATATCACAATATCATACAACCCTGGAGTTGGGCACCCTAGGGATTCAATAGATAATGCATGCAAAGTGCTTAACATAATGCCTGCTAAAATAAATTCAACAAATATTAGTTTTGGGGATGATGATGATGATTGTATCTTTGTATCCTCAGCACTGGACTTGGACTATAGTAGGTGCTTATTAATATTTTTTGGATAAATAAATGAAACAAAATTTAGGTCTTTTGTTCTTGCTTCAAAATTACATAGAGCTCTAACATCTCAATACAAAAGAACACAAAAACCAAATGATATCCCTGTGCACCTAATTTTCCCACAAAACTACCTCCTGATGTTTATCCCCCAAGGCTTACCCCATCAGGGAGGCTCAATTCCTCATTGAGACAGTCTGTTTCTGAGCACAGTGAGGCCCTGGGGCTGCCACTTTGCAGGGAGGTTCTCAGTGGTGCCAACTGTGCTGGCAGGACTGGGTCAGTAACAAACACAGCTAAACAACACGGTCATTCATTGGATCTGGATGTCCATGAGCCTCTGGGAGTTGAGCACTGGCTCCACCATTCTTAACAATTTAATTTCCTCATGTGAATTCCATGGGGACTCCCTGGGACAAGAGAGGGCTGGAGAGAAGTGAGCAGCCATTTATAACTAGTGCTCAGCTCAGGAGAGCCTAACTTGGAGACTAGCTCTCAGCCTGTGCTAGTAGCTCAGGGGAAACCTCAAAGTTAGTTATTTTGATCTATCTGGTTCCAAAACATCATTACCTTGACATGATGGGATCGCTCTGTTTCTGTAGGCTGTTGTCATCAGGTTGTATAATAAAATCCTAATGGCAGAATTATATAAACATTTATTGTACAGCTATGGTGTGGAAGCCCTGTGGAGAAAGACAGACTGTGAAATAGGCTCAATATTCAAGTTGTCCACACTCAAATAGGATTTTTTTAATCTAAATAAGTATCTCTACTAAAAGAGAAATAAAGAATATATGAGAGAAATAGGAAAAAATGAGAGAGGTTCAGTGGAAGAAACAAATTCAAAGGAAAGAGAAAATATTTCCTAATGGAAGAAAGCCAACATGAAACAACACTAGGATGATCTCTGCATCTCTCGTCATTTTGAGAAGCAAGTCAACTTGTCCTAGTTTGCACTGATTGCTCTGCAGGACTGTGAGTCCGTCTCTATTTAACAAGTTAGCCTTCTGAAACAGCTTTGGAATCAGATGCCTCTAAGTTGGAATTTGGGTTCTGAGACTGATCATCTTTGTGACTCTTGGCAGGGCACTCAACTCTCTGAGCTTCAGAATCTTCATTTGTGAAAAGAGACCAGTAAGAATGCTTTCATCTGATAAAACTGTTGTTAAGATTACAGGAGAAAACCCTTGTCTGTTGAATGAACATGTGTTTGAACACATTGTTTAGAAGGGAAAAGAAAAAGAAACTACTGTCTGTTACCTCTGACTTCTCCCTACTCTCCCTGTTAAAAGAATTTAAGTTTGAGGAGATAGAGACCATGCCTGCCTTGCTCTCAACAGCATCCGCAGCACACAGGATGATACTTGGCACATGCTATAGACTTGATTAAATTTCATTTACTAATAAAATAAATATTCTTTCTCAATTATGTCACATGGTATCAGGCACTTTGTTAAGTCTGTGTATGCAGTGGTTACATCAGTCAATCATCCAGGCCACCTAGGACAAAAATAGTCTTGTTATCTCCATTTTACAGACAAGAAAACAGATTCAGAAAAGTTAAAGGTTTTGCAAATCAGAGCTAGTGAGTGGCACAGTTGAAACTGGAACAGGATTTTTTGAATTCAAATGCTCTGTTTGCATCCTTCAGGTCAATTAGCTTGCATATTACAGCTGAGCATAGCAGGGCAGAGAGTGGGTCTGAGCTAACGCCAGTGGAGCAGGCTTTTGTGAAAGCACCGATGGCTGCACCATTCCCTTAGGTGGACAGTGATTGAACTGGGTATGTTTTAGCATAGTCCTGGGAGTCTAGCCCTTCAAGGCTGGCTTCCACACTGCCTGCCCCAGTTATGCGGCTGTAACACAGCCAGCCTTTGGTCATGCTTTATTGCTTTATTCTCGCTTGAATGACAGCTCCTCCACTCTATCATTTTCACTTTCCACTTGCTCCTGCCTCTGTCCCATCAAATCCAGTGTCTGTTCAACTGGTCTCTCCCAGCAACTGGTCTCTCCCAGCCTCTTCAGGGAATTGTCCTATAAGACCAGCTCCAGAAACCAACATTTTACCATGAGTTTGTGCATCTAACAGTGCCAAGGCCAGACCTAACTTTAGAAGAAATGATTGGAATAGTCAGGCATTAGATGGGAGTACAAGATAAATAAGTCAATGGCCTCCCCTGGAGGAGTTCACCATCTGGAGAAGGAGGGTGTGGAATTGTTCAGTTCAGAGATGGACATTAGTGTATGGGCTACATTGTCAGCACATAGGGCAGAGGAGTCCATACCACATCATGCCCAAGCTTCAGCTGAAAGATGCAAAAGAGATTCCCAGACTATAGAGGGAGGATGGAAAGGAAGTGCCACTTCAGCAGAGGCGGCATGAGTGTAGGCCGTGCAGGAGTGACACCTTGCTGGTTTCCAAAGATGTGGGAAACAACAAGGTCCATAGGGTATCTGCATGGGGTGAGGAAGTGTAGGGAAGAGGGAAATAGGGAAGAGCGTGTTGAAGTACGTGGCCACGAGGGCCATCAAGAGCCTGCTCAGAAGATGCCTGTAATCTTTGTCAGACTCTGTAATTTAGGGAAATGAGCATCCTACCAGGGTTGACTTTATGAGTGCATGCCCTATGTAGTCACAGAGGATCCCATACCATGCTTAGAAGAGCCCTCCCTTCGGTTAATTGCTCTGTTGTTACCATCTTGATATTAATAATAATTTTTAACAAGGGGCTCCACCTCTTCATTTTGCAGCTGGCCCTGCAAGTTTTGTAGCCAATCCCAGGTCCTACCTAGTAACAGTAGCTTACACTTCCTAGTGTTTATATATAGTATGCCAGTCACTGTTTAAATGTTTTTCATATGTTAACTCATTTAATCCTCAAAATACTCCATTAGGTAGACATATTGTTCTTGCATTGTTTGATGAAAGGATTTATGCTCAGATTAGTTAACAAACTTGACCAATGCCAGTAGCAAAGTTAGGATTAAACCCAGTTTTCTGGCTTCAGAGCCAGTGTTCCTATCCACTCACATTGGGTCTCTTCATTTTACATTTTCACCATGGAGTAGTACTCTGAGATACCCACATTTTTAGAAAAAAATGTTGTTAAACTATTTTAGCTTCCATCCACCCACCCATGCACCCATCCATCCATCTACCCAAGAATTCATTTAATGACTCCATAAGCCACATTTTTCTACAAAACCTGTGCCAATATAGTACCTAGACTTAGGTGCCTCAATGAATTTTGCTTTAATAAATGGAAGAGACTATATTTCAGGAACAATCAATTTAAAATTTGAAAAAAAAAAATCTCACTGTCTCTAAGAAACAGAGATGGACTTAAATCAATGCTTAAAGTGCAAAAGTTAACATTTCTTGAGTCTTGCTATGGGTCACATTTCTAACCACATTTCTTCTTGTGTTTGTTCTTTAATCCTAACAAAAATTTGAAGGAGGCACCATTTTATTTTTTATCCCAACTTTACACATGAAGAAATGGAAGTACAGAGAGGCTGAGCAACCTGTCCTGGGTAACACAGCTAACCAGGAGAGGAGCGAGGCTTTGAGCGACGTGTTACCACACAACCCACAGGCTGTCAGGCCTCCAAGCTGGGGTCTTAGCCAAGCTGCTGTGGGAGCAGAAAGACAATGAATTCAACCATCAGAGGGGTGGGAAATGCCTTTTCAGAAAAGATGGCAACTGAGGTGAATCTGAATCCATGAGGAGGCTGCCCAGATGAAGGTGGGGTTTGTACATGTGTTTACAGGTGCCTGTGTAACAGAGAGAGAGGGAGAGAGACAGGAGAGGCAATAATATCATATTGTGCTAAAATTATAAATAGATGTACCAGCTCCCTCTTTGGGGGTACCTCACCCTCTGTACCCCTGGAAGCCATAATCAGGACCCCAAAAATACTTGCAAGGACAACTTCCAGCTCAGGGCACACTGCTCATTCCTGCAGTGACCCTATGCAAGCCTCAATTGCATTCCACTGGGTGTCAATCCAGTCTCAGTTTTAACTTAGAATGAGATGCCTCTTAAAGCAGTATATTGATTTTCAGTCTAGGTATACACTATACGTTACATTTGCATCCCAGGAGTTTTGACACATACATTAATCACTGAATTTTGAATAAAAATATCTAGGGGGACACTGAATGAAGCCATACAAATAAGAAAGAGCAGATCTGCAATTTTAGTAAATGCTCCTTTTTTCCAGTTTGTTTCAAGAAAGTCAATAAAGTATAAAGTGAAAGGATGAACACCTAATATTTTGACTGCTCATCTGAGCAAGCAGGGAGGACATAGATTTCTCTGGATGTCTTTTTCTTTTTTTAGCCTAAGCAGGATTCTAATTCTATGAGTTTTTTTCAAGTAAATGTGCCTGCAACCCTTCACGCAGACCTGATATGAGGGATCCTCAAATAAATCCCCTCCTCCAAGTTAAACAGGAGCTCTAGTCCTTTCTCAAGTTCACACAGCTGGGTGGCTAAAGGCAAGCAATCTTGAGTAAATAGGGTATTTTGAGGTTTTATTTGGGTTTCTTTATTGGCTGAGAGGGAAATGGTTTGTTTTACTTTCATGATTTATAGCTGAATTTTGAATACCCTTCACAGGGGATATCTACAGTGCAGCCGGGAAGGAATAAGTTTTGAGATCAAACAAATTTGGGGATCAGCTTCTGGCGACTGTGTGACTGTGAACAGTATTTTGCCCTCTTGGCTTTTATTTTTTTAGGGCTAATGATGGCCCTGCATGAAGATGACATAAAAGTTTCACCTGGGGAAGTACTTTCTACAGTCTACAGCTCATAGTAGGGGCTTAGAAAGAGCTTCCTTTTCCTCTCACGCACACCACTTCCTAATTCAATGTTAATCTGTCGCTGAAAAATGGTTTTATTATCATTCTTTTTCTCCAACATCCACATGCTTTTGAAAAGAAGAGGGGAAAGGAAGAAAAAAAAAGAAACCTGGGAGAATCTCATTCTGTTATTCAGAAGCAATTATATTAATATTCATTTTATTCTCCCAAAAGGCCAACACAAGCTGGCCTGTTAAAATACCAAGCTTGATGAATTCTACCTTGGGCACAAGAGTCCATGGATAATCTTATCTTTATACATTTCCTTTAAACAAACTAAAAATGCAATTTATTATTCAGTGCATTTTATATTCTGAGTTAAAATCAACGAGGTTTCACCAAAGCCACCAATTCAGTTGCCTTCTCTCCCCTTGCAACAACACCTCAGCTAAGATGATGTGTGCTCCAGAAATTAATTTTCCAGATAACTAATATCAAGTCCTTTAAACACCAAATAGTTTTATATTTAATTTTAGTAATTTCTGATGTAATCTATTTTAGAAATTATACTCTTATTTCAGCAGAGTTTACAGACTGTAATTTCGATTTTCTTTTATGACTCATTGTCACACTTCTGAACATAAGCTACTGCTCAGTGTTGTCATGGGTTGATGGCCTCAAAGATCCCTAAGGCATAACCATTTCCAAAGCCACACAAGGTCCCAGAGTCTTCCCTAATGATATTCCCTTCGTCCATCCCATCCAGAGTTTCCATTCAAGGAAGAGTCGCATCGAGGTTCCTCAGTTTTCAGAGTGGAATGACAATCCGCCATCCTCTTGGTTGATATTAAGTACATACACAGATCAGCCTTTAGTCAGAATAAACATTGATTAATCTCCTACTATGTGCCAAGTATTACAATAGAAGCTGTTTAATTTTATTTTTATGCAAATTTTATTAAAAATTCCTCATAGGTTGTGTATTATCATTATTTTAGAGATAAAGGAACTAAGGTTAATACAGTTAAAGCAACACGATTGAAGTCTTTCAATCTCCTAGGGAGAAACTGAGGTTACAATCAGGTTATTGGGAAAAGTACTGCTGAAATTCCACACCATGAAACCCATGTGGGTAAGGAGGGGAGTTATAAAAAAGAGGGCTAAAGAACTGAGGGAAATAGGGGAGATCACTGGGCCAGAGGAATCCAGGCAATCAAAGAACAGCAATAGTAGGAAAACTCAAAAAGCAAGCTAAGAGACGAGGCCATGTTCGACAGATCATCTGGAATGCAAAACAAGTATGATATGTGAGTGAGTGTGTGGCTAAGGGGAGTAGAAGAAAAGCTATCTGAGTAGAAGGTGGGATCCAGGATGGTTTAGGGGTCACCTACTTAGACTTGGAAAGCCTCCTAGGTAATTGCAGAAGTGGCTGGTAAACAAAACCAAGCTTCAGGTACCAAAATGATCAGTGAGTGGAGAGTAATGTGTGAACAGCTAATGCAACCCCACCAGGCTGGAAGGTACTGGTGTAGCTGGCATCCCGTTGCACTTTTGCTGGTCAGTAGATGCTTTTAAGAGACAAGCAGAAGGAGTGGCTAAGTCGGGATGAAAATCCACGTAGGGTTCCTCAGGTTCCAAGCATGGCAAAGTTTCAGGAGACATTTTTGCAGTATTTCATGACTCATTCCCTCAGGGCACAGGCATTTTCAGAGGATCAGAGGGTAGTAGGGCTGAATGATATGAGTCCCAAAGAATGAGCCCTGGGGAATGTGTGTGTCTTAAAGGAAGACCTGGAGGGCTGTAATTGAAATACTAATTAATGTAGTGGATGCTACTGCTGACCCACCTGGTCCCCTCTACTGAGCTGGCACTCTATCACCCAGTTGATTTTTTGGCTGCTAGCAGCCTGCAGTTGCTTTGTTCTTCCGAGAATTGCCCACAGCTGACGGGAGCTGCTTTTCCCAGAAATACTTGGGAGGATACGCTGCCAGAGCTGAGTCTACAGTGACAACAGCCTGGGCCCTGGCCTCAAGGAGGAAGACTGTGTGGGCCATGTGTGTCCCAGGGCATCCTGTGCCATCAGGCTGAGACTAGATATCCATGGCTGTCCTCTCCCTTGTCTAATACTGCTTCCCTCTCTCTCTGAGGTTTCAACTGAAGGTACCTGCTCAGCCAATCACTTGCACAAGAATCTCCATTTCAGTTTCTGCATCTGAGGAACCAGACCTAAGGTGGAGTAAGCAGGACCTCTCCACGAAGACCTAGTAACTGCCCAGGGTCCCTTGGCTAACAAATATCAGAAATAGGGTGACCAACTCATCTGTGTTGTCTAGGACCAAGAAGGTTCCTGGGATGAAGGACTTTCAGTTTTCTTTTCTTTTTTTTTTTAATTATACTTTAAGTTCTAGGGTACATGTGCACAACGTGCCGGTTTGTTACATATGTATACATGTGCCAGTTTTCAAACTGGAACAGTCCCTCTCAAAATGGTACAAGTTGATTACTCTAATCAGAACTTGGATTCAAACCAAAGTCTGCCTCACTCTAAAGGTTGCGATTTTCATTTACATGACCCTGTCTCACTAATACTCAGAAGACCTGCTGTTTTAGTTTTCACCAGAGAATACAATCACTTTGTGAAGTCCATGCAGGGACATCTGCAGGCTCCAAAGCAGCCCCATCCCACTTGCAGAAAAGGCATTCTTAGCTGGTCACGGAGGACTTAGGAGATCCATACCTTCCCGCCAGCCCCCATGGGACTACTTTTTTTTTTTCTGAGAAGAGTGGCTACAGATTTTATCAGATGCTCAAAGTGATCCGGGACTTAATTAAGGTTAAGAACAATTGTCTAAGAAAACATTGCTTTTATCTCTGGATTAAGCAGAACAGTGGGGTGCTGTACTTACATCTGATGCTTAATGTCTCAAGCAGAGCTGTTTCCCAGTAAATGGCCCAGCACCCACCCGTGCATTCACAGCAGCATGGTGGGTGGGAGCTGTCCACTGCATTCCTCAAACTACTCTCATCCAAGCCCTAGGTGTGTGTGGGGGTGGGGGCGGGGCAGGGGCTGGGCAGGGGTGGTACTTCTTTTCTGTTTCAACTGAAGTTTAAAACACACTTGTCACTTGTCAGCCAGGCACAGGGGCTCATGTCCATAATCCCAGCACTTTGGGAGGCCAAGGTGGGAGGATCACTTGAGGTCAGGAGTTCAAGACCAGCCTCGCCAACAAGGGGAAATCCCTTATCTACTAAAAATACAAAAAAATTAGCCAGGCGTGGTGGTGGGCACCTGGAATCCCAGCTACTGGGGAGGCCGAGGCAGGAGAATCGCTTGAACCCGGGAGGCAGAGGTTGCAGTGAGCTGAGATCGCACCACTGCACTCCAGCCTTGGAGACAGAGTGAGACTCTCTCTCAAAAAAAACAAAAAAAAAAGACGCCTGTCAGTGTCATCTGAGGAGATGGACAGGGGAGGTCATCCCTAGGGGGCAGGTGTCCAGCAGCAAGCAACCAGCCTACAAGGTGCCCCTGAACTGGAAGGCCACCTTCTGACCCAGGAACTGTAAATGGTGCTTAAATAGGGCTGCAGTTATTACTTTTTAAACGTAAAAGTATTATTTTATTATTGATGATTTCTGCATGTATCCTTCTATTTTTTGACAAACATTTATTGCACGCTAAATGGGTGTCAGGAACTATTCTAAGGGTTTTGTGCAGCTATGAGTACAGCAAAGTCCTTGCACCGGGGAGGTCACATCTTGCAGAGGAGATAATAGAAAACAAATAAACCGATGCATCTCTACTATTTCAGATAATGATATGATAATGAATTCTTTTGAGGAAAAAAAAAAAAGCAAGCTTGGTGGCTAGAGACTACACAGGGTTATTTAACTAGGTTGTCCAGAGACATCACTACAAAGAGGGGACTTAGGTGAGGAAAGGGAGTGAGCCACAGGAACATCAGGGGATGATCTGTCCCAACCAGCAGTGTAGACACAAAAGGAAAAATCCCTAAGGCCAGAGGAAGCCAGATAGTGTGCGTTTTTGTTTGTTTTTTTGTGTGTGAGTGTTTTTGTTTGATTTTTGTTTGTTGTTTGTGAGAGGGAGTCTCACTCTGTCGCCAGGCTGGAGTGCAGTGGTGCAATCTCGGCTCACTGCAACCTTCGCCTCCCAGGTTCAAGCAATTTTCCTGCCTCAGCTTCCCAAGTAGCTGGGACTACAGGCACGCACCACCACACCCAGCTAATTTTCGTATTTTTTGTAGAGATGGGGTTTCACCATGTTGGCCAGTATGGTCTCGAGGTCCTGACCTGGTGATCCGCCCGCCTCAGCCTCCCAAAGTACTGGGATTACAGGCGTGAGCCATCACGCCCGGCGTTTGTTTGATTTTTTGAATGAGCAGTAGTGTAGCCCTTGTGGGTCTAAAGGAACACCTTTGCTTCCTCTACCTCTATACTTCTCCTAGCCAATCACTGCTACTCCCAGGTTCTCAGTTATCATCTACGTGCTGAGGATTCCCTAAGTCTGTGTATTCCGCCAAACTCTTTTCTGAGTTTGATTGATATTGCCTAAAATGTATGTGGATGTCATCAGAGACCTGAAACTCCACGCATTCAAAACAGAACTCATCATTTCCTCCTGAAAACCTGTTCTTTCCCCTGTGTCCCCAGGCCAGTGAACAGCAGCAAAGCCAATCCATCAGACTAGGTCAGAAAATGGAGCATCATCCTGGAGCAGAGGTATTCTTCACTCTTGGACCCTGTATGTCAAGATTCTACTGACTGAATATTTCTCAAGTTGGTCCTCCTGTCTCCGTCTCTATTACCTTAACCTAGGTTTGGGCCATCTTTATGTCTAGGTACCCTAAATTTCCTGAAATAGACTCCCACCCAGTCTCCATGCCTCCTGTATAATTTACTTTTCTCCAATGCATTCTTTATATTGCAACCAGAATGGACCATTCCAAAATGCATGTTTGTATCTGTCATCTCCCAGTTTAAGATCTTTCCACCCCTCCCATTAGCTTCCAGATAAAGAATAAATCCATTCACAAAGTGTCCAAGGGCCTGCACACCCAGCCTCTACTCACCTCTCCAGCCTTTTAGCTTCCCACCCCTGTCTCAAGTTCTTCACCCACACTCTCTCTGAGCCCACACATCCTACTGCCTGCAATACTCTCTCAACCCCTGCTCTCCACCCTGGCTTTCTTCCATGTGAAACAGCTCCCCCGACTCCTTATCCCACGTTTATCTATGTAACTCCTACTTTCCATTCATGTCTCATATTCGATACCTCTTCCTCCAGGAAGCCCCTCGTGGCATTCCCAAGTGGGGTTAGGTGTCCTTCTCTGCTCTCAGGTCTTATCTCTATCATAGCTTTGCCACTGTATATTATAACTGCTTCTCTACTTGTTTGTCTTTTTTAGAAGTTATAAACTTCTTAAGCATATAAACATTATCTTCTTTATCTTGGCCCCCTTCAAGCTTCTATAACAGAGGATGGGGCATAATAGGCACTTTGGAAATAAAATTTTTGTTGACTGCCTTCATTTCACAATTGGGAAAAGAAGTCCAGGGAGGTTAAGTTCCTGCTTAAAGAACACAGCTAATTCATATCAGAGTTAACCCTAGAGTACCTGTATTCAAGTTTTGATCCAATTTTCTTTCAGATACCAGACTCCACATAAAAGATAAAACCTAGTTCTTAATCTCATAAGTACAGAGTCTAGGAGGGACTCAAGATCTAGACAAGAAAGCTACAGACTGCGAAGGTCAAGCCACAGGGTTGCACTGAGTGTTGGAGAGGAACACAGGGACCTGCAGGGCCCATCAGGAAAGTGAGCCTAGCCCTGGAGACATGGAAGAGGGCATGCCTGGTTGGGAGAACAGAGTGAGCCATGCTCAGACAGACAGACGGGTGGATAAGGGCCTTATCTGCCATCCTAGCAAGAGAACTTCCACCACAGGAACTTCCTGTCGAAACAGCTGCACCAGGAAGACACTCCCACAAAGGAAGCCTACACCACTCTGCCTCTAGATTATCCATATGCAAAGAGTTCATCCCACCACTACCTCCCTCCAGCTACCTGGGATGACACTCACCTCTTCTCTTCACTCTCCTTGCCCATCTTCCCCATAATAACTGAAAACTAAAGACTGTAAGTTGCAGTTATTCTAAGTAACTGAGAATATGACTTAGAGAATATGACGTCACTTCAACGTCTGCTAAATATAATGAAATTAAAGAAAAAACTCTAGAAGAGAAAGAAAAATAGGCCAGGCGCGGTGGATCATGCCTGTAATCCCAGAAATTTGGGGGGCCGAGGCGGGTGGATCACTTGAGGTCAAGAGTTCGAGACCAGCCTGACCAACGTGGTGAAACTCTGTCTCTACTAAAAATCAAAATTAGCTGGGCATGGTGGCACATGCCTGTAATCCCGGATACTTGGGAGGCTGAGGCAGGAGAATCGCTTCAACCCAGGAAGTGGAGGTTGCAGTGAGCCGAGATCGTGCCATTGCACTCCCAGCCTAGGCAACAAGAGCGAAACTCTCTCTCAAAAAAAAAAAAAAAAAGAAAGAAAGAAAGAAAGACAAGAAAAGAAAAATATTTCCTATATCACAAAGCCCAACAACAAAAGCTATATCATCAATTAAAACATAGGGCAAGACTTTAAAGAATGGGGTGGAAAGAATATGTCTAAAGTGACAAAGAAAGTGAACAGCAGAACTCAACCAGGCCCACACCCTCCAGTGTCTAGCTGGAGACCCCTCTAACAATAAATCTATAGTTTTCCGTGTCCCAAGAAATGTTTCATAAGAAATTTGATCTTGGTAGTCTTGCTATCCAATTGCCTAGTAATGCCTGGAATATTGCAGCTATGTAGGAAATAGTCACTTAATTCTAACCCACAATTTGGAACATGTCATTGTTTCTCCCTCAATCGTTTCCTCATTTTCTAATTCCCAGTCAATGCTGGGACCAGCATCTACTCTGGCACGGAGGCAATCCTACGTTCACTCATTCATTCATTCATTCATTCATTCAGCAAACATTTACTGAGTGCATATTATATGAGAGGATTTGTTCTACCAGTGGGAGTTCAACAGTGAACTACGTAATATATTGATAAGTACTATAAAGAAAGAAACATCAAAATAAGAGACTGTCATTGTAGAAGTAGGTGGTAAGGGTGGGCTAATGATATGCTAAGGTGACATTTGAGTTGCAGCCAGAATAAAGTAGGGACACCCAGTGATTACCAGGGAGAAGAATGTCCCAGGAGGAGGGAGTAGCATGTGCTGCTGAAGATCAGCCAGGAGGCCAGGGTGGGTAGAGGTGAGTGGCTGTGGAGGAGACCAGGTCACAAGGTGGTGAGCCGGGTTGGAACAGGGGCTGAATGTCGTGTAGGTTGCAGGTCATGGGAAATGCTTCAGATTTTACTCTGAGTTAGAAAACCACAAAAGGGCTTTGAGCAAAGAGTTTAATCTGATTTTAGTTTTATAAAGATCTCTCTGGCTGCCTTGTGCACAGTAGACACTGGGAAGCAGAATAGAGGCAGGGACATCAATTCAGAGCCTGGTTTATTAGTCCTTGCCTTCTTCTCTCACGGTGGGAGGATGGAAAGAAAGCCTGAGTATCAACCATGACCCCTCCTTCCTCTTGACCTATCAATGGTCAAAGGTCCCTAGAATGTCTCACTGATATTTTTGTGAGATAGGAAGCAATCTGTTCATTTCTCTGATACCTTCCTTCTGTTCCTCTCTACTATTCCTTCTCACACTATTTCTTCTCTGTCCTTCTCTTTTTCCCACCTCTCATTACCTGAAGTCAAGCATCTCTGCAGAGCCTCCTAAGAGGCCATAAAATCTTTGTTGGATCTCGCTAACCTGGCCTCTATCACAGCTGGGGAGAGCATCCTGCCCAGGTCTAGACCTTTCTGTGACTTCCTATGGCCTTCTGTTAGAGGAAAAGACTGGCTTGCAAAACTCTCAAACGTGTAACCCTACCATCTCCCAAGCCTCAACGGACACCACCTCACCCCTTGGCCTCTTGTTCCAGCCCTGCGGTTCCTTTCTCTTCCTTGCTACTTCTTGTCTCCAAGTCTCTGCATGTTGCTCTCCCTTTCTGATTGCCCTTCCCTCAGGTCTGCATGTGGAGATTCCTTCAGACTCAGCTTAGACTCTCTCTCCTTTAAGAAGGCATCCTTGACAGCCACCACCTAGGAAATATGTCGGAGGCTCCTCTTTGTTCCCGCAGACCCCCGGCATTGCCTGGTTTGTTCTTGCCGATTTCCATGCCTGATCCCCCAACTACATATTAAGCTCTTGAAAGGCAAGGACCTTGTGTTGTCTACAGTTGATTCTCAGAGTCTGGCATGATGAGTGACGCAGGGCAGGCTACTTATGCAAATGCCCTGTACCAGGCACATCACAGCACCACTCCATCCACACCGGAGGTGGAGGGAGGGCCACAGATCCCAGGCTCACAGTGCCACTTTCCTTTGTGATGCTAAAATCTCCCTCACGAGTCACTCCTGAGATGGGTGTGCAGCCACCTAGAAATTATTCATGTTTGAGCAGAAACATTTGACGTTTCTGAGCACCCAGTGTCTGGATAGCTCAGCAGATATTAGCGATGTCCGTGAATCTCTGCCAGCTCTCTCAGGTAAGATCAGACTTGAATCTGAATCTAAATCTTTAGGTCATTCTGCTCCCTCCTGGTGTCTCCCATGTGTAACCAAAGGAGGTTCTTGGTGGTTGGGACCATGACCATCTTCTTAGTTCTTCTTCTCTTGTAGAACTGTAGGTGAAATACAGGGAGGAGACTCATTTGGGGCATTTCAAAAAATTCTGGAACCCTCTATTATTGGCAATTACATCTATCATTTGCAAATTACAGATATTACGTATTGAGTGCCTGGCATGGCATTTTTCTTTCTGTGCATTTGCCTATCTATCTTGAAAGGTGGCTATCATTACAATGCTATGCAGATAAGGCAGATGGCTGGGGGAGCAAAATGATTTACTGAAGGTCACACAGAGCTAGTAAGTGAAGGAGCCAGCATTTGAAGCCCATGTGATGCTGTGAAATTAGACAAGGATTTTGCTCATTTTCTAGGACGAAAATTAAGGAAAAGAACAAATTTACTTAGAGTATTAATATTTTACAGTTAATGAACTACTTTTATGGCACAGCTATTAATTCGCTCCAAAACTCGACATCCCTGTGAGATGGGTATTCACATCCACACTTTATGAATGAGGAAACTGAGGCACAAGACAATCAAGTGCACTAGTTCCAGGTACCCTGAAAACTGAGATTAAATCTAGGCTATCTTAATCCAATGCTTGTGCTTTTTTACTATACTGGAGCTGAAATCAAGGAAAGAAATTGAAGCGAGAAAAAGATATTTCAAGTTTAAAATATTCCATCAGATGTTTTCAGCAAATGTTACATGAAGGCCATTCAACACCAGATTTCAGTTATCCTAAAGTGCCCACTTGAAAAAAAATGAGCATTTTAAAGCAAAATATGTGCTTCTGTTCTCCTTCACTTTGCCTCAGTGGGTTGACCCTAAATAATGCACAACAAGCCATGGAGCATCCTCCAGGCTTGCCACACAGACCGAGATGGCAAAAGCAGCCAGGAATGGCCTTTCTGCAGCCTACGTCTGCACAGGTGGTCATGTTAGAAGTAAGGCTCATTCACTCATTCAACAACCATTCATCATGGCCATGGCTGCACCAGGTGCTGCAGCCACAACCAAAGTCAGATAGGGAGAGGCACCTATCATTGGGAAGCATCAAATCAACAGAAAGGACAGGTATGTGTGCAAGCGATGACACAGCACAGTCCATCACAAAGGAGGTCCAGAGTGTTGTGGGAGCACATGAGAGAATATGGGAAAGCTTCCTATAGGAAGGGGCATTTGAGTTGGGTTGTTAAAGGAAGAAAGAAGTGAGAAATTGTTATTCTAGGCAGGGACACCACCATGAGCAAAATCAGGGGCATAAAAGAGCAGAGAATAGTATAAGACAGTCTTGGTTCCTTCCAGAAATTATAATTCCTTCAGCAATAAAATCAACCTGTCAGCATTCAGTCTATTTCAGTCAAATTGAGCAAATATTTGGTAAACACCTGACATTACAGAGCAGAGTTGGATGAAAGTAATCCTGCCCACGAGAAACCCACAACCCGAGGTGAACAGTTAAATGAGTCCCTACTCTGTCTAAATCTCTGTTTATACTGTAAAAAAAAAAAAAAAACTTAATCCACCCATTGTGAGCAGGCCTCACTGTTTCAAACTAGACGAGTGCTGCATTTGATGGCAAAGCACTTGACCTTCAGCACTTGTAGGCAAGGTGGATGGCATGCAGCATTTTCCCCTGAGAAGCCCTCTTTATGTTGCCCTGAGTGAATCTTGGACCAGACTACAGTGTTTCCACTGTGAGTCACTGACTAATATTTCCACTCTCTTTTCGTAGTTGATGGATGTTTAATGATTTGCCAATCTGAGGAAGAGAGATTCTTTAGAAAACAATAATCCCTTTTACTTGCACAAGACATCAGGTTTTAAAAAGCCCTTCCCAAACATCCTCTCCACATCCCATTGGATTGTGATTGAGCCTGGTAAACTGCAAGACTTGTTAGTTAGTATCCCCATTCTCCAGATGAGAGAAAGAAGCCTCAGTGAGGTGGAACAACTCAAGGTCACACAGCAGGTGCATGAGGAAATCAGAGTTCAAATCCATGTTTTCTGACCCTCCAATCTGGTCCACTTTCCTCTACACCTAACCATCTGTCTAAGCTCTGATAACATCATCCATATTATGACATAAATCTCCAGATGAGAGGTTGGCCAAATCACATCCCCTTGGGTAACATAACCACACCATAAATTAAAAGCCCAATTAAAGAACATAGCCTTTTAACTGGGACTTAGACTGTCCCCCGAGGCCACGATATAAAGGAAGAGCCCTTTCAAAGTCAATGGCTGCCTATCCTGGATATTATTCAGAGGCCTACTTACCTACATGCACGAACTTTCAGACCCTAATTATTCACATGCTATCTTCCTTCTTCCGGGGCCCTGGTCCCAGCTGATCTGAGTTTGTAATCACTCCCCAAGCTCTGGCCCTCTCTCCAGCCTGCAGATGTAGTTAACAGTCCATCACACTGTATGGACAGCCCAGGTGCCTCTCGGCTTTGACACATCACTTAACATCAAGAGCATCATAACCTGATGGAAAACAATGCCCCCTGGTTCAAATGGACAACTGAAGCGGTGTCTCCAGCTGTCTGAAAGCGAGATAGTTTGCCAGTGGCCAAGGAGCAAGGATTGTCACTATGAGCGATGTGATTCTTGTTTTGCTGGCAAAGTGGGGTGGGGAGCTAGAAATGAGGTGGGGAGAAGGGGAGGGCATAGTCTTGACTGCTAGCTCAAAATTTTATTTCTATTCCCATCCTATCCCTAATAGTCAACGGCAATAACATGATACTCCTGTGTCCCAAAATAATAACAGTTACTACTTGCCTCGTCTAAACATCCCCTCCAGTGACTGGGCTTGAAGCTGGCTCTACAGATCAAGAGCTGGTCCCTTTCCATGTCACAGCTGAGCTGCAGTGTCCCCGCACACCCCTGTCCCCAGCCAAGCCACAGGAAGAACGGGTCTGTGCATTCGCCTGGATCACAGGGAATCGCTGCCACTGTCCCCTCCACCCCAGTGCGGTCTTCTCCTGAGCCTGGCCCCCGGGTTCCCTGGCTCCAAGGACCCCAATGGCCAAGGTCTGCATGCGCCCCCTCAGCCTCCATCTGGGACTCCTGGGGGGAACCCCTCATTAACCCAGCCTCTCCGCTCCTTTCACAGCCCTGGCCCTTCTTATCCCCTCAAGACCTGTCCAGATGTGCAGCAAACCTGGAGGGCAGAGAGACTGGGGAAAATCGAGGGAGATAAACCACATTTTGCGGCGGAATCGCTGTTCCGTGACAGAAAGCCATCCAACTGGCAACCACGCTTGCAGAAGCGTCACTACCACCGACGAGAGAGTTTTGCAGCTGCCGACCCCGAAGCGCTCTCACCTACCTGTCTCCACTGCAGGGCTCCCCTCTCTCTCCCCCGGGGGCCGCGCTCCTGGGTCCCTCTCTCTCCTCTTTCGCCGTCTCTGGCCGCCAACAGTTGCGGCGGCGGCGGCGGCGGGCGGACTGGGGAGTCCGCAGCACCTGCGAGCTGGTGTTGGGTCCCCGCGGCGAGGCTGCCTGGAGGAGGAGCGAGCGGATGCTGCCCTCGCCCGCCGCCGCCGGTGCTGATGCGGTTGCTATGGTTATGGAACCCCGCAACTGCCCCCCTCTCCGTGCAACAGCTGCCCGGCCGCGGCCTCCGGGCAGCCCCAGCGAGCAGGCGCCAGGACGCGAGGCTGTCAGCGCGGTCGGGGGAACGCAGCCGCCAGCGCCGCAAGAAAGCAAGGACCGACCGGCTGCGCCCGCGCCGCTGGGCTGGCGCCTCCCGGGCTGCGCTCACCTCTGGCGCCCTCACTCCTCTCCTTCCTCCGCCGGGACGCGGCCAGACCCTCCGCGCCGCGCCGCGCGCCCTCGCGGCCGGGAGAGCCCGCCCTGCTGCTCCCGCTGGCTCCGCTCCGCAGCCGCTGCGCACCGCGTGGGTAGACGCTGCGCGACTGGCTGGCGGCGCGGCTCACGCGCTCCCACCTCGGTCCCTCTCCGCCGCGAGGCCCTGATGGGAGCCCGGGGCGGGCCGCCCGGCGGCCAAACCCCGCCCGCTCGGCCGCCCGGGTGCCCAGGGCGCAGGCTGCGGCCCCGCGTGCGGCCCTCCCAGACTGACCGGCGCGAGCATGCTCAGTCCCCGCGGCGGGGCTCCCCTCTCGAGCCAAGACCCCAGGCCTCGGGCAGGAAAAGGGTCCCTGCAGATATCCGGGGGCGGGGCGCGGCGGAGAACTGGCTGGGAGGGGACTGTTGAACTTGGAAGAGAAGCCCAGGCAACAAGTAGATGCCTGAGAAAGGGTAAAAGCGCTGAGCAACCCATACCTCCAATGCGAAGTCAGCAGTGGCCTTCAACCAGCCAGCCGGCCCGTCATCCGATGGGCTCCTCACTTCATGCTGAACGTGGGGGTTCACAGACGTGTGAGATTCTGTCCACGGAGGAGGGAGAGGAAGATTGGGGAGGGTTAAGCCAGCTCCCGTCTACTGAGCATTCTTAAGGGGCATTGGGAACTCTAATTATCACCACCACTGTGCTGGCAAGTTCTCGTGGCATGCCTGTGACAGATGACAAAACAGCCTTAGAGAAGGAGCCAAGACTGGGACTCGGAAGCCCAGTGACCCGTCCACTAGACTCGGCTGCACTAACTCCACCCAGGAGGAGGCAGGGAATGGAACCAGGCATTAGAGGATGACTATGTCCCCCATTAGACTGGGCTGCACTAACTCACACCCCAGGAGGAAGCAGGGAATGGAACCAGGCAATTGCAGTTGGCAGGAGGAGTCTCTAACCCTGTCAGGCTGGGGGCAGGGGCAAGTAATTGGGGAAAGATACCTGAAAAAAAGGTATAAGAACAAATGAGTGGGGCGGTGAAGGGTAGAGAAGACTGCTCTTTCCAGGACAAGAGGAGCAGGGTACAGAGGCCTGGAGGCAGGACAGAACAGCAGGAACCTAGCAGCAGCAGGCAAGGAGAGGTGAGGCAGGCGAGTGGTGAGGTTTACAGGGCAGGCACTGCACACCAAAGGCCTTGCGATCCAAGTGAAGGGGTTGGAATTTGACAATGTGACCCTTAGGATGGGAAGGGAATGGGGAAGGTGGTGGGGAGGAGGGCAGTGAAGCAGTTTAAGCAGGAGAAAGGCTGGGTGGGAATGAAGGGAAGATCACCTTAGTTGAAGTGTGTGTGGTGCTGGCTAGGGTGGGGATTAAGGCTGCAGAAAGAGGTGTCCTAAGGAGGCTGTTGACATAGTGGGCCTGGGCAGATGGAGGCTCTGAGCTATCTACCCTGCTTGTCCTCCCCACAGCACCCAGCAAGCCCAGGGCAATGCATACCCTCAGTAAATGTTTGGTGAATGGCAAATAAATATGAATTTCTCAATAGAGAAAATGGGTGCTTTTCTTTTACAATATTTGTCTCTTAAATGTGTTCATAACCATATGGCATTTATTTTGCTATTGACATTGCATTTTTATGCAACCTTATTTTTGAAAGTCAGTGCAAGCACTCATTATTTTCCTCTGCATTTTCTAGTCCCCAGCAGTAGAGATATGCCAGGAGCATAGGATTTACTTGTATTGGATGTATTGTCTGGATAAAACAGCTCCATGATTTATTAAGTGAAAAAGCAAAGTGCAGAATAGATAAAATAAGATAATATTAAAATAAGACAACTGTTGTGAAACAAGGAGACAGATACACATATTTGTATTGCTTGCATTGGCATAAAAATACGCTAGAAGGCTATGTAAGAAACTTGGAGAAGTAGCTATTAGCTATGAGGGTGAAGATGGGTGGAAGAACTAGGTTGACGAGGTTAGAGTGAGAGTGAGAATTTTGACATACACTATTTTTTTGTTTCTTGAGACAGGGTCTTACTTTGTTACCCAGGCTAGAGTGCAGTGGCACAATCTTAACTCACTGCAGCCTTTAACTCCTGGGCACAAGCAATCTTCCCACCTCAGCCCCTCCAAGTAGGTAGGACTACCATGCCTGGGTAATGTTTTTATTTTTTATAGACCTACCACCATGCCTGGGTAAAGTTTTTTATCTTTTGTAGACCTACCACCATGCCTGGGTAAGGTTTTTATTTTTTGTAGAGATGGGGTCTGGCTATGTTGCCCAGGCTAGTCTCAAACTCCTGGGCTCAAATGATCCTCCTGCCTCAGCCTTGCTGGGATTATAGGTGGGAGCCACTGCACTTGACCTCAACATACACTTTTATAAAACATTTTGATGTTTAAGCCAAAAAGAAATTGCACATATATGTAAGTGTGTATGTGCATATATATAAACACACACATACGTATGTGTGTATATGTGTGTGTATGTGTGTGTGTATATATACATATACACATAATCTGTATATATAATCCATGACTAGAATCTCAGTGAATCTTGAAATAACCTCAAAGGCAACATGCAACGTGTGCCAGTGAGACCCTATGTCCCCAGAGATGCCCCCAATCCTTGTTCCCCATGTGGTAAAATAGTATTATGAATTATGACTGCAAAGTCTTCTTCAAACTGTGCTCATGGACTGCCCGGCATGACATTAATCAATCAGCTGCAGTGATGCACTGTTGGCCCCGAGATCCCCTTACCCATTGTCCTCTTAATGAATGGGCCTTGTGCAAGGTAAGGCCCTGAACAGCTGGGGCCTGGGGGAGGTCTGGAAGGGAAAGCCTCTGCCACTGCCCAGGTTGGGCCTTGGTGGAACTGACTCAAAAGCAGCAATAGCCCTCCACTGTTATCTCCCACCAAGAAAATGTCCCACTGCCCATCAAATCACAGAAGCCAGAAACCTACCATCATCCTAGGCTTCCTAACCTCTCCCTCTCTCCCGTTCTCTCGACTCTTCTCATCTCCCTCAACCGAATTAATTGCCAACGTCTGCCAATTCCACCATGTAAATAGCTCTCAGAGTCATCTATGACAGGGGATCCCTGAGAGATTTTTAAAAATCTTCTTCAAAAAGGGGTCATGAGTGATGACGTGTCTTTCAAGAGAAATGGTGTTTTGGCATGAGCAGTTACAGATAGGACAGATGGACACTGGTTCTGAGATGGATACAAGCCAAATCCAGGCCCTGGTTCTGCTGCAGGTGGAAGGTGAGCCCACTTGAAAGAATTGAGTGCTGAGAGGTACAGTCTGGGGAGCTCCCCTGAGATGCTTTGGCTGAGTGGGTTTCAAGGATGTGGTGTGAGGTTGTCCTCCGTCATAGGGACCACAGGGGCTTGAGCCCCTTCAGGGTGAGCAAGGGATCACAGCCAAGTGGGCCAGCATTTCTTCCTGCAGAAGGCAGGTTTTCAATGGTGACATCCTGTGGCAGCAAGAAGCAACTGTCCTAAAATGCTAATCGGACTCCACAGCTCTACATATCGGAGAGAAAGTCCGAGCAGCTTCCCTGGGGACTGGACTGTGTGCAAACCCCGGCAGATTGAGGACAATTCAGGAAGAACAGACGCCAAGAGGGAGCAACTTCACTTCCCGCTAATAGAAGGACACAGAGGAAACAATTTGCCAGGCCTGGAACCCTGGCTTCGCTGCTGTCTTCCTGTTGTCCTTAAAGATGCAGTGTGACCTAATTGCATCTCGGTTCCCATTTCTCTAAAACAAGGATAATAATAAAATGGACCTCAGAGCTTTTTTGTGAAGATTAAATGAATGAACACATGTGGATGCAAATGGATTGAAACTTAGAACCCTGCCTCAGACCAAGGAAGGGCTATATAGGCGTGAGCTGTTATTATGATCTTTTTCAATACTGAGATTAGTTGAAGAAATAGAAGAGGTGTCTGGGTGCCATGTTTATTAGTTATACTTTCTTATCTAGCCACACCTTGACCCAGGACCATCCTGCTTCTTATCTGAAATAATTTCTTATCTGATCTCTCCAAATCTTGTGTTGTCCCCTTTCATACTCTTCTGTATACCTCCTGTGGACCTTTTACAAATGCAACTTTGATCCCATCCTCTTCCTCTTAAGATCCTTCAGGAGTGACTCTGGACTTCCAGAATAAGTTCCATGCCCCAGAGTCTGGCCTTCATGGGTAGCTAAGGTCTGACTCCTGCTCTATTTGGTCCAGCAACACGCAAGTGTTTGTACTTCACAGAAAGCCTCACGATGTCTAGAACATCCATGAATTCTTACTCATCCTTCAAACCTCTGTCTCCTTATTACTTCCTTCCTGAAAGCTTCTCAGACCTACCTTAGAGTTAATCCCTTCTTCCATGGAGCTGCCTCTGAACCTCACACGTAGTCAGAGCCTGTAATATAATTATTTAATATAAAAATAGATTTCCCACACTAGACAGAGAAGTTTTTGAATTAAGTTATTTTAAAAGGGGCCTGTGTCTTTTTATCTTTCTTTACTCAAACTATAGCACAGTGTTTGGAATATACAGAGGATGTTCTCAGTACATGTCAAAAGTGTTATTTGAGGCCGGGCGTGGTGTCTCACGCCTGTAATCCCAACACTTTGGAAGGCTGAGGTGGGTGGATCATCTGAGGTCAGGAGTTCGGGACCAGCCTGGCCAACATGGTGAAACCCTGTCTCAACTAAAAATGCAAAAAAAAAATATATATATATCTGGGCATGGCAGTGCACGCCTATAATCCCAGCTTCTCGGGGGGCTGAGGCAGGAGAATCACTTGAACCCAGGAGGTGGAGGTTGCAGTGAGCAGAGATTGCACCATTGCACTCCAGCCTGGACAACAAGGTGATACTCTGTCTCAAAAAAAAAAAAAAAAAAAAAAGTATTTGAATAGATTTGAGGTTGATTTTCTTCTCATGTGAGATGGTTTGGCTATGTCCCCAAATCTTATCTTGAATTGTAGCTCCTATAATTCCCACATGTTGTGGGAGAGACCCAGTGGGAGATAATTAAATCATGGGGGTGGTTTTCCCCCATATCGTTCTCATGATAGTGAATAAGTCTCACGAGATCTAACGGATTTATAAGGGGTTACCCCTTTCACTTGAGTCTCATTCTCTCTGGCCTGCTGCCATGTAAGACATGCCTTTCATCTTCCACCATGAATGTGAGGCCTCCCCAGCTATGTGGAACTGTGAGTCCATTAAACCTTTTTCTTTATAAATTACCCAGTCTTGCATATGTCTTTATCAGCAATGTGAAATGGCCTAATACATCATGTATTTGACTTGTGGCAGCCAACCAAAAATCAAAAGTTTGTTTTAAACATCAATGTAGTTATGACAGCCATTCGATTATTGCGTTTAATTTTATTAACTGATGAAATGAGGGATTGGTTCACCTAAGAACCAGCTTGATTGGCACAGGAGGGTGAGAAGGGAAATTAAGAGAAGGCTGACTTCGTTATGCTTCGGGGCAGGTCTTCAATGAAAATACTTCGTCAGCAGTTCAGCCCAGAGGTATCCCCATGTTTATCACTTCTTTCCATCAGTGCTTTATTTGGGGGCACATATAACAGTGACTACAGCCAAACTCTCAGGCAGCAGTGTTCTTACCAGGAACCAGACACTATTCTAAACAGTTTGTGTGGAACTCATTTCATCTTTCATAGGGTCAACAAGCCTGTTATGAGGAAACACAGGTGAAGGTGTGGAACTTGACAAAATTTACCAAGCCAGGATTTGAACAGCCAGTCCCTGTTTACTCCCACTAAGCATCACCACCTACATCCTCTGTTCGAGCTTGGCTTCCATTTCCTGTGTGGTTTACATTTATAAGTTATACAGGTGTCTTACTATCATTATCTAACACAGTGTTTCTCAACCTCAGCATTACTGACAGTTGAGACCCAGTGATTCTCTTCCAGAGGGGGCTTCCCCATGCATTGCAGGATGTTGAAAAACTCCCTGACCTCTGCCCAACAGTAGCACCTTCCCTCACCCTAAATTGCAATGAACAAAATGGTATCTAGACATTGGCAATGTCTCTGGGGAGCAAAATTGAGAACCACTAATCTGAAAAATAGATTAAGGGCATTATCATTTACTGTAAAAGATAATGAATATAAAACCAACTTAAATAAATTTACTGATATTTTCAAATAGGCCAGTATCAGCTGGGTGCCATGGGTCACACCTGTTATCTAAGCAATTTAAGAGGCTGAGAAGCGAGGATCACTTGAAGTTAGGAGTTTGAGACCAGCCTGGGCAATATAGCAAGACCCTAGTTTCTACAAAAAACAAAAACAAAAACAAATTAGCTAGGTATGATGGTGGCTACCTATAGTACCAACGACTTGGAAGTCTTAGGAGAGAGGATCTCTTGAGCACAGGAGCTTGAGACTGCAATGAGCTGTGATAGAACCACCGCACTTCAGCCTGGGTGATACAGCAAGACCTCCCCGCAACCAGAAAAGGGGCCAATATTCGTAGATATAATTGAATCAACACTGTTTTCAATTGTAGTTTGGGCTGGCAAAGGCTTTCCTGGCAGATGTGTTTGCTTGACTTTTTCTTTCTGTTCACTTGTGTTTCCATTACATGTACATTCTTTTTTTCTTTTTTTGTTTTTTTTTTTAGACAGTCTTGCTCTTGTCAGCCAGGCTGGAGTGCAATGGCACGATCTCGGCTCACTGCAACCTCCGCCTTCTGGGTTCAAGCGATTCTCTTACTTCAGCTTCCCAAGTAGCTGGGATTACAGGTGCCTGCCACCATTCCTGGCTAATTTTTGCATTTTTAGTAAAGACAGCATTTCACCATGTTGGCCAGGCTGGTCTTGAACTCCTGACCTCGTGATCCGCCCGCCTGGGCCTCCCAAAGTGCTGGGATTACAGGCGTGAGCCACTGCACCCGGCCCATGTGCATTGTGCATTCTTTTTTTTTTTTTTTTTTTTTTTTTTTTTTTTGAGACGGAGTCTCGCTCTGTCGCCCAGGCTGGAGTGCAGTGGCGGGATCTCGGCTCACTGCAAGCTCCGCCTCCCGGGTTCACGCCATTCTCCTGCCTCAGCCTCCCAAGTAGCTGGGACTACAGGCGCCCACCACCACGCCCGGCTAATTTTTTTGTATTTTTAGTAGAGACGGGGTTTCACCGCTTTAGCCAGGATGGTCTCGATCTCCTGACCTCGTGATCCGCCCGCCTCGGCCTCCCAAAGTGCTGGGATTACAGGCGTGAGCCACCGCGCCCAGCCTGCATTCTTTTTAAATCTGTGTGTGTGTGTGTGTGTGTGTGTGTGTGTGTGTGTGTGTGTGTGTTTTATTTCATTTGTTTGCAGGGGTCTTTTTAAAACATTTGTCCACTTTGCAGGGATTAGCTTAATTACAGCATTTTTATGATATTTAATTTAATTAATTAGGCATGACTAACTCCATATCCCCATTGCACTGAAGGAGGTAAACCACTGCCAAGTTCTGCTCATGTGTGATTCTCAAAAGTAGGCATCCCTCAAGAGTGGGCAAGGCAGGTGCCCGCCAAAATGCAGACAGAGTTATGGTGCTGCTGTCAATGTTTATGTTAAACATCCGTGAAACTAAATCATTTTCCTTTTTAAGACAAAGTTCAATATAAATGAACATCTTAACATATTCTGGCTGTGCACAAGATTTCCCATATTTCAGACAGCAGCACCATAACTCTGTCTGCATTTTGGTGGGCACCTGCCTTGCCCACTCTTGAGGGATGCCTACTTTTGAGAATCACACATGAGCAGAACTTGGCAGTGGTTTACCTCCTTCAGTGCAATGGGGATATGGAGTTGCTCATGCCTAATTAATTAAATTAAAGAAAGCACATGGGCAGTAGAATCAAAGGGACCCAGTGGGACCCCAACTTTAGCCTCTCTACCTGTTTGACCTTGTGCATGATATAAAATCTCCCTGAACTTCAGCTTCCTCCTCTGCTGCTTTACATGAGAATTAATCGTTATATGAAAAAGGTCTAACCTCTGGCATGTTCTCAGTAATGGCAGATACTCTAATTCAGCTGAACAACCACCTGCATTTGCCAGCCCTCCTTGCAGCCAGATGGGAACTGCATGACTCCCCAATAGTCAGTGGTCAAATGAGCAGACATGTTTGTGTGAGGAAATAGTGGGCATGAGACACACACACACACACACACCCTCTCTTCTATCTCTGCAAATGAGAACGAAAAAAGAAATATACAACAACAGCAACAAAATAAAACAGCAAATTTCAAAATAGAGATAGGTCGGGCCCCTGAAGTTACCTCTGAGGCTCCTAGTGACAATCGCCTGACCCACATCGGGGCAAGAAGTTAACTCTCATTTCAATTTCACATCCCTGAGATGTCAGGGCTTATCTGCTTATGTAGCATACACTTGCCAATTCTGAGTAATCTAGGTAGAGTCACAGATTTCCAAACCAGTAGACAATCACCTTGAAAATGACACCAAGACTTCGCATGTCCATACCACAAGATTGGTGCTGTTATTATCCAGAGTTTTCACAGATAAGGAAACCGGCATAGCTGGCTAATAGCACTTCTCCAAGCTAGAAAGTGGCAGAGATGGAATTTGACCCTAGCAGTCTAGTTCCAGGATTTTCTCCTCTGGGAAGCCCCAGTAAAGGTTTGAGTAATGAATGATTGATAGAATTGGGGGCACATTATGTTGTGTTTACTTATCACACTTAATCATGCCCATTTCTTTACTGCTAAGAGCTTGATTCATTACTGAAGAAAAAAGGTCAGTTGGTAACAAATAAATCATTTGTGTCTTTGAGAACATCAGCAACTTTGAAGAAAAGGGGGTGAGGATGTCTATTGAGTTGATAGCCTAATGACATTAAAAGCAAATGTCCTTAGTAAATGGTCAAACAATGATATTATTTTTCAAGTCAATAAAGAAGATGTGTATATATTAAAGTTACAAATATATATGTCTTCTTTATTGAGTTGAAATGATGAATATATATGTACATATTCATCCTTTTAAGTTGGTGAATTATTAAATGGCTACAGTACTTTGGGAACAAATTCTTCCTTTTATAAAGGACACAGCCTTGGGAGTTGTCCAGGGCATTCTCTCTTCTCTTGATCAAAGTGTTTAAGTCTTCAATATCATTCCTGTCTGCAGAAACTCCAGGCCCTGTTCCAAGGCCTGCCCTTGGTGAATTATAAAGGGGGAGCAATTTGTCTTCAGCACAAAGTTGCTATGTGTGTTTGCTCTGAGACTTTTTCCCCCTCTGTGTAATAGAGTAGGTGCACTGCCCTTGCTGGGTGCACTGGGGGATTCAGTGGCACCACAGTGTGCAAGCTGGGGCTCAGCATGGGGTCTGGCAGCTAATGGGCATCCAGTACATCTTCGGCCCATTCCTTTCAGGCTCCTACAGTCTCGTGTTGCTTCCTCGGCCACTAGCACCTTGTGGCTCACCTATAAAAGACTCAGTGACCAGGCAACAACCTCCTGAGAATACTGTAGACAGGAAACCCTTAGCCTGGCTCTATTACTGAGAACTGCTAGTAATCAGCTCAGTGACCTTGGAAAAATCGTGTGGATTCTCTCAGTTTCTCATCCATATAAGGGACAGTATTCATAAGAGAAGCACTAAGTTCCCTTCTAATTTTGACATTTAATGTGTCATCAGACATGCGTTCCATTCCATGCAAACATTTGTTGCCTTAGATGAAAAAAGTACAAGTTCAATAAGAAACTCAGCTCAAATATGTTACTCTTATTCAATATCAGTGCTGTCTCCCCTAATTGAATGTAATTAAACACATCTCCTATTGTTTTAAGGTATTCTTAAATAAACATTTTAAACTTAATTTCAAAATTAAAAATTTTTAATGAAATGAATCAGACAGATAAAATAGTTACATATATATGTAACTATATATATATATATATATATATATATATGAGAGAGAGAGAGATAGATAAACAGAGATGGCACATACATCTTCATTATAACAATATTAAAACTTAGTACACCCAATCTAGTCTCAGGACGAGATCATAGTCTGTACCTATGCAGTGTCCTCTGTGCCCTTTCCTGATCCCATTCCCATCTCTCTCCCCCTTCAGGTGACATTTCTGACATTTCTCAATTTTGTGTTATTAAGTTCCATGTTTTACGTTTTTCCATATGTATATATCACATAAAATGGTTGTTTAGTTATTTTAGTCAAAGGAAGTAAGTTATTTGTATTCTTCTGAGGCCTGTTAATTTTTTTTTCTGAACATGTTTTCTTTTGGTGCTAGACATGTTGATGTAGTAACTCTAAATTCACTCATTGCTATTGCTGAATAATATTCCATTATAAGAATAAACCAGAATTTATGAGATTCCACAGCTATATTCAGTTTCTTCTGAGTATGGAGGGTGTGTGTGTGTGTGTGTGTGTGAGTGTGCGTGTGAGTGTGAGTGTGTGAGAGAGTGTGAGTGTGTGTGTGTGAGAGTGTGTGTGTGAGTGTGTGTGTGAGAGTGTGTGTATGTGTCTGAGCATGCACATTTCCAATAAGGGTGCTAAGACTATTAATGTATTCACCTCTTGGTACACTTATGCCTGTTTTCTCTATGCATTTAAGAGGACAATTGCTGAATTATAGAGTACATACATGTTCCAATGTACGGGTAGTCCCACATTATTTTCTGAAAGGATTGTATCATTTTAAACTCGCATCAGCAGGGGGCACAAGTTCCCATGGCTACGTGTCTTCCTAATACCTGATAAGGTCAGACTCTGATTTTGCCAGTCTAATGAATTGGAAATGGCCTTTTGTGCAGAAATGGTTTTTCTTTGCATGTTTCTGATTGTAAGTGATATTCAGGTCTCCTTTTGTGCTTACTGGCCATTCATGTTTCCTGTACTCTGAAATGCTTGCTGTTTTGCTGATGTTTATTACTGGGTCATTTATCTTTTTCTTATGAGTTTGTAGGAGTGTTTTATGTAGTCATAGTATTTTTTAGGTTTTATGTGTTCAAATACCTTCTCACGATGTGTGGTTCTTGTTTATCCACATTTCCGTGATGTCTTCAGATGAATAGAACTTTGTGTTAATATGTTGATCTTTATATTTTTCATTATCTTTGCTTTTGTGTTGCTTTTTAAGAACACTTCCTCATCATGAAAGCCATTAAGATCCTCCCCTATGTTATTTTTTAATTATAGGACTTTGATTTTTACTTTTTCTATCCAATGACTCAGCACCATTCATTGTCCAGGCCATGCTCCCCTGAGTAATCGGCCACACCAACTCTATGACAGACGAGGTTTGCATACAAGGAGGGTCTGGCTCTGGGCTCTCTGTTTTGTTCCATTAGTGTAGTGGGTCTGGCTCTGGGCTCTTGATTTCGCTCCATTAGTGTAATTTGTTTCCCCTCTTATAAACAATATGTTACTGTTCATAATACTATAGTTTTGCAATGAATCTTGTTATTTCCTACTGTATTGTCACTCATCTGGTTCTTCTTCAGGAAGAATTTATTCAGGTATGTCAGTGATTCCTGACAACACACCACTGCAGGATTCTGGAAGGAATAGGACAAAAATGTGTTTTTCCTTTAAACTTTAGAATAAGCTTTGCTAAGTTTCATAACAACACTATTTAGGGTTCTTTTTTGAGATTTCTAATAATTACAGAGAGCAATTTGGGGGTTACTAACATATTTACAAAAATGAGTATACATTTATTTCAATCTTCTAATGCAATAAAAGTTTGTAATTTTCTTCTTAAGCCACTTGAAAACATTGTATTCCATTTAGACCTAGGTGCCATGTTTTTTGTGGCTATTTTATTTTATGAGACAAGGTCTCACTCTGCACAGGCTGGAGGGCAGTGATGTGATCACAGCTCACTGCAGCCTCCATTTCCTGAAATCAGATGATTCTCCCACTTCAGCCTCCCAAGTAGCTGGGACTACGGGCATGTGCCACCACACCCAGCTAATTTTTTGTGTTTTTAGTAGAGATGGGGTTCCGCCATGTTGCGTAGGCTGGTCTCCAACTCCTGTACTCAAGCAGTCCGCCTGCCTCGGCCTCCCAAAGTACTGAGATTAAAGGCATGAGTCACCTTGACCAGCCTAGTTATTTATTTATTTATTTGTTTATTTGTTTATTTATTTATTTATTTTTGAGATGGAGTCTCACTCTGTCACCAGGCCGGAGTGCAGTAGCATCATCTTGGCTCACTGCAACCTCCCACTCCCTGGTTCAAGCAATTCTCCTGCCTCAGCCTCCCAAGTAGCTGGGATTACAGGCACGCACCACCACGCCCAGCTAATTTTTGTATTTTTAGTAGAGACAGGGTTTCACCATGTTGGCCAGGATGGCCTTGATCTCCTGACCTCGTGATCCACCCGCCTCAGCCTCCCAAAGTGCTGGGATTACAGGAGTAAGCCACTGGATCCGGCCCTGGCCTGGCTATTTTAAAGGTATTTTTTATCCATCAGTAGGTAGAAATGCAACTGACTATAGCATTGGCTTTTACTGTCTACTCAGTTTGTTTAGGCTGCTATACAAAAATGTCATAAACTGGGTGGCTTATAAACAATAGAAATGTATGTCTTTTAGTTCCAGAGTCTGAGAAATTCACGATCAAGAGGTGAGCAGATTTGATGTCTGGTGAGAGCCATCTTCTCACTGTAACCTCATACGGAGGAGGGAGGCAAGGCTGCTCTCTGGGGCCTCTTTCACCAGGGCACTAAATGCCATTCATGAGGCCTCCATCCTCATGAACAAATCACTTTCCAGGGACCTCACCTCCAAATGTCCTCCCACTGATGACTAGGATTCAACATAAGAATTTGATGAGGGGTCCCCAATCCAGACCATTGCACCATGTCTATGCTAAAAACGGAAATTTACATGGTTAGCTGGGTCTTCTCCCTGATATCTAGATATGTATAACCAACTCCCTGGAGGTCCTGTTAGGAATCGTCAGGTGTCCCAAAGTAACCGTTCTAAAGCATATCTATTGGTCCCCGACCAGACCACTTCCCAACATCCCCCTCACTCACAGCTTCTATGATTCAGCAAATGTCTCAACACCAAACCCAGTGCTCAGGCCAAAATATAGGAGCACCCCTCTCCTGCCTCACAACTTGCAACAGTTACGCCCTTCAGTGGCACCTCAAAAACCTTCCCCAAATAGCTCACTTCACCACCTGCACAGCCACCTCCCACCTGGCCCCCACACCTGTCATCTTTACCCTATAAATCTTCCAGAGAGACATATCTTAAGAACTTACACTAGTTTTCTAAAAAAAAAAAATTTATTGCTTAGTCCATTTGGACTGATATAACAAAATATCATAAAATTGGTAGCTTATAATCAACAGAAATTGGCAGCTTATAAACAACAGAAATTTATATCTGGAGGCTTGGAAGTTCAAGATCAAGGTGCTGGAAGATGTGGTGTCTGGTGGGGGCTGGGGGCCTGGCTTCTTTATAAAGAAACCTCTTCTTACTGCATCCTATCATAGCGGAAGGGAAAACAAGCTCCCTTGAGCCTCTTTTGTAAGGGCACTAATTTCATTTATATCCTAATCACCTCCCAAAGGCCCTTCTCTTAACAGCACCCTTGGGGATTAGGTTTCAACATATGAATTTAGGGAGGACAAAGGCATTCAGACCATGACAGCCATATTCTTATGATCTGTTACTAATTCCAATAATTTGTCTATAGATTCATTTGATTTCTTATGCAGACAGTTGTGTTAGCTGGGAATAATGGTAGTTTTGATTGCTTCTTTTCATATTTTATACAAATGATTTGTCTTTCATGTCATAGGTCCCTGGCTGAACATAGAATGCAGGAGACGACAGTGAGCAGTCTCCCATTGATCTTTATTTTAAAGAGAATGCTTTTAAACAATTCAATGTTGTATATATCATTCCATTATTTTACCTGTAGATACCCATAAATGATTGAAGAAAGTTTTCTTTTATTCTTATATTACTAAACTTTTTAGTACCAAATGATTATTGAAATTTTACCATTCTTTTCTACATCTATTAAGATAAGTAGGTGATTTTTCTTTTTCACTTCTGTGAATAGAGTAGATTACATTAATATGTTTTATTATATTGATGTAAATTTGTATTCCTGGAATAAACCTCAATTGGTCATTATTCACCTTCTTTTTGCAAACACTTCCATTTAGACTGCCAGTTTTATTTAGAAATGTTATATTATGTTTATGAATGAGATTCAAATACAATTTTCCTTGACTCTACTAATCTTGCTTGGTTGTAGAATCAAAGTTATACCAACACTCTCTTTTTCACTTTTTTGAAATATTTTATATAATATGAATAATATCTGCTTCTCGAGTACTTAACTATAAAATAATTAGGGGGGGGGGTTCTAAAATTTTCTTTACAGGAAGAGATTTAATTGTTGATTTAGTTTCCTCACAGAGGAACCTGCTGTGTAAAAGTGGATAAATCACTGGTTCTCCCTGGATCATTGTCTTCATTTATAAAACCTATTGAGTTCTATCATGTTATGTAAGCTCCTTTCTTCATTTTATACTTGCTGTAGGTCTGAGCAGTGACACGACTCAGTCTTCTCTCTAACTCTGTTTTCTCCTCCTGAAGTTGTCACAAAGTCGCAGCTTTTATGGAAAAATTTATAATAAATAAATTTATAATAAATTTTTATTTTTTAAAATTTAATAAATTTTCTTTAAAAATTTATAATAAATTTTATAATATAGTTATTAGGCGAAGCTCCAGAGGTGGAAGACGGACGTTCCAGGATTGAAGCAAATTGAGCCTATTTATAAACTGAAGGAACCAGAAAGAGTGAGAGTACAGAAAAAGAGAGGGAGGGAAGAAAGAACAGCGAGGTCCTGAGGAAGGCTTTACTGCTAGAGAGGAAGATTTGGAATCAGAGATTGAGGAAAATGGGAAACCTGGACTGGTGTAGAAGAATAGGTGATCAGGCACAGGCTGATGGCTTGATATGACAGATACGGGCAGGTCGCTGGGCTGTGGCTTGGATTCCAGAGGATCTACAGCAGGACTGGAGTGGAGAGAGCTCACTGTATGAATTAGGGTAATTATCGGATGCTGGCTGAAGAGCTGAATCGTGATAAGCTGGAGGAGGATGAGGGAAGTGGGGGCTGGAGGTGTCTGTGATATTAAAGTAAAAAGAGGTGGTGTGGAAGGGAAAGAGGACGCTAAAATGCCGGAACTTAAAATTAAATTCAATTAAATTTTTTAAAAAATGCAGCTACTATGATCAGAAAGAACAGGTCTGAATGTACATGCTTGTCAGGGTGGAGTGCTCTGAGTTTGGGATTGGGTTAAGGTTAGGGTAAATACCCAGGGACATCATGGGAGGGGAAATGAAAGGAGACTCTGTGGCAAGATAGAGTGAAGCCAGGGCTGTAGAGAAGCATCTGCAGTGAGTGGTTGATTTTGCCATTACTGTCTGCCCCAAAGAGTGTTAAGAAATTTACATATGTTATGTAATTTAATCCTCACAACAGGATAATGAGGTAGGCTTTAATATTATCTCTAATTTCCAGATGGAGAGCTGATGCTTAGAAAGTTGGTATGCCAGGCTCAGCTAGGACATTTCTGAGATGGGATTTAATTCCACATCTTTCTGATCCCAAAGTCATGACATTTAACCAGTATTCCACATGCTAGAGAGGCCAGGAAGTTTAGCCACTCATTCCGGAGACATTAAAATCTCCCAGAGAAACAGCAGGACTTTGGGTGGAGAGCAAGCCCCTGAGCCAGCAAATGCCAGAGCGAGAGCAGGTGAAGGGCGGAGGAGCAGATGGCACAGACTCCAAGAGCCTCTGCTGAAGGCCGGGGACAGGGACCTGGAGCTCCATGGAGAACAGGAGTATGGGGACAGAAGAGAGCACTACATTCACTTGAGGTGGCAGAGGAGAAAAGAAATCCCCAAGGGAGAGTCAGGTTTCAGTTAAGGTGGGGGCCCTGTCCTGTGGAGCTCTCGAGGGACATCTCATCACTCAAAACAACTCAAGCTCCTGTATGAGCACTCCTTGCATGGGCTAACAAGCAGTCATCATGCAACAGAAAATGTGCAATGGCAGCCAAGACAAGCTGGCCTGGGATCTTGGGTTGGGACTCTGCATTGAGAGGTCAAGGGAGGATTCCCAGAGGAGGTGACATCTGAACTTGGACTTGAAGCATCAGCACTTCCAGGAAGCATAGTGGGATTACAGACAGAGGAAACCTAGAGGTGTAGAGCAGTGTGGATTGTGGAGAAACTACGAGCAGTCCACTGTAGCAGGAACACTGCGGACATTTGTGAGGAGGTGGCTTTGCCTGCAAGGCTCTATAGAGAAGGCGATATTTCCACAGAATCTAAAAAGATGCTAGATGAATGAGTGCCAAGCAGATAAGAGGAGGTGAGGAAAACATTCCCCATGACAGGATGCTAGAGCACTGAAATATGGCTGGGAAGGGGACCTTCCAGTTCCCAGGAAGCATCACTGAGAGGTGAAAACACACACCTGCTGGCTAAGGCAGCATCCTCTTTCCTGGCTTAGGTGGGCCCAGCAGCAACACAATAGATCCTTGTGTGTATTTCCTTCCTAAGCCATCGGCAAAGTGAGCCTGTCCTGCATGACACCACATTGCTTCCACTAAGGTGCTGAGGATAGGGCCATTAGACCCACGTCCTGTGGGTTTAGACCCAGGTCCCATGCACATTTGTATATAAATGATATGAGAGTCTCTCCTCCTCTACCCTATTTCCGACAAATCCATTTATTAGTTCCCAATATTGATGAGAGAACTGAATGAGGCATTCCACATTTAGCATCTTTCTTGATCCCTACTTCTACCCCATGAGTTAGATATTGTTATCCTCATTTTACAAGCCACAAAACTTAAGCACACAGAGATCAAGAGATTTGGCTACGTACAAACATCCCTTGCAATTGTAGACCTTTTTTTAAAGGGAATATTTACTGCATGCTTTTGTATCCATAGTCTGTGATTTTGTTCCTGTTATCTCCACTGGCAGAGAAGTAGTGCCCCTTGCTCCAAGACATGTCACCAATAAATGCTGGACTTTTGGCTTGCTATCCTGTGATATTTTCACAAGGATCACTGTAGTACTTCCACAACCAGAAGCAAAGGGTATATTTTCATGCAGGAATGTTGGCTAAACCTGGTGAATTTTATCACTTTGGCTCAGGGCTTCCAGAAAATTTGGCACTCAGTGGGGCTCCCTCCCTATGTCCTGGTTCACCTTTACTTCAAGAGGCAGTTCAGGGACCACCAGTGGGTCCTGCAGAAGTCAGGCACAGATCAGAGGAGAGAATGCCAAGGCCCCGAACCCTAAAGACTCCGAACCCTAAAGACTCCCTCCTCTTTAGGCAAATGGCAGATTTATCCAGCGACTGATAAAGGAATAAGGATAAGGTAGGGGCATTAGTCTAGTGGATTCAGTTCAAAGGCACCGAGAAACTGAGGTTTTCAGCATGCAGATGTTCACCTCAGGGTGGGTCTGTGTTGCATGCTAAGAAAGGAAGCCAGCCATCTATTGAGCTCTTTCAGAGTGCTTTGTTTTTTCATTTACTTCTCTCACTAAACTTGCATCATGATTATCAACTTTTTTGGACTAGAACACAGCGAAGAGAACAGATTTGGAGTCTGAGTACCCAGAAGTAATTTCTGAACCTGCCAGTTCCTAGCTGGTCAACTGTGGCTTAAAAGTGCATGTTGGGGGTGGGGGTTAGGGAGAATGAAGGGATGAATAGGCAGAGCACAGAGGAATTTTAGGACAGTGAAAGTACTCTGTATGGTACTATAATGGTGTTAAATCATCATTCATTTGTCCAAACTTATGGAATGCCCAACACCAAGAGTGAACAGTAATGTATGCTATGATAACAATGTGTCAATTTAGGCTCATTGTATTAGCCCATTCTCACACTGCTATAAGGATACTACCCAAGATTGGGTGATTTATAAACAAAGGAGATTTAATTGACTCACCGTTCCACATGGCTGGAAAGGTCTCAGGAAACTTACAATCATGGTGGAAGGCAAAACAGGAACATCTTATATGGTGGCAGGAGAGAGAAGCAAGTGAAGGAGGAGCTTGCCAAACACTTATAAAACCATCAGATCTCAAGAGAATGCACTTACTGTCACAAGAACAGTATGGGGGAAACTGTCCCCATGATCCAGTCAACTCCCACAGGTTCCTCCCTCAACACCTGGGGATTACAATTCAAGATGAGATTTGGGTGGGGACACAAAGCCAAACCATATCACTAATCTACTGTAGCAATAACACTCTGGTACAGGACATTGATAATGGGGGAAGGCTATGCAAGAGGGAGGGGGGGACTATATGAGATGTCTCTGGATCTTCTGCTCAATTTTACCTTAAACTTAAAACTACTATAAAACATATAAGTGTTTGTAAAAGGTTTATATCCCTGAACTTTTATTTTATAAAATAATTCATAAAACACATGCACTTATAAACTAGAAAGACTAATAATAATAAGGCTACTGTGAGGATTATATAAATTATTACACACAAGGTATTGAGAAGAATAACTGACCCATAGAAAGCACTCAATATGTGTCTGCTGTTGTTATTATCAATAATATGAATACTGAGAGAAGCTCAGAGGGGAAATAATTTGGCCAAGAAAATGCAGCTCACATGCCAGCCTGGGCCTTCCAGGTTCTAGAATTCATGTTCATTCTGCTACAGAGGAAGATACTTCAAGAGTTCCATAGCTGAGTTAATCCTTGTAAAAAGAGCACCCTTCCATTTACATTACCCTTTATCCAACCAAATATTTTCTGAGCACTGCCTCTGAATGGGACTCTGTAACACATGCCTGGGCTCTGGTCCCTGTCTCTGAGGGGTCCTCAGGAGGGGGACATCAGACACACAGAGGAAATAAACAGGGATTAGATAGGAATCAGACTCTCAGTAGGGCTTTAAGGGAAAGCCTGTAAAAGGCTCTCAGAATCCAGTTGAGGCTGCCAGGCATTGGCACTCAGAAAACAGAGAAGCCTTTGTGCATAAATCTGGAAGGATCTGCAAGACAAAAACAGTGGCACGAGAGTGGGAGAACTGGAAAAAAATAGTGTGAGCAGAGGCAGAGTTGGGTACCCATCAGCTTTGGAACTCAGAAACTTGACAGCAGGAGGGCATCTTACTGACCAGCTAGCCCAGTCCCTTGCAGTAAATCACCAGGTGAAGTCATTTACTAGCCACATGCTCTTAAGTGGGATCTGAACCTTTCTATTCCTTAGTTTCCTTGTTTTTAAATATTTACAGCAATATTCCTACTGTGCAGGGTTATGATGACAAATGCTCCTTAAACATAAGCATTTGGTAATCATCATTTATAATAATCATAGTTACTATTGTTATTTAAACAGATGTGAAAACTGAGACGAGAGAAGTCAATAGAATTTCCAAGTTCTCACACCAAGCCAGAATCTAAAACTCTGTGTTTTTCATCCCAGCAAACTTCCTCCTCTTATGAGGACAAATTGGGGTAAATATGGGTAACGTACTCTTAGGAGGACAAATTGGGGTAAATATGGGTAAAGTACTGTAATAGTTTGCTAGGGCTGCCATAACCAAATACCACAGACTGAGCAGCTTAAACAACAGAAATTTACTTTCTCATTGGTCTGGAGGCTGAAAGTCTGAGATCAAGGTGTCAGCAAGGTTGACTCCTGATGAGGACCCTCACATACCTGGTCTTTCCTCTGCATGTGCAGGTCTGTATTTTAAATTCCCTCCTCTCATGAGAACACCAGCCCCATTAGCTTAGAGCCTGTCTTAGTTCATTTGTGTTACTACAACAAAATTCCACAGGGCAAGTAATTTATAAAGAATAGAAACATATTTCCTCACAGTTCTGGGGGCTGGGAAGTCCAAGATCAAGTCTCCAGCAGGTTTAAGGGCTAGAGAGGGCTCACTGATTCAAGACGGCATCTTGCTGCATCTTCACATGGCAGAAAGCTGACAGGCAAAATGGCCTAAGTTAGTTCCCTCCAGGTCTTTAATCAGACACTAATCTACTCATAAGGCTGGGTCCTCATGGCTTAATCACTACCCAAAAGGCCTTACCTCTTAATACCACCACAATGGAGACTAAGTTTCAACATTAATTTTGTAGGGGACACAAACATTCAAGCCATAGCAGGGCCTGCCCTAATGACCTCATTTTACTCAGTTCCCTCTTTAAAGACCTTATCTCCTAAGCCAGGTGTGGTGGCTCACACCTGTAATCTCAGCATTTTGGGAGGCTGAGGCAGGTGGATCCTGTTGGTCAAGAGTTTGAGACAAGCCTGGCCAATATAGTGAAACCCCAACCCTACTAAAAATACAAAAAATTAGCTGGGTGTGGTGCCTGTAGTCCCAGCTTCTCGGAAGGCTGAGGCAGAATAATTGCTTGAAGCTAGAAGGAGGAGGTTGTAGTGGGCCAAGATCGTGCCACTGCACTCCAGCCTGGGCTACAGAGCAAGACTCCATCTCAAAAACAAACAAACAAACAAACAAAAAACCGACTTTTAGTTTTGGTTGGGCCCAGTGGCTCATGCCTTGTATTAGTCAGGGTTCTCTAGAGGGACAACAGCTATATATATATAAAACATATAACACACACACACACACACACACACACACACACACACACATATATATATATAGGGGAGTTTATTAAGTATTAACTTACATGATCACAAGGTCCCAAAATAGGCCGTCTGCAAGCTGAGGAGCAAGGAAAGCCAATCCGAGTCCCAAAACTGAGGAACTTGGAGTCTGATGTTTAGGGGCAGGAAGCATCCAGCATGGGAGAAAGGTCTAGGCTGGGAGGCTAGGACAGTCTCGCCTTTTCACATTTTTCTACCTGCTTTCTATTCACTGGAAGCTGATTAGATAGTGCCCACCAGATTAAGGGTGGGTCTGCCTTCCCCAGCACACTGACTCAAATGTTAATCTCTTTCAGCAACACCCTCACAGACACACCCAAGATCAATACTTTGCATCCTTCAATCCAATCAATTCGACATTCAGTATTAACCATCACACGCCTATAATCCCAGCTCTTTGGGAGGCTGAGGCGAGTGGATCACTTGAGGTCAGGAGCTGACAACATGGTGAAACTTCATCTCTACTAAAAATGCAAAAATTAGCTGGGCATGGTGACACACACCTGTAACCCCAGTTACTTGTGAGGCTGAGGCAGGAGAATTGCTTGAACCTGGGAGGCAGTGGTTGCAGTGAGTGGAGATTGCATCACTGCACTCCAGCCTGGGTGACAGAGCAAGAATCTACCTAAAAAAACAGGACCTTGTCTCCAAAGACAGCCACATTCTGAGGTTAGAACCTCTACATATGAATTTTAGGGGCTCTTAATTAAGCCCATAAGAAGAATTTGTCACTGATTCTGGCAGAGAACAGATGCTAAAACATATCAGCTGCTATTGACACAGCATGGTTACTACAGTGCCTTGTCACTAGAGTTTAATGAAATCCTCGTGTCAACATCCATTGTTTGTGTAACATACATAGCAGAAGCCCCTTAAACCTTTTCCACATATTCTGCAGGGAACATCACACAGTTCCACAAGCCTGCTGTACCGTCAGGCTCCTTTTGCAAAATGACAAACCCTGTAACATTTTTTTTCATAGAGCTGGTTTTTGAAAAAGCTGTATCAAGATGTATTAGCATTCTCCAGAGAAACAGAATCAATAGGAGATGACAGATATATAGATAGATGATAGATAGACAGATAGGTACATAGATAGAAAGATACATAGATAGGAGAGAATTTATTAGGGAATTTGCTCATTCAATTATGGAGGCTGAGAAGTTCCATGAAATGCCATCTGCAAGCCAGAGAGCCAGGGGAGCTGGTAATAAGGCTCAGTTCAGGTTCAAAGGCCTAAAAACGTGGAGTTCTGAAGGCCAAAGGGAGGAGAAGATAGGTGCTCCAGCTCTAGAGAGGGGGTGAGAACAAATTAGCCTTTCCTCTGCCTTTTTGTTCTATCCAGGCCCTCAGGCAACAGGATGGTGCCTTTCCACATTGGTCAGGATGGATCTTCCTTACTCAAAACCACTGATTCAAATACCAATCTCTTCCAGAAACACCCTCACAGACACACCCAGAAATAATGCTTTACCGGCTATTTAGGTTTTCCTTAATCCAGTCAAGTGACACCTAAAATTAACCATCATGCAAGGTCTACTTGACACACAAAAAATTGCGCACATGTAATATATCCATTTTGATGAGGTTAAACACATGCATATACCCTGATACCATCAACACAACCAAAATATTAAACATATCCATCCCCTGCAAAGATTTCCTTGTGTTCTTCTGTGCTCTACTTTTCTTGACGGGGGGGTGGTAAGAACACTTAACCTGATGTCTATCTTTTAACATATTCTAAAGGCCAGAATACCGTGTGGTTAACTACAGGCACTATGTGGTCCTGCAGGTCTCTAGGACTTACTTGTCTTGTATAACAGAAACTCTATACCCATTGAAAAACAACTCCTCATTGCCGCCTTCCTCTAGTCTCTGGGAAATAGAATTCTACTCTCTGCTTCCATGAGTTTGACTATTTTAAACACCTCCTATAAGTAGCATCATGTAGTATTTGTCTTTCTGTGACTGGCTTATTTCACTTAGTTTAATGTCTTTAGGTTCATTCATGTTGTTGCAAAATTGGTCAGACCCATGAGCACTGAGTGGAAGAATCCCTGCTATACTACCCCAGCATGTGATTTTGCTCAGACATTAATGTCTGACCACAATGCAGCCGGGGATGGTAACCTAGGTATCAACCCCATCTGTCTGTGGTATGGAGCAGTGCTCAGTGGAAAGCATCATATAATTTGGGTGTTAGAGCCCCTCTCTTTGGGGGCAAAGAGATCAGACTTGAGTTTGACCCAATCTATGCCCCACCTCCATGTACAGAAAACCCCAAAACACTCGAAAACACTTTTATTTCTGTGTATCTATAATGTACAATGCTTGGATGCATTTGATCTCCTCTGCTATTCTCCAGGGCCTTTTCCCACTCCCTTTATCCTAAGGCCAACCATATTTCCTTTTCATGGAGTGCCTGCCCTTCTTATCTATAGGTAAATGGCCAAGACAGAGTAACATGCCTCCCTTTCAATTCTCAGAGAATGGGGTCAGCATGAGGAGGTGGAGTTCCTGTCCATTATTGTGGTTTTCTTTTAGGACCAGGGACTTTGTAACACTTGGCATGCCAGCGAACAAGAGGATGGCAAAAAATGTGTTAAAGTGTGTCTCAGTTCTGACCATCTATGATGCAATGTGTGGCCCCTGTATCTAGTGCACACACACCCCCTGCCAGTCCCTTCTGCCCTCACACTACAGCAGAGCCTGCACCTCAGAAGGCAACTCATGTCTCTGCTGCTGCAGGGAGGGAGGCTGGGAATGATAGATGGAGAGCGATTTGACAGGCCGATTTCAGTGACTGTGTGTGTGTGGGTGTGTTTCAACTTAAAGAATGCAGGAGGAAATACCATGTCCATGTACTTGTTTATTCCTGTGTTAGACAGAGGATGTGCCATGTCCCCTGCACAGTGGGAGGCTCTGAGAACACAGAAGAGCCCATTGTCTGGGTGGGGGCACTGACCGTGAACCCACAGGAACGTCACAGCCAACAGGAATGGCACCAGGACACAGACACGTGTGCTGCAGGGAAGCTCACCAGAGGGTGTCTCACTCAGCCCCTGCCCACCAAAGAGATTTCAGAAGGCGGGGATTTGGGTCATTTATTGTTTGTGTAACCCTTGACAAGTCCTTCCACACAGCACAGTTGGGAGAATCATGAGAGTTACAGAAGCACTCTGTATGTTGCAATTGCATTATAAATGCTAGTTATTATTAAGAAGGTGATTGCTCTGGGGCATGATACAGTTCACACTCCTTAGCATGACAACCAAAGCAGCTAAACGTCTGACTCAGGTTACGTCACTGTGCCATGCAGTCTGTTCTCCACATACATAGGGCAAGGCACCATTTTTCAAGCCATCCATACCTGGCCACACTCTACACCTGCTCCCTGCACCCTAGATGCCTGCCCCCTTGCTGTTTGGCAAATACATGCTTACTTGTCAGAACTGACATTTCCTATCATCCCACATGTATATGCATCCGCACAGACCCAAATTAGGCACCATTAGCTGTGTCTTCTAGACAAATTGTCTGACCTCAAGGTTAAGTCAGGAAAGACTAAATTCACTAAACAACCTTTAAGTCATTTTTTCAAGAAGCCCCCTGGTTCTGATAACCCAGAGGCTCTGAAAGAGTCTTGGTTAGGTCTCATGTTCCTGATTCTACCTGCAAATTCTCAATCAGAGTGAAACGCAGGGCAGTGAATTCATGGATAACCCTTTTGTGCAGTACAAGGATGTCCATTTCTATGTTCTTTGCAGTAACACAAACAGGGAAGAACATTTTAATGTATAATATTAGAGGAGATTGTTTGAATAATAGATAATAAACTATGAGTCAACAATTAAAGTGATGCTTTAAATGTATTTAAGAATAAAGGGAAATGTTCTATTAAGTAGAAAAAATAGATTTATGAAATACTTTATGGTGGGATCTCATTTTTGTACAAACCTAATCAAAGAAACCATAACACCGTGGAAGTACACAAAGCCAAGATAAACTCTGGGCACAGTGAGTATAGGTGATTTTAATTCTCTCCATGATGTTTTTTCTACAGTTTCTAAATATCCTATAAGAAATCACCAGGCAAAAATAAATGTGTTTTTATACATCACCTTGATTCAAATGACTCAAATTTTTGTATTCTAGACTTTCATTTATTTTAATAATCATCCATCCATTCATCCATCCTAAGAAAACTGATGTATCTCACGAAGTTGGCTCTGTCCCTTGCAGCCTTTGGGATATCACTGAAGCAGAGAGCAGGTTGGAGATCTGCAGATATGCAGGGGAGGTGCTGGGCCTGTGGAGGGACCCTTCCTCTACAGCTGGCTCTGCTTAGCATTGAGACCTGAGGGCCCTACACAAAATAAACAGGGGCCTTCTGCTCCATCCACGAAGGTTGGACAGCAGCTGCCAAGAGCAGACCAGGAGCAGCAGGATGTGGGAATCTTGGCACAGGCACGATGGGAAAGTCCTAAATGATTTCTGCGGCAGACCCTGGGCTGACTTTTAGGAAACCATGAATGCCAGTGGAAAGATCACTAGATGGGAGTGTCAGAAGTAGGAGCTGGCTGTGCCAATGATAACTGACAGTGCCATGCCCTTTACAAGGTTCAAGACCCTGAGCTTCACTAGCCATGTGCAAGCCTCTCATTTATACAGAGGAGGGAAATGAAACTCAGAGAGACCATGCACCGCAAGGCCTGGGAGGGCAAGTGCTGATGAGAACCCCCATCCCCACCTCCCTCCCCAGGACCCCACTGATACTGAATACTACTCATTGGCATCCTGACTGCCAAAGAATAGCTCAACCTCTGTCCTCAGTTAAAACATCTGGCAATGGGGACAGTAGCCTCAGCCTTGCGTACCTTTAAGGGTTCTTTTGAGGAACAAAAAGACTTATGGATGGGAAACCCATTCAAAGCTTCTACTCCTCAAGTGTGTGACCTGCACTTTTCATTCTCCAAGCAGGTTTCATGCTCACCAACTTCATTTTGCAGAAACCCAAACCATCCCACAAACAATAGCTTTCATATAAATGCATTTTTGGAAGCAGTGAAGGCTCCAATTAGGATTTTGATGTCTAAAAGAAAATGCATACCATCTCTTCTAATGTAAAAGCAATTTACTAACTTCCTACATAAAGGATTCTTTTCATTTAAATAGAGAAGAAATCTTAATAATAGATGATTACTTTATGAATATGAAAATTATATATTCGCTGCATAATCAACGATTTAATTGACACATCATCACATCTCCCATGGAGTGTGTGGAACAGATTTGAAACCATGTGACTGATTGTTCCAATGCTTCTTTTTTTTTTTAAAAAAAAAAAAGAGGTCTGCTATTCAGCTAAAAGTATAAGAAAATATCCCATCCAAGGCCATTTTTATTTATTAAGCACCTGTCATGTGCAAGGAGAGATTGTTACAGAGTTTATAATCTTCAAGGGGATATCTCCACCACTATGAAGCAGAAAGTTCATGAGACCAGTGCACAGATTGTCCTCATACAGTCTAGCTTTAAATCCTTTGGGGAAAAGGCAGAAATGAGTAAAGGAAAAGAGTTTTAAGGATCAGCTATGAACAAGCACTTTAAACATAGTCTCACTTAATTTTCAGCACAATAGTATGTAATAGGTATCATTAGCTCCATTTTACACATGAAACAAAAAACTGAGTCACAGCCAGATGAATCACCATACTCAAAAACAGGTAACAGAAGCAAGAAAAGAATCATCTGGATTCAAATGCCCACCTTCTGTCACTTACATATCTCATGCTATTAGCCCTGTCCATTGCAGCCCTTGGGATATCACTGAGACAGAGAGCAGGTTGGAAATTTGCAGATGCCCAGGGGAGGTGCAGGTCGTTCTAGGCCATTGAGGTGGACAACCTGCACCTCTATTGCTTCCTCTCACGTGAATTACGAAGAAGAAATACACGGCTCTGGGTGGGAGCAGCGTCAGAGCAACAAGTACTGAAAAGCTCCATAGGGCATGTGGTATTTAAAAGGAGTGGGAGGATGGGACAGGCTTGGGCTGAAGGCAGTGGGGTAGACAATTTTCAAGACGGAGGTGGCGAGCATGGAGCAAGATCTCTGCGCTGTCCAGGTGGGCTGCTTAGTACACATGTGTATGCATAAAGGTGGGTTGCAAGCAGGTTCTAGAGGACCTAGAACAACCTGCACCTCTATTGGCAAAGAACCCTGAGCCCTTCAGGATGTCTGAGTAGAAATGAGTGCAAGACACTCTGAGATTTGTGCAAGCTCTATCCTTGTGGGAGAAGGATTGCAGTAGAGACAACGGAGGCACGAGGTCTTAGCCAGTGGTTTCACTTTGTGACATAAGAGGTGCAGCCTGACCTAGGGCTCAGGGAAAGGCCTCAGCTATCTCAGGAGTAATTCCTACAAGGCTCTGAAAGGCTCTGAAATTGGCTCCCTGTAGGGGATTGCAGTTAAAGGAATGGAAGGAGTCAAATGATCTCTGGGGATAGGACTCCGAGGGTCCCCAAAGAAGCCCACCATCCATCCTTCTCAGCAAATATTTTCTGTATTTCCAATTACAGAAAATAAAAATAAAGATGGCCAATCACATTTGAATTTCAGGTAAAGGATAATTTTTAATAGAAATATGCTCCAAATCATGAATGGGAAATACACTGAAAAGTTACCTGAAATTCCAATTTAATTGGGCGTTCTCTATTTTATCTGGTAATCTACACCAAAAGGACACAAAACTCTATCTCCCTACAGAATGGGCCCCCAAGCACGGCATTGCGTTGGCCCCCATACCACCTGCAGCAGGCTCTGTCTCTGAGGATATGGGTGCACCACACAGATCCAAAAGCAGAACACATCACAGCTAGTTTGTACCATCGATATGGGGTTGCCCCAGAACCTGGGTGTCTGCTACGGGGCCACAAGGAGTACCTATGAGAGAGCATCTGGGAAGAACAGCGGGACCCAAGAAATGGACACAAGCACCGTGCGATCATTTGACTTCGATACACAGAAGGAAACAAGCACAAAGACTCTGGAAAGGTAAAATTAACTTTTATCCCGATTCCTTGTCCTCCCTTCCTCCCATTCATTCAACATTTGTTGACTTCCTGGGATGTGCCAGGCACTATGACCTGTAGCTATAAAGATGAGTGGGACCCCAAAAGGCAGCCTTATATACCGGGTTTCAAACGCTGTCTTTGCCATCTCCAAGCTGTCTGATCTTTCACTGACCCTGTTTCCTCATCTGGAAAATGGGCATAAGAGTACATTCCCACCAGGTTGTTTCAGGATTAATTTAAATGAAGTGAGCATTTAAGCAAAAATAATACTCACCAAAAGCTAGCTGCCCACTTCTGACGCCATTCTCATTTTCTATTCATGGAGAAAGAAAGATGATCTCATAATCCCCAAGCAGCGAGAAAAGGATACAATTTTATAGAACACCAGAGGATGGAGCAAGTTTTTAACAGAAGAAAGGCATTTAACTACAACTTGGAGAAAAAAATAAGGTGTGCTCCATACAGGCTTTTAATTAAACCTACTCAGGATTCTTTGCTATGGAAAGCCATCCCTCCTCCATCCTTAATAACCCCATTTAGTCCCTGAGGTTTGCTTGGGACTTGCCTTGTTCTCAGGGCTGGGGGCATTGTGCAGCCACTCAGAGAAGTTATACCTGAGAATGAAGACAGAGACCCAGTGACATCACTGAGACCCTGAATTGGACTATGTTTGAAGTCATATCTCTCTCCTGGACTTATCCATTACAGGACCCAATAGAGGTTCCTTTTCACTTAAACCAGTTTGGTACAGAGCTTTGTTACTACCAATTAAACAGCTCCCATACTAGGGGACATCTTCCATTAATTTTGCAAATACTGAGTGTTTCCTATACTGCTTGATGAATAAGGAAAAGATAAAATTTAGAAGATAGCAGTCCCAGCTACTCAGGAGGCTGAGTTAGGAGAATTGTTTTCACTCAGGAGGCAGAAGTTGCAGTGAGCCAAGATCGCACCATTGCACCATAGCCTGGGTGACAGGGCGAGATTCCGTCTCAAAAAAAAAAAAAAATTAAGTAATCTTGTCATCAAGAAGTTTTTAGTTGACTATTGGGGTCTTCATCTCATATGTATATATGGTAAGATATTTCTATTTGAGTTAGATTTTGAAGGTGGCACCTTATTCAGATATTGGATAATAATAAAACAACCAATACTACTGTTACTTAAAATACAAATAAAATTTCCTTAATTTACTTTAAGGAATTGTTGGTATTCCTTGAGGTAATTGATGGGTTCTGGACTATGGCAAAATCACAAGGAGGTGCCCTTGCCTGGACAAATATTTGAGACTCAAACTGAGCTCATAATGTAAATGGCAATTCATGGTGAATTGTATTGTTTCCTTGTATTTTGAAACATTTCAGTTAACTGGAGTCAGTTCCAGTAAGATTAAAAAAAAAAAATCTTGCACATTTAAAGTTTTTGAATTTCAATGTTCATGCTTTCCAGGAATTTTAAGAATACTCATTTTATTTGAGAAAATTTTCATCTCTATAAACCAATCAGAACACAGTACCTTTAATTTAAGAAAATTCATAATCTAATTTATTAGTACTAGGAAAGTATCACCCAGGCACATAATGAGGAGTAAAGTCCTTTTTGAATTACAGGTATATAGAGAGAGCTGGGTTTTCAGCTTCCATTTTAGCCGTAGATGAAGAGACACAAGAGACACTGAAACACAGTTCACAGATCCAAATATCAAACAGCAGTTCTTCCCAATGGGCACAAAATACTTAATTAAATTTGAGCCTAAACAGATAAACAGACACACAAAGAGCCTAAAAACTGTATTATCTGTCATTTCCCATCCAACAGAGAATAGACCTCTATACTTCACTAATCTATTTACAGAAACCACCTAATGGTCAGATTATAAAACCAAATTCCCAATCATTGCTGCCACCAATAGGAAGCAAATTTATCAGCTGTCAATGAACCAAAAACAAAACACAAAATTAGTAGAAAATAATGTCACAAAACAAAGGGTCAGCAAAATTTCACTATGCTTGGAATTCACCTCTGTAAGCCAAGAAAAGATGCACCTGGGCTTAAGGTGTCCATTGCTGGCAACACGGTTTACCTGGCTCTGTCAGGTGAATCCAGGGGCATCTCAATGGATGACTTCCCAAACTATAAAAATGATATTATCTTTGAAAAGATAAAATCATGGCTTTTATAAGTCACAGATTGTATTTAATTTATAAATAATGACAAAACCAGCAATAGGCTACTATAGGTTCTATACCTATAGTATACAATAGGCTACTAACTTTGAGAGTACTCAGAAAGTTCATTGAAAAATAGAAACTCATTAGTGATGTCTTTCCTAAATGTGGAATGTGAAAGTGTGTTCGTGCATTCCATGTGTAGTGAGTCATTTTACCGCACACTAATTTTACGGTGCCAGTGATTCAGAAGGTAAAGCTGAATTGTGTGTAGGTGTCTACAAGAATGTGGGAAGTGTGGCTGTGGATATGTGGTGGAAAGGAGGGGCATGTAGCACCTGTCTCAAAGCAACAGACTGGAGATGGCACCTCGTCCTAACAATTTAACAGTTTCCCACCACAAGGACATAATAAACAATTTCATGAGAGTCTGACATTAAAGTGCTAAATTCCTTGAGATCAGGTGAAGTATTGGAAAACCAAAAACACTTTATCTGTAAGAGAAAAGCATTTACTATTCGTTTTCTCCTCAACAAAATGCTACAGTCTTTTTTTCTTAAACAAGATTTGAAACTCACAAGGGCCAAGCTCCTACTACAAAGAATTATATCTAAAACTGATTAAAAACATGTTCATAAGAAGATATGTATGTATATAAATAGATATACATACATATGTATAAATGTAGATATGTGTGTATATATATTGAAAAATATACAAAACAGAAGATAATGTGTCATGACAACATATAGGCACGACATACCAATAGCATTTGTTGAGCATTTCCTGTGAGCCAGCTTTTCAGTAGCCAGCCTTTGAAAGTTAGAGAAGTGACGATGGACTAAGTTTTGGTTTCCCGTTAGGCACTTGCGGATGTGAAATCTATGTGTAACATTTACGTGCATTGCAGCCTTTGTGATTTGGGGCAAGTTTTGCCTCTGACTCTCAGTTGGCTCCACTGTAAACTGTGAACATGGTGCTCGGAAGCTTATGTGCTTTCACATGTGTCTGTGCTTTATTTTCCACTGAGCCCTGAAGATTGGATAAAGAACAGGGAGGAGAGGAGGGTGGAATCTGAGGAAAGGGGGACTGAGAAAATGAAGGAAGAAAGACAATCCTGGGGTTGTTATCTCTCTGGGAATTAGCCAACACATGCTATCAAGCAACAATCACTTGTGAAATTAAAACTCCTTGGTGACATGTTTAGACACCTACAAGTAGACTGCCAGTTGTTTGGGACTATGTGTCTTTACTGAGTATTGGCAAAGGCTATCCACTACAGCTGTGCTTTTTAACACTCCTACCAGCCTTGCAAAAGAACACAAGGAAATTGATTTGAATGACATTAATGCAGGGAAAAAAATCAAGGAATGGAGAAATAAACTGTGGTTTAAATATAAATTATTTTTAAAGTAGCTAAAATGACTGGCCTACATTATCCATTATTGGTTGGAAAAGAAGAAATTATCAGAGATTTATAAAATAGAATGCCACTTTTGGAAAAGTTTCAGACTCACCAACTAATACAAGATACGGCTTATAGCTAAATATATATGTAGCAAAAGTCCAAACTATAGATGAGAATGGTACACAACAATTTCAGAATAATGGTTGCATTTAGGGAAGTAGATGAAGTGAAAGTATGAGAGCTAAGGCTTTTGCTAATTTAGCTGTAATGACTGTTTCTTTAAAAAAAATAACTGAAGCAAATACAATAAAATATTCGCCTTTGTTAGACTTGAGTGGCGAGTGCCTTGGCGTCTGTTATATTTATGTACATTTCTATTTCTTCATTTTAAAATGATAATGAAACCTATGTACATGTATTTCAGTAAGAAGAACTGGTCTATCAAAAACGCAAGTGTTATGCTCACTGTCTGGGTGATGGGATCATTTATACCCCAAACCTCAGTATCGTGCAAAATACCCATGTAACAAAAATGCATATGTATCCCCTGAATCCAAAATGCAAGTTAAAATTATGAAAAAATATGCAAATACATCATGATAATTGTTACTGTCTAGAGGAAAGGCCACCACCTGTGCACCCTGATTCCTTTTCTGGCAAAGCGCTTCTGAATTACATTTTGTTTGTGATTAAAAATAGGTTGTCCATGGCTTTCTATATCATGATCTGCAAAATTCTTCCATCTTCCACTCACTACTTGATTTGAATAATACTCCCACTTTTAGGCATTTGTTGTGGCAGGACCCCACTTTTAGACATAAAAACATTTATTTTTAACCTATTGTTGCATAATAATATTACCAAAAATTCAAAGGAGTAAAACAACGTATGTTTATCACACAGTTTCTGTGGGGACAGGAACTCCAGTATGGTTTAGCAGGGCCCTCTGCTCCAAGATCTCACAAGGTTGTAATCAAGTTACAACTCATCTGAGGCTGCCCTGGGGAAAAACTTGAGTTCCATCTATCTTAGGTCTTTGCTACATGGTCCTCTGCTGAGGCAGCTCACAACATGGGAACTTGTTCTTCAAAGTTCACAAGGGAGAGCCGGTCTCCTTGCAAGATGAGCAGGCATTTCAACATTCTGTAATGTAATCGCGTGCACGAATCACATACGCCCCCATCACTTTTGCTATATTCTTTGGGTTAGAAGAAAGTCCCAGGTCTTGCCCACAACACTCAAGAGGGCCAGAAGGCAGGGATTATGGAGACCACTCTAGAACTTATCCACCACCCATCTCTGAGCTTCAAGACTTCTTTACGCTTGCTTTTCCCTGTGTCATTGGCTTGTACCTTTAAAATCTCTTGAGTATACGTTGACCTCTGAGTTTTTGTTATCTGGCTCTGACCATGAACCTAAACTCACTTCTGTCTTATGTATAGGCAAACCTTCTCTAACCCTGTGGACCAACATCCCCTTCTCTGCTGCAAAAATACCTGATGCAGTTGCCTTCCATCAGCAGCAGCTCCAAGCAAAATCAACTGGGCAGCTGCTCTGCCCCATGCCCCACAGGTGACATGTTCATATGTGTTTTCTCCAAATCTGTCACATTCCCACTGCTGAGATACATAAAACCTATTTTACAAATGACTAACTGGAAACTCAGATCAATTCATTATCTTTCTTCTAAATACATATTAACACATTGGCAATGGCAGAACTTGGATTTGAATCTAAATCCCCCTATTCTTTCCATTGCACCCCCACCACCTTCTTAATACATGTCTCTTTCTGTGTTTTTACAGGTTCAAGCTATTTGTAAAGTAGCCTTCTTCCTCCTCTAAATATACGCCTGAAGTTGAATGTCTCATTCCTCATCCCTCACTGTTTTTTATTTGTAGTTAAAAGCCTCCTCTAATCTTTAAAAGCCCCCTTTTGTCTCACTTAAGATTCCATTTCCAGAGTATGCAATAAAATAACAGTTCTTGGTGCTAGTATGACATGTTCCAAATGCTCAGGGAATAGATATGGTTATATCTCTTCTATTTTTTCAGTTATTGTTCAGATACTTGCATGTACAATTAGAACCTGCCTCATCCAAAGTTGAATGTTCTAGATATCCATGTATTTACTTGGTCTCAAAGGATTTAAAAACCTGCATTTAACTGTCAACTGGAGAAGAAACTTGGATCTGATCAGCCTATAACTATTGCATGTTGTTAGGGAATGCAGCAGATGAAGACGGTGCCCGTATCATGCAGCAGACAAATATTGCCTGTTGTTGTTGTGGTATACTTTCTGAACCAGAACCCTGCCTGCTCCAGATTCCATGGTTACTGCTCACAATTCTGTTCCTCAAGGCACAGTATTGTGGCAGGGTGACTCTGACTTGGGGATATTCTAGCCTCAGCCACCCACATGCCACAAGTAGGTCTTGTATTAGTTAGCTTGTGCTGCATAACAAAACATCCTCAAACTCAGGGCTTTAAAGCCACTATAAGTCTATGCATTGGGAAGTTGGATTCAATTGAGTGGTTCTTTTGCTTGTCTCAGCTGGGTTCACTTACGTATCTGTGAACAGCTGCAGATCAGCTACAAAGCTCTGTTTCTGGGGGCTCTGATATTAATTTTAACTATGATTATAGGGGTATGGGGGTAATGGGAGCAACAGGGGTTCTGTCCTCTTGCAAGTTACCCTGAGCTTGTTTACATGACAGTAGAATTCCAGGAGCAATAAGAAGTAAGCCCCAATATGCAGGGGCTTTTCAATCTCTGCTAATGTCACATTTGCTACAGTTCTTTTGGCTAAAGCAAAAATGTGGCCCCAAGTTCAGATTCAATGTGGAAGGGCACTACAAATGGAAGGGCAACAGGGAGGTATGTACAAATCAGGGCCAAGATACAATCGATCCATCACAGCCCTCCTTAGTGAGACCTTGACTTAAGACCAAGGAGTAAGACTGCTTTATTCATTTCTTCAAGATTCACTTGACTTCAGAAGTTTCATGGCCCTTCCGTGCATTCCTATTGATCACCTCCAGTTTACCTGGACTGCTTCCACGGATCATTACACCCCTTCTGTAGTGATCAGCTTTGCATATTATTTCTCCTGCAACAGAAGACATTTACTCCACTTGCATGAAAGAGAATAGTCAAGTGCATCTTTGCAGAACGATGAAGATGTGATTCAAGGTTATTTTTCTCATGATTGCCAAGAAGTAGCTGATGACTTCTCTTGCTTAAAAAGCCAAACAATAAGATTTCCTACCATATTTGCTATGCACTGTGAAAGTCAAAAGTCATCGTTGCATGTACCCAACTTAAAGTACTTAAAACAATATTTTTCAAAGTAACAACACAAATCAATAGAAATGTGTTGCCTCCTGTAAATAGGAAGTCCCATGGTGAAGCCTGGAGAGGACTTAATCCTAATTTGGTTCTGTTTGTCTCTATCTGGCCACGTTCATCAAAGAGACTTTTCTCATGTAGTAGGCAAAATGGCCCCCAGGAAGTCCTGCTGAAAATAAATTGTCTGCATTAGCAAAAAAATGGGTTAGTGTTCTACAATGTAATAAAACCATAACCTTTGGAGTCATCTTTTCTACAGGACAAATGTCATTTGCATCATTACTAGCAAAGGTGGACAAGTTGAAAGGAAATGCCACACAGAGTTCGATACCTTAAATACCAAATTTCAAAATGAAGCAGAGGTCAATTCCCCCAGATAATTAAATAATGACTGAGTGGACTTGATAAAAAAAAAAATGCCCCATTCTGACACTGTAAGGATTTGCTGCTCGCTCTCAGCCAGCTTTCCAAGTTTTGGATAAGTTTCTTCTATCAGTTGTAAGGTTACCACAGGGAACTCGAAGCACAATGAAAGGTTATGACAGAAATAATCATTCAATGTAGAATAATAAGATTTGGTTACTAACCTGTTAGTGACCTTTCTTTACTTTTTACTAGCTAGTACTTATGCTAGAAAGAAAGCTTTCAAATAATGTTCATATGTTAATTTAAAGTTAGCAATTCAAGGCTGGGCTTGGTGGCCCACACCTGTAATCCTAACACTTTGGGAGGCCGAGGTGGGCGGATCCCTTGAGGTCAGGAGTTTGAGACCAGCCTAGCCAACATGTTAAAACCTGTCTCTACGAGAAATACAAAAACTAGCTGGGCATGGTGGCGCGTGCCTTAATTCCAGCTATTTGGGAGGTCAAGACAGGGGAATCGCTTGAACCGGAGAGGCGGAGGCTGTAGTAAGCTGAGATCGTGCCATCACACTCCAGCCTGGACAACAGAGTGAGACTCCATCTCCAAAAACAAAATAAAATAGAGTTAGCAATTCATATATGATTAGTAATTTATGATAAGTACAGTGAGTTCAGGGTAAGCAGGTTAATTATTGCAAGGATGGATAACAAATTTAACCTCTTTTGACAAATACAGCCACATTAAATAAACAATAATAATTCATAACAACAAATAAATTTTTATAATCTAAAAGTTATAAGCAAATAGGTCTGAAGATATTTTTAAAAATAAATCTTTGAATATAACAGAAAGTTCTTTGTCCTATTAGAAAAGAGACAGAAATTAAACTTTAAGATGACAAGATACAGACTAAAATTCTGTGACTATCTCTCTTATCTTCCTGAACAAAGAATAATGGCTAAGTGCTTTGCATTTTCATCTTTTTAAATGGTCTTATACACTTCCAATGAAAACTGTGGTTTCTGATTTATAATAAAATGTTAATCAAGGCTAACTCATAAGTATGGGAGTCTCATATATTTATAGCTACATTTAGCAAGTAAAATTGACGTAGTAAAGGAAGTGATTATTAAATTCAGGTTTTTAAAAAATGAGCAGGAGCTAAGTCAGCCAGTGCTGGCAGGTAGGATAGGGAATTCCAGACAATGGGAGGAATAAGAGTCAATGCTTCCTGGTAGGTTGGATCTTGCCAAGCTTGAGGAACACAATGAAGGTGAGTGCATCTCTAGAGCACAGCCATCCATGGGCTTGGCCAGAAATAATACTGGAAACAGACTTGCCCTTCCAGGTCAAGGGCTTTGTACATTATCCTAAAATCAATAGGATGGCATTGTGGGTTTTAATACTGAGTTCAGAAGGAAGACCAGGATTAGATGTGTTTTTTGAAGACAACAGTTTGGCTACTATGTCCAATGCCAACTCTGGCCCTAGCTATACCCATTAGGAAGCAAATGAAGTCACTCTGGACAATGGGGCAGACAAATTCAATGGTCGTGGACACAGAAGTAAATGGGCCGACTTATGAAACTGAGAATTAACATAGAGAAGAGGCAAGGAAAAGCATTTAGCTGACATAGCAGAACTAGATGACAGGTTATAAATACATGAATTACAGGAAGAATTCCACCAACAGACAGGCTGTTTTGTACTGCAAAAGAAATTTTATGTAAAAAATTTCAATTTTTGTATTAACTGGGAAAAATCAGATTTGTTAATATTTGAATGACAATTTTCTTTGGCAACTATTTGCTGGAGTTGATAAGTGGCTGACTTTTACACTAGAAAAACACTCTGCATCATCATCCTCCCAAGGCCAATGCACCCTTTATTGTATTACCCTACTTCCTGCATGGATTCACCTACCTAGCCCTATAAATTTACTGGTTTCCCATCTGTCAAAATATTATTTTCAATATAATATTGAAATATATATATGATATATATAATATGATATATATAATATATGAATATAGTTATTACATATAATATACCTATAATATATGAATATATAAATATATTATATATAACATATGAAATATATATGATAATATATGATTTATATATTATATATTATATAATTAATATATATTATATAATAATATAAATTATATAAACAAATATATATATTTGTTTTTCTATATATACAAAATATATATAGAGAAAAATATATATATAGAGAAATATGTAAATATATATTTATATATTTATTATTTTTATTTTTATATATAAATATAAATAAAATATAGAGAAAAATATATAGAGAGAAACTATATATAGTTTCTATAGAGAATATATATAGAAATATATATAGAGAGAAACTATATATAGAGAGATTGTTTACATATATAATAATACATATAATTATATATATATGTATATCACACAGAGGAGGTAATAGCATCTAACAATATTACCTCCTCTGTGTGTGTGTTTTTGTAGGAAAAAACTTATTTCACATGAAGCAAATTTGTTAAGTTAAAGACAAAACTTAATGTTTTGTTAATATGCTATAGGTCAATAAAACCTTAAGCTTTGTAGTTATCTTCCTTACCAGAAAGAAATCACTTACATAACTTGGCAGAAACCTACAAATTAACATGCAACTCCAGAGTCTGGGCCTAATCAAAGTGAATAGTAAGCCAGAGAAAACATCCTCTAGAGAATGAGATATTCCTTGGACATGCCTGTTAGGCAATGTTCCAGCCTGGCATTGCAAGGACATGCAGTCATTCTTTGCTTATGTGTAAGTATTGAAAAATTGTTTTCTATACGTACTGCTGGTTAGGATGAGCTTGAATTGACAGTTTCATTATGCCAGTGCTTCTTCTGAAATCCATGCAGATGGTTTTAACCATTCACTTTAAAGGTACATTATTCTGCCATTTGTTCCCTTAATTTTTAAAGAAATTACAAATAAATTTAAAGTACCTGGTTAAGAAACTCAGCTCCCTGCCATTATTTCCAACCAGGCTCCTACCTCTTACTCCCTCTTTGTTCATTTGCAAGTAGTGCTTTTCAATTAAGCTGCTTCATTCTCTGAATGAAATCAAGGTCTCAGGTTTGGCTGAAATTACATCATTTACCAGCCTGTCCATTTTTCTAGATAATGACGGGTCTAATCTCTGCTTGGTTGTTTGTGGTCCAATTTTCTTTTGAGAGCAACAGCAAGCCATGCTATGTTTAAACACAATGAGTAAAGTGGAAAATTGACACAATTATTCAGAAAATTTTGGCTAAAGAGACGATAATCGAGTGGAAAATAATGCATGTTTCAGCAGACATTATACAAATGGGCTGTCTGTATCAGTCAAATTCATTTTCCCAATGATTTATTCCATAGATTTTCTCTAGTGGGTTATCTGGTCAGAGACTTTATTGTACATGACATATGAATCTCAGTTTAATGTCTGCTTGCCCGGGAATAGATTCCACTGAAATTTTTGCTGTTTTCTGTAGAATGAAAGAGAGTATGATTTAACTTGCACAGATACCGGTCTCGTTGCAGCTTCACCCTTTACTTGGTGTGACTCGGAGGCAGATCTGAGTACCTCCTATCTTTTTTCTTTCGAATGGAGGTGACAATGCTAACACTTCAGATTGTCGTAAGAAGGGGGTGAAATTGTTTATGTATGTATGACAAGGTGCTCTGCATCCAGTGGGTTCTAGTAAATGCGTCCCCACGCCCCTGCCCCTTCCTCTTCCTCTTCCTCTTCCAGGAGGTGGTGTGCAAGAGGGTGGGGTTCAGAGATGAACCATATGGATGCTCAGTATAAGGAGAGTTGTCTTCTAAACTCCTTTTGTGCTAAGATCACCTTTAGAGTTCTTACAATTGTAATGAGCATGCCCCATGCCCCATGCCCCATCCCAGACACACTGAACTAGACTCTTATTTTCTGGAGGAGAGGCCTGGCAAAGACAGCATGCTCAGTCTGCTGAAGACTTCATGAGAGAGACAATTGTGAGGCTCTGAATCAAAGAGATTTGTAATCTCAGAGCTGTAGGTCACCCGGACACCTGACATTTCAAACCAACTTGCTGTTCCTCTTGCATAACTATTTATTTGAACAAAAGCTAAACTGGAAATTGGATATGGGAAACAAAGTGGAGCCCTCTGACTTGAGTTAGAGGGTGAGGGGCAGTTGGGCTATGTACAATGCCCCACCCCAAAGATATCCACATATGAATTCTCAGAACCTGTTTATGTGACCTTGCATGGCTAAAGAAGCATTGCCAGTGTAATTCAGTGAAATGATCTTGAGATGGGGAGATTATTCTGAATATCTGGGCTCCATGTAATCACAAAGGTCCTTACTAGGGGTGGTCAGACAGTGAGAATCAGAGCAGATGTTAGGATAGAAGCAGAGGATGGATTAATGCAAGATCATGAATCAAAAATGCAAGTGACCTTTAGAAGCTGGAAAAGGCAAGAAACAGACATTTCCCGACAGCCTCCAAAAGGAACCCAGACCCTCTGACCCATTTTGAACTTCTGACTTCCAGAACTGTTAGAGAATAAATTTGTGTTAAGCCACTAAGATCATGGTAGCATGCTACAGCAGCAATAGGAGATGAATGCATGGGCTCATGCACTCCAGTTACCATGGCTGAAAGTCATTAAGATCTAAGAGAGATTTTCCATTAGATGATGCCAGGAAAAGGCCCCCCCTGAGCTGAGATCTGATTAAATTGGGAGCAGTTGATGGACCTGGCCAGGGCCACAGTGAGTCATGCCATCAGCATTAACATCTCAGCAAAACCCAAGTTCTAGTTCAGCTCCCCCATCCCCCATGCCCAAGGCAATGTCAGCACTTTGGAATAACAACAATTGCTACCATTGATTCTAGGATGCAGCAGACAGCCACAGAGGTTGTGGCTTGCACAGCTGGGAGGGCACCTTTCCCATGGTCTGTAATAATGAGTGGCAATTGTCGACTTGCATAGCCTTCAACCTATGTGACCTTGCCTGGGAATACTGGCATCAACCTCAACACTGTGCCAGGTAACAGGGGTACAAAGATGGGTAACTAACAGTTCCTGCCCCAAGGAACTCAAAGAGGTGAACCACCTGTTTTGATTCCTGGGGTTTTTGCAGCCCTGTCATTGAAGTGCTACTTCCCATACCCCATTCTCCCTCAGGCTGATCTGGTACTCATGGTATACTCCATGGGAAGGGGGAGGTCTTTCCAAGTCATCCTACTCCATTGATTTGGTAAGCCAGAGAGGAGCTTGTTCAGCAGCTACATCCTGGAGAGAGCTTAAGTAGCTGCATCTCGGCCTTGAAGGGCAGATAAAGAATAGAAACTGGAACATCACACACCGAGGCCTGTTGTGGGGTGGGGGGGAGGGGGGAGGGATAGCATGAGGAGATATACCTAATGCTAAATGACGAGTTAATGGGTGCAGCACACCAACATGGCACATGTATACATATGTAACAAACCTGCACGTAGTGCACATGTACCCTAAAACTTAAGGTATAATAAAAAAATAAAATAAAATTTAGTTGCCAACATTTAAAAAAAAAAAAAAGAATAGAAACTGGAGCCAGAAGAGGCACAGAAGGATGTATGTTAGGGGCCCACTCTTGCTAGAAACTATGCTCAGTGCCACATATACAAGAGCTTCTTAACTACTCCACTAACCTTGTGAAGTAGACATTGCCATACCCATTTAAGAAATGAGGAGAGCAAGACTCATGAATGTAACGTCCAGCCCAGGAGCACTCAGACATGAAGAGTAGAATCTATATCACTGACCCCATGGTTCAAAATCTTGCTACTACCACTACCACCAGCTAAGAAGTGAGTGGCTCAGCCTAAAGACGTCCTCTTCCATCAAATTATATTCTCCTTCATACACAAACACAAACTGAGAGTGGAGAAGGAAGGAAGGAAGAAAGGAAGGAAGGAAGGAAAGAAGGAAGGAAGGAAGGACGGATGGATAGGGAAGGGGAAGGGAACATCCTTTCCATCAAATTATGTTCTCCTCCATACATAAACACAAACTGAGAGTGGAGAAGAAGGAAGGAAGGGAAGGGAAGGGAAGGGAAGGGAAGGGAAGGGAGGAAGGGAAGAAGGGAAGAAAGGAAGGGAAGGGAAAGGAAGAAGGGAAGGAAAGGGAAAAGAAAAAGGAAAGGAAAAAAGTAAAGTCTCACATATTAGATCTGGGGATAATCCTTTTCAAGCTCATCATTACCTTGTCAACATTTGGTAGTATTTAATGAGCACCTATTTTGTATCAGACACTATGCTAGGCCAACACTGCGTGGCATTTATAGGCCATGTGGTAGGATTTTGGAATTTTATTCTTAGTGTGATGGAAAGTGTTTGAAAGGTTTTAAGCAATTGAGTGACATCGTCTGGTTTATGTTTTATAAAGCTCACAGGTATGGAAAGAGTGAGGTCAAGAAGGACAAAGAGATGAACCTTTGATGCAACAGTGAGTTAGAGCCATACCCAGGTCAGAGGGCAAAGGCTTTATAAGGGGAGAACAGGAAAAAAATGAAAAGAAAAAAATGAGATCAATAAATAAACGACAAGCCCAAGAGCAGTAGGAAAATGAAAGGAGTCACTCCTGGGACTGCCAGAGCAGCTCCACGAGAATCTGTACCGTGCCTCTCTCATTTATAGTTACGTCCCTGATGTCTTGAGCTGCTCTCAGCATACAATGTTTTATAAATATTTGTTCAAGAGTGGAAGGAAGGCAGGATATTGTAAGGCACTGAGAGAATGTGGAAATGCAATTGCTAAGCTGAAGTTTAGGAAATCATGAAGAGGGTGCTGGAAGGTCAGAGATGGCCGAAACGTCACTCTAGGTGTTTAAAAGATCTGAAGAAGGTGGACTCTACAAAACATATACAGATGCTCCTCAACTTATAGAAGCATATTTTCAACTTAGGATATTTTCAATTAATGATGAATCTATTGGGTATAACCCCATTGTAAGTTGAGGAACACACTGAATGTGTAACACTTTGCACCATTGTAAAAGGGAAAAATCTTTTGAACCATTATAAGTTGGGGACCTGTGAACCTGGCTTCACCCAAATATTAATTAGGATACAGTTCAGCTCTGAGTGAAGGAAAACCCAAAATGGCAGTGGCTGGTAAAAGGCAAAGTTATTTCTCTCAATTTTATTCAGTCATGAGGGAAACATTTCAGGACTTACAGTCCAGCTTGGATTCACAAAGATTTCAGGGACCCAGGCTCCTGGCAACTCACACTCAACCAAAAGTGCAATGTGATCCACACGGTGCAACATGGTGGCATTTGGATTCTAGGCCACAGAATGGAGGAAGGGAAGGAGAAGAGGCAGCCCTCTCTAAGGAAAATGGCAGGAAGCTGACACTGACTCTCACTCTCATCTCAATCAGAGCTTCATCGCGTGATCCCCTCTACAGAGAAGTCAGCCAACTATAGTGAGTGGGCTGGTCGCCTGTTTCTATGAAGAAAGCTTTCTTGGAGCACAGCCACACCCATTCATTTATGGATTGACTTTGGCCATCTCTGCTACAGCGACAGAGTTGGGTAGTTGTCACAGTAGCTGTGTGGCCCATAGATCCTTAACTATTTGCGTCTGACTCTTTATAGAAAAAGTGTATTAGCCAACCCCATATTCTACGGAAGAAAGGGACAGAAGCCATTGGGGGATGCCCCTAGTTAGTGTTGTAGAAGAAATCACCAAAGAGATGAAGTGTGAGAGCCTAGGAGAGGAAGCTGTGATCCCAGGGAGCTGGAAGGAGTTCACTGAACTTAAAGGGAAAGTGGGTGGGCCTAGTGTCCCAAAGTCCCCACTCAGGACCTCTGCTGGGTAAGAAATCACCCATGAGTGAGAAGTTTCCTTCTATGAGCTGCAATTTTCTCACTTACGAGAAAGCTTAATAACCACATCCCTTACTGCAAGTAATGGAGACTATATGAGCTGGAGAATGAGAAGTTCCTGGTACCAGGACTAGCACATAGCATGTGTTCAATCAACAGACACTGTTATGATTACAAGGAATATGTCATCTATTCTGATCTCCTTCTTCTAGAGGATCCTTAGACAGTGCACTGGGGTGAAAAGTCAACTGCACATTCTGAGTTTTAGTAAGGCCTTGGAGGAAAGCCCTGGCCCAGTGTGTGTGTGTGTGTGTGTGTGTGTGTGTGTGTGTATGAGACACTCACATGCCTGTGCGCATTGACCTACATTCTGGGACAAACAAAACAATAATTAATTGAAAATCATATCGTGAAGTTTTCAATTCATTTGTGTTTAATCATTCAATATTAATGACACTAGCTCCATGCTTGGGATACCAGCAAAGCAGAGGCATTAAAAATAATCTTTGAAAAAACTTTTTTGGAGAGATTTTATGTCTGAATGCTCAAAAGCAGCAGCAGAATAAGAACAAATGAGACTTTTCTCCATTTACTTTTATGGTTTATTACTGCTTTTATTTCAATCCCACATAAAGCGTTATACTATTTTCAGTGCCTACAACCTTCTAAGGTCTTTATCTGGAGTTGTGGTAATGAGGATGTTAAGAGTGCAGAGGTCTATGGTGATGTGTTGTATAACAGATTTGGTTCTTCACAGATGCAAGGAGGCACCCAAACAACAAAGAACCAACATTAAATCAAAAAGCTTCCCATGTAAGGCCTGCAGTTTTATCCCCTCAAGAAGCAAACAAACAATAGCAGCAATTAAAGCCACACCAACAAAAATAGGCCAGAAAAACAGTAGCTCTTAAAATTACATATTAGGGTTAAACTCAGGAAATTCAAACAAGTGAAATCAAAGCTAGGGCTGTCCTACAATGCCTGGAGAGACACTCAGCATCCTCTCAGCCATCCAGTGGTCAATGCTCCCTGGGGCACTGCCTGGTGGAGGCCACATGAAATGAGAAAAAGAGCAGCAGCTTTGTAGCCAGCAGATTTGGGATTGGATCCCAAATCTGACCCTTAGAGACCCCATGAACCTGCACACGTCACATCACATCTCTCAGACCTTTCTCATCTGTAAAATGGGGATGATGCCCGCCTCATAGGGCTGTGGAAATTTACTAGGAAGGTGAGTATAAGGAGGTAGCTCAGCACCTAGCACAAGGTAGGCATGGGAGTGGGCCCTGTTCCAGAATGTGGGAATGTCTTATTCAGTCTAATTCTCAGGTCTAAGGAACTCCAGGATTCCCTAAGGACCCAGATCCCTAAGACTGTGTGATGCTGAGATTCCAGTGATAGACCTCCTTGCTAGGCTCGGTCATGCCAACATATGATCTTGATGTTTACTAAGTTATCTTGCAACAGCGAAAGGCTCTAAAGCCAGGGGTTCCTATGATACTTGGCAGAGCCCTGCTCTAATACTCCTGGAAGGCAGCTGCTCATCAGCCTAAGCAGCAAGAGAGGCTCACAGTGATGGGAGGTGACACTTCACCAAGTCCATCTCCTTGGGTATTTCATATAATTCACACAGTTCTCAGCATGATACACATTCGGCCCTTTAAAATATGGGAAAATGCATTATTTACAGATGAATGATGGATGAATGAATGAATGAATGAATGATGACAAAAGGTTTATGTTCAAATCCTGGTTCTGCACGTGTATTAGTCCGTTTTCATGCTGCTGATAAAGACATACCAGAGACTGGGTAATTTACAAAAGAAAGAGGTTTAACTGGGCTTACAGTTCCACGTGGCTGGGGAAGTTCTCACAGTCATGGCAGAGAGTGAAAGGCACTTCTCATATGGCAGTGGCAAGAGAGAATGAGGAGGAAGCAAAAGCGGAAACCCCTGATAAACCCATCAGACCTCGTGAGACTTATTCACTATAACGAGAATAGCGTGGGAAAGACCAGCCCCCATGATTCAATTACCTCCCCCTGGATCCTCCCACAACACGTGGGAATTCTGGGAGATACAATTCAAGTGGAGATTTGGGTGGGGACGCAGCCAAACCATATCAGCACCCTGCAGTTAGCTTCATGATTTTGACACTGTCACTTTCTTGAGCATCAGTTCTGTTTTCTACTCACATGTTTGTTATCAGAATAAAAATAATCCCTTACAAACAATGCCTGGTACAGAGAGGACACAAGAAAAACTCAAAAATAAAGTAGTTATGGTACTGAAAGAAGGCTAACCCCGCAGGAAATTGTGACTCAAATGAGATAATATGTCGAACTGCTATTGTTCAATGACAAATAAATGCTAGTGATTAGAATTCTAAACGCTAATGGGTTGACTGGTTGAGTCTATAATTTATTTTCTTGGTAAAGGAGGTACAATCTTCAATGAGTCAGAGCATAAGAACACCTAGTTAGCTGAGCATAAAGAAAATATTCACTGTACACGCCATAATAAGAAACATTGCAATGATTTTAATGGGTTCATTATTTGTTCCATTCCAAAAGTAATATATATTCATTTAATGAGATTTGGAAATTACATCAAAGCAGGAAGAAGAAAATAAAATTACTCACTTACCAGCCAGAAACATACTCTGTTAACATTTTAATATGTTTTCCTTTAGCTTTTTATTTTCCTCTTTATAAATTTTGACAAGAAACTCTGTAGAATTTTTTTTACCCAGCAGTGATAATATGGTATATAAGATTTAACATTTACATTTTATTCTCTTTACTTTTTAAGATAAATGTTTTCTCCATCTTTGCCTAGATTTTTTAACATAATTGTAATTGCCTGCAAAATATCTCAAGTGTATATGCCTGTTTTTATTTAATCATTATTAAGTTTTTTCCACATTTTATTGCTTTCAGTAATGATAGAGTGAACTATCTATGCAAATTTGTGCATAGTTTTTCTTTTAAAATTTAGGAAATTCTTTGCATTTGATGAGCGTGTTATTGTTTGCACAGGAGTTCCTTTTATTCCGTCATTTGAAAAACATGCAAGGCACTGCTCCAGGGACTAGGAATACAACAGAGAATTCAGTGGAGATAGGTTCTGGAAAGATGGAACACACCCTCTCATCAGCCATCACATTTACCTAGGGTTGCAGGGACTTGCTGTCATTGCCATTTCAGGCACGCAGAGTTTAGAGATTCAAATGACAGAATGATACTGAAACCTATTGTTTGGATATAAATCCAGTGTGCTTTCTTGCCTTCCTTGCACCCACCACCCCATAACCTCTAAGAGGAAAGCTGATGGCTGGCCTCCACAGGCTTTCTTAGGTACAGAGATCTGTCTGCCCTGGATGGACACTGGACTGTGAGTTCCTTAAGGGCCAAGACAGGGTCTCAATATCTCTACATCCCCAGTGCTCAGCTCCCAAGATGGCACTCAGGAAGTATTTGGTGAAAAACTTCATGATTCTGTCTTCTCTTCTCTTTCCCAGTGTCTACTGTAGTGGGGTGCCTCCACTTATCCCGCTGTCAGCAAACCCCAGTTCCTGCAGCCCCGCTGTGAGCATGTCGCCCACACTCCAAACCCTTCCAAGAACTTGCCGTTAGCACAGAATGGCGCATGGAGGATCGGACGCTCAGTCCCATGTGATGGCCCGAGTGCCTCCCAAACTCAGGCTGTACATCCTCAGTGGGGTCTTCCGTGAATGCCCAGAGGTAAGGGTCGGGGAATAAATCCCAGAGAGACTGCAGGCAAGAGGAGCAAGGCTCGATGATAGCAGCGGGATGCTTTCCATCTGGGCGTGAAATGGGGTTTTCCTCTGTGGTTAATGAGAACAGCCTGTTTCCAATTTGACTAATGCCTTCCATTAGAGCTTTGGCACAGCCCGGCCGAGAGGCACGACTGGGGGCTTTGAAGTCATTTCTTAAAAGCCAGAAACTGCTTTGTCATTCAGGACTTTGCTTTCATCCTGCCCCAGAATTCTAAGGCAAGATCTATTGTGGCAGATCTGAAAAAGCCTACCTTTCCACTTGCTGGCAGGCTGGTAACCTTGGGCAAGATTTATCACCTCTCTGAGCTGCAATACATTCTTCTATAAAATGGGGGTGATAACACCTATGCAGCCTACTTCCCAAGTTCAATAAGAGGATCAGATTTGGAAACCACAGACAGCAATGCCTGCTACAATTTATTAAGCCCTTAGTGTGTACCAGACACTATACAAGGCATTTGACTTTCAATGGCTCATTTGATTCTTATAGCAATTCTGTAAGATGTGGTAAGTGGAATAATACCACTCCCAAAGAAGGCTACATCCTAATCCCTGGAAGCTGTGATATGCTAGATTACATGGCAAAGGGGAATTAAGGTTGTTCATCAGCCAACTTTAAAATAGGGAGATTATCCAGGTGGACCCTACATAGCAGGATTGTTCTTTAAAAAGGAAAAGAGAGTTGGAGAAAGAGACAATAACATGGCAGCAAGGTCAGCATGATAAGATGTGAAAAGGGCTCCACCTGCTGAAGCTGGCTTTGAAGATATTGGAAGGGGCCATGAGCCAAGGAGTGTGGCAGCTTTTAAAAGCTGGAGAATGATTTTTAAAAGTAAAGAAATTGATTTTCCTCTAGAAAGCACACATCCCTTCCCACATCTCAATTTTAGCCCAGCGAGAGACATGCACAACTTCTAACTTTCAGAAAAGTAAGGTAATGAATGTGTGTTTTAAGCCACTACATTTGAGGTAGTTTTGTTGTGGCAGCCATAGAAAATAATACACTCTTATTTTTCCTTTTCTTCTTGTTTAAAGCAGATGAGGAAACTGAAAGTCAGGAAAATGAAATGTCATAACCAAGATCTATCAGCTATTATCAAACAACAATCTGTGTTTTTCAGTCCACCTCTAACTGATTATTGGCCACAAATGTGTATCTTTGGGATGAATAAAGTCACATTTTGAAAAATCTGTATATTCCTAGGTATAACATACACCTGCCATCAGCTTGACATATCCTCTTTTGCAGAATCTAGGAATCATGGCTCCCCTACTTCTGACCTGCAATGGGAAATAAGTTTCTCCTTTTCCTATTCACAGTGGACAGCATGGAATGGAATGGTGTTATCAGTTTTCTATTGCTTCATAACAAATCACCACAAACTTAGAGGCTTAAAATAGGTCTCCTGACCTATTGCTTGGGTCAGGAGTATGGGCATAAGTTCAGAGCTCCACAAGATTGGACTGGGCTGCCTTCTCATCTGGAAAGATTCACTTCCAGACTCTCTCAGTTTGTTGGAAAAAAATTATTTCCTTGAAGCTGAATAAGTGATGGAAGCCTCCTTCTTCAAGGCCAGTGGGAGAACAAGTCTTTGAGTTCCAGATATTCTTTTAAAGGGATAACTCAATTAGGTCATGAGCACCCAGGACAACCTTCATTTGGATTAGCATAAAGTCAACTGATTATGGACCTTCATTATGTCTGTGAAACCCTTTGGCCTTTGCCAAGTAAGGGAACATAGTCACAGGCATGGTACCTCGTCAGCTTTGCAAAGTTCCCTTTGTTAGAATCAGGTTGCAGTCCTGTTCACACTTGGGAGAAGGGACTATACAAGTTAAAGAGGAGGGTCATTTTAGAATTCTGCCTGGTGGGATATTCCAGCTGAAAATCACCCTAGATCTTATCCAGCTTGAGGTAGAAAGAATTTCCTGTTGTTTAGCCTACGTATAGTTACTAAGCAGCTGACCTTCACCAGGTGGTGGTCTCGGTGCTAGGGATACAGAAGTGAACAAACAACAGACAAAATGAAATCCTAGCAGGTGGAGAAAGACAGCAACCACACAAATGAAGAAACAGCTGGTGAGCCTTTGGGCTGGAGAAAGGATACTCTAGCATGGACCATGAGTCGCTGTGGCTGGAGAAAAGGTTAATTCCATGTATGAGTCTGTTTTGCATTGCTACAAAATAGTACCTGAGACTGTGTAATTTACAAAGAAAAGAGGTTTATTTGGCTCTCATTTCTGCAGGCTCTACAAACATGGTGCCAGCATCTGCTCAGCTTCTGGTGAGGCCTCAGGAAGCTTTTACTCGTGGCAGAAGGTGAAGCAGAAGCAAGTCCATCACATGGTGAAAGAGGAATCAAGAACGAGGAGGAAGTGCCAGGCTCTTTTCAACTACCAGTTCCGAGTGAACTAATGGAGTGAAAACCCACTCATTACTGTGAGGACAGCACGAAGTTATTCATGACAGATCCATCCCTGGGACCTAAACACCTCCTGCCAAGCCCCACCTCCGACATCAGGGATCATTTCAACATGAGATTTACAGGGGTCAAGCATCCAAGCCATATCACTGTGTCATAGGGAAGCCTCCAGTGGAGCTGTCAGTCTAAGTTTCTGATTGTTTTCTTTGCAATTTGTGCCTGATTCCACCTCACAGCAGCCATGCAGGCTGAATGGGGCCTGGGGTGTGTGGAGAAGTAGCCTAACCCAGAGCCCCAGGAAGGCAGGAGGGTCATGCTTGGGGAGAAAGGAAAGGGTGAGATAGGGCACTCAGAAATAATCTAGGGAGGAGAGGACAGAAGCAGGAAAGGGGGTACAATGTTGGTGGGGACAGTGCACAGCAGGGATGGCCCTGGTTATGGTTCCGTCCTCCCTACCTTCCCCAGTGGCTCACTGCAGTCTCCACCTCCCTGCCTCAGCCTCCCAAGGAGTAGCTGGGATTACAGGCACATGCCGCCATGCCCGGCTACTTTTTCTATTTTTTTAGTAGAGATGGGGTTTCACCATGTTGGCCAGGATGGTCTTGATCTCCTGACCTCGTGATCTGCCCGCCTCGGCCTCCCAAAGTGCTGGGATTACAGGTGTGAGCCACCATGCCGGGCCTTCCCCAGGAAGTTCTAACGATGGCCTGGTGCTGCTGCCCATGCCCCTGGTTTTGCTCTAAGTCTTTAGCTCTCTTGTTTTCATTTGCATTTTCTCTTTATCCCACTCTCCCTTACTTTGCCTCATTGCCTAAATCCCAGTGTTTCCTTTGCTACATCTATGTGTTTCTTTCTTCCTTAACTTTTATAAACTGTCTCTCTTTCCATCACTCTTTAATTTGTTCCTCTCTTACTCTCTCATCTCCCACCCAAATAATTCTCTTCCCTGGGATTTTCCCTTATCATTTCTTCTCTAAAAGCTCTCACTTGACTCTTCCTTTTCTAGTGTGCTCATGTTCTCTCTCTCTCTCATTTTTCCCCTCTCACTCTCCTCTCTCTCCTTCTCTCTCTTCCTCTCTCCATCTCCCTCTCTTTTTCCCTATCTCCGTTCTCTCTCCCTGTCTCCCTCTGTCTCCTCTCTTCCCCCTCCTTTCTCCTCCCCTTTTCTGCTCCCCTTCAACACCTTGCTCAGTCCTCACTACCCCACTTCTCTTTCACCTTCTCCTTCTGTCCAGTTTTCTTCCCTTTGAAAGCCGTTTTCCCCTCTGGTTCCCTCCTACTTACCTAGCCTTTAGTAACTGATTTCTCTTTCAGATATTCAATTTTCTTTTCTCTGGTTCATAATAATTAAAAAGGACAATGTGTGAAATGCTTCCCATCTCTGTTCTCTCCTCTCATCCCATCTCCTTGCTTTCTTTAACCTTTCCCCATGACTCCTGTTTCACCCTCTCCCTCTCTGTCTTGTTCTCTCCGTGTCTCTTTTGCTACCTCTTTTCAGCTTGGCTGGAGAGGGAGGAAGGGACCGCCCTGATGTTCCCCACTTCTGGGCTCTGGCTATTCCACACAATGCCCTGAAGTCTGTGTACAGTCTATCCCTGTTATCCTAGAACCCTGTGTGTGTTCTTCTTTGCATCTGTCACCATATGAAATTGTCTGGTTTATTTCTCTGATCATTTGTCCCCACTAGAATGTAAGTTCCTTGGGTCAAATACTTTGCCTATTTTGTCTGTGGCTCTGCTCACAGTACTCAGAAGAGTGTCTGCACACAGCAGGTTCTCCACAAGTATTTGTTTTATTGAATGGATTTATAGATGCAGGGACGGATCAATACATAGACGCATGAATGGAAGAGTTTTTAATAAAACTAAACCAGGCCAAAGTGATGGGGGCATCTTTGCAACGACAAATATAAAGGGAGTCTGCAGAGGTGCCCTATATTGGATCTGGATCTGTTGGATGCATCTGAAATATGCTTCTACTCCCGGTCCATGTGGAGATTTCCACCACTAAAGACAGTAAATTGCTTCTAGAAAAATGACCATGCTTTACTAAAGCACTGCCAGAGAGGTACATACTGAACTGTGTTATGCGATGATCCTCAGCTCTTCACTGTAGCAAAACTGACTTGAATCAAGTCCTAGGTAGCCCACCATTGCCAGGCCAGGTTCTAACTGATTAAGTACAGACAGGCTCACATCCCTTCTCAAATCCATAAAACAGTGGTTCCTGAGCCAGATACTACCCTGAAGTAATATTTATGGACCTGCTAACTTGTTTCCAAGCCAAATTAATCAAAGACATAACAGGGAGGGAGATTTTTTTTTATTTTCTAAGTTAATGAACAAATGGATTTTCTATTCATTATTCATTGGTTTTTGAAATTTAATGAATAGCTCAGGGACAATCACTAAATGTTAGTATTTATAGAAAATCAGCACCAGCCAGATTCAATATACATCAAGTATTCAAGTGTCAGTTTATTATATGTAATGAATTCCACTTACTACTTTAACTATCTAGTATTTATCAACTTTAAATTTTTAATGAACAAAAAATGATGAATTCATTAAGAATGCCCTTGGTCCTCACTCTTCTGTAGTTTGATTCCTTTGTGAGAAGTGGATTAAATTCTCCACAAAAGCCTGCATTGCCTTTTATTCATGTCTGTCTCTTAAATGGTTTTTTGTTTTGTTTCCAGCAGAACTAATCTTTCCCTTGATATTCATCTACTTTTTCCATTAATTTCTTCTGCTGCTGGGAAAATATCTTTCCTCCTCTTCTTTCCAGAAAGACACTCATGGATATTATGATTAACGATAAACCGTCAGAAGATGAGACATTTTAAGGCTACTACTTTGCGATAACTTAAAACTCACAGCAGAAGTGTAAGAGAAAAAAATAAAATTCCATTTCAAAAGTCCTCATTCATTCCCTGTAGCCTCTACCTGTAGATATTTAAAGAGGATAAACGTGGAGGTAATTTCAAAGGAAGAAAATAAGAGATTGATGTTACCCAGGAAAGCCTCTTGACATATCATTATGATGATAATCGATATTATAATCATTAAGTTGCAGTTTTAGGAAGAAGCCTAAATATGCTGGAGACAGACATGAAACAGTTATACTTTTTCTCTGGTGAAAAATCTTTCTTCCCCTTGGGCTGTGTTTCAGGTTCTTGTTTTTGGTTTTTAGCATCCGAGTAAGGTTCAAGGGTATTTTTAGTCATTTTTGGTTACTGAAGCCATCATGTTTAAATTATTATACCTCATCTATTCATTTTCGTACTTCTATTTCGTATCCTACTCAAGGTTCCCTACACCCCACCTTATTACCCCACTATCTGTGCAAGCCAATTGGTGCTTCATTAGTGGCCCCACAAACACGATGGGGAGGCTAGGGAATGTAGTGTTCAGGCTAGGGAATGTAGTGTTCCCTCACCTCCTTCCCATTCATTTTGGGGAAAGGAGCAAAGAGCAGGGAGCTCCATAAGTGATTGCCTGTGATGAGATTGTTGCTGATGGGCTTGAGGAAGGCAAGCATTGGCTTTACAATTCCCCCTTTGCACAGGTTTCCCTCACAAACAGGCCTATTTTTTCCTGTTCGCCCTCTAAAGGCTGACTCATGGTGCACTCCATTCCACTGCTGCAAGCACCTGTCAGCCCCATGTGTGGGAGTCCTCAGCCAGCCTGAAACCCCCAATCTCACACTATCATGGACCCAAACTCTGGGGCCTATGAATTGGTAGGGTCCATTTCTATAATTCTTGGGAATGGAAACATGAGGAGAGTGGTCCTCTTTCCTTTTTCTGCCTGAACTTGCTACCAGACCAGACTCACCTGATATGGTTTGGATCTGTGTCCCCACCCAAATCTCATCTCAAATTGTAATCCCCACATGTCAGGGGAGGCACCTGGTGGAAGGTAATTTAATCATGGAGGTGGACTTCTCCCTTGCTGTTCTCATGATGGTGAGTGAGTTTTCATAAGATCTGGTTGTTTGAAAGTGGACAGTACTTCTCCCTTTGTCTCTCTCTCTCTTCTGCCACCATGAGAAGAAGGTCCTTGGTTTCCCTTCACCTTCTGCCATGATTGTAAGTTTCTGGAGGGCTCCTGATCAAGCTCCCTGTTAGGCCTGCAGAACTGTGAGTCAATTAAAAACCTCTTTTCTTCATAAATTACCTAGTCTCAGGTAGTTCATTATAGCAGTGTAAGAATGGACCAATATAAAAAAATTGATATCAGGCTGTGGGGTACTGCCATAAAGATACCTGGAAATGTGCAAGCAATTTTGGAACTGGTTAACCGGCAGAGGTTGGAACACTTTGGAGGGCTCAGAAGAAGACCGGAAGATGTGGAAAAGTTTGGAACTTCCTGGAGACTTGTTGAATAATTGTGACCAAAATGCTGATAGTGATATGGACAGCAAAGTCCAGGCTGAGGTGGTCTCAGATGGAGATGAAGATCTTATTGGGAACAGGAGTAAAGGTCACTCTTGCTATGTTTTAGCAAAGAGACTGGCAGCATTTTGCCCCTGCCCTAGAAATCTGTGGAACTTTGAACTTGAGAGATATGATCTAGGGTATCTAGTAGAAAGACATTTCTAAGTAGCAAAGCATTCATATTGTGGCTTAGCTGCTTCTAACAGCATACAGTCATATGTGTTCACAAAGAGATGGCATGAAATTGGAACTTAACATTTAAAAGGGAAGCAGAGCATAAAAGTTTGGAAAATTTGTGGCCTGACCATACGGTAGAAAAGACAAATCTATTTTCTAGGGAAGAATTCAAGCCAGCTGCAGAAATTTGCATAGGTCCTGAGGAGCTGAATGTTGATAGCCAAGACAATGGGGAAAATGTCTCCAGGGCATTTCAGAGATTTTCACAGCAACCTCTCCAACACAGGCCCAGAGGCCTAGGAGGGAAAAATGATTTCATGATCCCAGCCCCATTGCTCTGTATTCAGGATATGGCACCCTGTGTCCAAGCCACTCCAGCTCCAGCCATGGCTGAAAGGGGCCAAGGTACAGCTTGGGCTTCAGAAAGTGCAAGCCCCAAGCCTTGTCTGGATTCACGTGGTGTTGGGCCTGCACATGCACAGAAGGCAAGAGTTGAGGTTTGGGAACCTCCATCTAGATTTCAGAGAATGTATGGAAATGTCTGAATGTCCAGGCAGAAGTCTGCTGGAAGGGCAGAGCCCTCATGGAGAACTTCTACTAGGCCAGTGAGGAGGGAAAATGTGGAGACCCCATGCAGAGTTCCCACTGAGGCATGGTCTAATGGAGCTGTGAGAAGACAGCCACTGTCCTCCAGAGCCCAGAATGGTAGATCCACCAACAGTTCATACTGTGAGCCCTGAAAAGCTGCAGGCACTCAATGCCAGCCTGTGAAAGCAGCCATGTGGGCTGTCCCCTGCATAGCCATAGAGGCAGACCTGCCCAAGTACTTGGGAGCTGACCCCTTGCATCAGTGTGCCCCAGATGTGAGACATGGAGTCAAGGGAGATTATTTTGGCGCTTTAAGATTTAATGACTGCCCTGCTGGGTTTCAGACTTGCATGGGGCCTGTAGCTCATTTGTTTTGGCCAATTTCTCCCAGTTGGAATGGGGACATTTACCCAATGCCTGTGCCCCCACTGTATCTTGGAAGTGACGAGCTGGTTTTTTATTTTACAGGCTCATAGGTGGAAGAGACTTCTCCTGTCTCAGATGAGACTTTGGACTTGGACTTTTGAGTTAATGTTGGAATGAGTTAAGTTTTGGGGGACTACTGGGAAGGCATAATGGTGTTTTGAGATTTGAAAAGGACATGGGAGTTGGGAGGGGCCAGGGATGGAATGACACGGTTTGGCTGTGTCCCAACCCAAATCTCATCGTGAATTGTAATCCCCACCTGTAAGGGGAAGAGGCTGGTGGAAGGAGATTGAATCATGGGGGCAGATTTCCTCCTTGCTGTTCTCATGATAGTGAGTGAGTTCTCATGACAGCTTGTTGTTTAAAAGTGGGTAGCACTCCCCTCTCTCTCTCCTGCAACCATGTGAAGAAGGTCCTTACTTCCCCTTCACCGTCTGCCATGATTGTAAGTTTCCTGAGGCCTCACATTCATGTGTCCTGTTAAGCCTTGGAACTGTGAGTCAATTGAATCTCTTTTCTTTGTAAATTACCCAGTCTTAGGTAGTTCTTTATAGCAGTGTGAGAATGGACTAATACATCCCCCACAGCTTCATTGCTTGCTCCAAGAACCTCAGCCATGTCAGCAAGCCCAGTGCATAAGGAGCTTCCAACTAGGAAACAAAATAGTCTTCCCCTGTGACAGAAGCCCCTTAATTAGCCAGTTTTATTAGTGGCTGTTTGGAGACCTCTATCCTTTAGTTTTGGTTCTGAAGAAGCTACTCTAGGATTTTCACCCAGTTCTCCACTCGTTCCTATAGCCATGCACTTTTCAATCAGACCCTCAGCTAGAACCTCTTGTACAGAGGTGTCATCTATTTCCCTACCCCCTGAGCATGGGCTGAACTTACAATAAGATAGAATATGGTGGAATTTTGTGTTACATCTGAGCCTAGACCTTAAGAGATTTTGTGCACTCCTTTTCACTCTTGGAATTCTCCCCAGGACTTAGGAACTATTTACAGTTGTGTTGCTATTTACATGATGCTTAAAATCTGCCCCCTAAAATATATTCTAACTTATCAAACAGGGAAATCCTGCCTATTTTGTTCTGTATATTCAGCTCCTAGTGTCTGGCTTTCAGTGGTACCCAAAAGTATTTGTACTAGGAGAAGCACAGACTAAAGTGGAATTTCTGGGGGGACAATGCTCTAAGATAATGTTTTTAAACTCAAATATTTACTGTGATTTTATTTATGATATGTCAAGCAACCTGAGTTCTTCCTGCTATCACCATCAATCTTCCCACCCCAGATCTTCAGTAGAACCAATTCTTCTTATGAAGTGTATTTTGCAGTTGAAATTCGTGTATTTTTGTTTCTCTGAGAAAACAGATTAAGGAATGAGTCATATTTGAATTAATACAGTAGAATAACAAGACTGAATACAAGGAAGTAGAGCCCAGTGGAAAGAGGAGGAAGAGAAAGTTAACACTTTTTATAAATTTGTCTAAAGCTGGGGGAGATTTTTGGACTTCCACATGCTGTGGAATTTGGGATGCCAAGACAATTTTACCTAGAAAGCTGCAGGAATGCTCCAGCCAATATCAGAGTTACGTAAAGATGGATGAATTAGACTGCTTTCCGACCCTGACAAGCTTATGCTGTGGTCATATCTGAAGCTTATGTGCACACCGAGTTTTCATGCCCAAATATCTTCAAGACTGAGCTCCTCAAAATGCTATACATATTCCAAAAGGCAGCACAGATCACAGGAACACTAGGAAATTGGAAGCCAAAGGGCATGAATCCTAACCTCAATTCTGGCACTGGATCTGTAAGTTTGCCCGGACAAGGGCCCTCCTCTCTCCAGGGCTCAGTTTGTGTGAGCTGAGCAGGTGCTCTGGGAATACCCACTCTGCCTCAGCTCCATGTGGTGCCTTGAAGGAGGTACAGATAGGATTGAGGGGTTGTTTCTTCTACCTTTTCATGTGAGGTACTTATTAATACTTTCTCTAGTGCTATTCAGAGATCATCCTAGGAAGCAGAATAAATAATCAATGTATGAACAGGACACGTGGCAGAGATGAAAAATACTAATTCAGAGGGAGACTTGCTAATCAACAGTGCTCCCTGTGGCAGGATTTTGTTTCCCTAACGAAGGGTGGGAAGTGGAGTGGTAATATCAGCATCACGAACCACTAAACACTCTTTTTTCCTCCAGCAGGATGGAACGTGGGTTTTAGTGACTAGGTGACATTTGGAAAATAATTTAAAAGAATAGAAACTTCAATGGTTGCTAGGCAGCCTGAAGACTTTGTGAAATAAATATATTAAGGTCTGATGACCAATCTTTTTAAATATTACTATTTTTTCAACCTGACAGGGCTATGGCTCTAGGAAATGCCAGGGCAGAGTTATTAGCAATTATAATTACGGTCATTTGGAAAAGGCTACATTGTGCAGATTTTTAAATCCTGTTTCAAGATGTTCCTCTCATTAAACCACATAAAAGGTCCCTGACTAGTGCCTAATATACTCATTCAATTTAAGAGTCAGCTAACATCAATTGAGTGCTATATGCCAAGCATGGTGCTGGACACTTTAAATGGGGTTGTATTTACTTGATGGTCACCCAAACCCATATGAGATAGAGATTCACAATGCACTTACAGATGATGCAACTGATGCCAGAAAAACAAATTGCCTTATCCAGGGACAGAGTCAACCCATTTTCCTGATACTTTGTCCAATCCTGAGCATTTGCCAGATCAATCTGTCTCCCCTTTTTGATAGTCAGACTCTGTCCCAAGAGGTAATTCAAACAAAATGTGAATTCTTTCATCTTAATCATTATAATGTGGGTGGTTTTTTTTTTGGTGTTTCCCCCCATGTGCAGGGCATAGTTTTGTTTCTTTATGGCATTACTGAATTTTATCCTTGTCAAAGCTATGTGAGGTAGAGACTATTATGACCTATTTTATAGCTAAAGAAATTGAGAGTCCTGAGGAGATGAAATAAGTTGCCCAAGGTCACCCAGATCCAGAATATTTAAAGACCAGACCTGCCTGATGCCAGGACCTGCTTGCTCAGCATCTTTGCCATGTGACCTGCTCTATATGAGTTTATACGCTAAACTCATCTCCTTTTATGAACAAAGGGAGCTGTTCTAGAGATTAAACATGTGCAAAGATCTTGAAATCATTTACTCCTCCCTGTCATTGACATTAACTACAACTCTGCCCTTTCTGCCACACTCCATGTCCAATTCATCAACAAATCAAATTGGCTCCACCATCAAATGCATCCACAATTCCCACACTCCTCACCTCCTCCACAGCCACCAGCCTGTCATGAGCCAGTGCCACTTCTCACCTTGAGGAAGTATGACAATGACCTCCTTCCTGGTCCTTGACCTCGCTGAAGCCTGTGGATAGGGGCATCCAACTGGGGCACTCATCCCCTATCAGATCGTCTTCCTTCTACACGTCTCAGTAACCCATACACAGTAAACCAGTATAATAAATATGTAAAGCATATTTTTATAGTATTACTTCTTAACCATTTTGTACATATAAAATGGTGCTACAGTGTTTCTTTTCTAATATGTCACTGATAAAGTTTTTTAGTGTTGTGACTCTGATTTTTGTTCTATGATTGTGAATAGTACAGTGACTTTTAGTAACACATGTATAACATGATAGCAGAACCATGTATACACATATGTATATAGCATAGTATTTATCCCACCTACCTCACTTCTTTGAAGACTCATGGATTTAGGCATGTGTCAACTATAGTCTTTTTTCTAATTTTTTAATATCTTATTTTTGATTGACAAATAAGAGTTGTATATGTTTATGGGATACAATGTAATGTTTTGATATATATTTACAATGCAGAATGATTAAATCAGGCTTATTAATGAATATAGAAAACAGTATGGGGGTTCCCCAGAAAACTAAAAATCAAATTACCAGGTGATCCAGCAATCCCACTTCTGGGTATAAATTAGGGGTGTAATATTTGAAAGAGAAGTATATTTATTACTATGTATAGATGAGCTGGTTATAAAAGTGGAAATTCTAAGAGAATAAACAAAAAAATGCAAAAGATAATTCACTTAGAAGTTGATGTATAAAATCAATATTCATGAGTACATCATCTTTAAAGATAGAAGAAACAAATAATTGGGAAACATAATGCAGAAATCCCTACCTACAATGACAACAAAATAATAGGCAATAATCCATTTAACAAGAAATGTTTTAAAATATTTATGAGTAAAATTATATGCATAAATTACCCAGTCTCAGGTAGTTCTTTATAGCAGCGTGAGAATGGACTAATACATCCCCCAAAGCTTCATTGCTTGCTCCAAGAACCCCAGCCATATCAGCAAGCACAGTGCATAAGGGGCTTCCAACTAGGAAACAAAATAGTCTCCCCTGTGACAGAACCCCCTTAATTAGCTAATTTTATGAGTGGCTCTTTGGAGACCTCCATCCTCTGGTTTTGGTTCTGAAGAAGGTACTTCAGACATAAATGCAAGTCTGTGGAGACTTGTACTGGGTTAACCCAGCAAACAGGAGCCACATTTTTCAGAATTCCCTTCCCTGCCTGGTTCTCATCTAGGGCCTGCAATAGTAAGTCTCCATGGGATTTGGAAGCAGGACGAGAAGCAGCACCCATTGTTTTGCTCTGAAGGTTACCGCGGGGCACCAGGCTCTGTGGCAGCTTGCTCACATCCTCAGAGATCTTCTGGAGGCAGAACACAGGCCCATGACTCCCAAAGCTCCCACCAGATCACTTCCTCAGGCTTCTCTGAGTCTTGGGCCAGGTATGTGCGCAGCCCCTTGGCACAGCTCTCCTGTATTGTCATCAAATCATTGAGCTTGGAAGGAATGGCCTTATGGATTCCAGTTTGTCCTTTTCTGTCTTGCTTTGAGTCTAGCTTTTGTCTTCAACTGAGACAAAAAATGAGATGCAATGTATCTATTGCCAAAATGATACTTTGTACCCTTAAAATGGGATACAATTGTATCTAGTGCCCTGAATGAGCTGTAGTGACAGTCACTGAGACAACAGCCCTGCATAGGCTTCTCCACCAGCTCCCATAATGGTATAAAGGTCTTATCCCATGGCAAATTCTTTAGTATCCATTACTTATTGTTGTCCTACTTCTCTGATCAAACCTTCAATAACCCAAGGCCCTTGACTTGGAAATATTAAAAATTGACATGAAATACTACTTTATAGATTTAAAATCATAGTTTATCCATTCACTTGATGTTGGACACCTGGGTTGCTTTCATATCTCAGCAATTGTGAATGGTGTTGCAATGAACATAAAGTTCAGATGCCTCTTTGGCTGGTCTTACTGAAACAATAGTCCTTGGTGGTGTATGTTATTCACTTACTCTAGTTAATTTTTCTTCAGGAGACTTATTTCCTGAAAACATTTTTTTTGTCTTTCTCCACAACTGTAATATAAACTCCATGTGGACAGAAGCATGATTTGTGGGGTCTGCTATGGTGTCAACTATAGTCTTTTTTGTACTTTTAGTCTTTAGTGTCTAGACTCAAGTCTGAGACATTGGAAGTATTCAAGAAACACTCCTGGGAAGAGGGGAAAAAAGGAGGGAAAGATGAAAGAAAGGAGGGAGGGAAGAAAGAGGAAGGGAAAGAAATTGCTTCCTATTTCACCTCACCCATATCCTAGCCTCCTCCACCTACCCTAAGCCACAGAGGGAATCCTTCTGCCATTTCTGGGAAGAATACAAAGACTTAATTTTCTATAAAGGTTGAGATCACCAAAGACAGGTTGGAGAGAGGAAGCTGATGTTGCAACCTTTGCTGATTTGAGGAGAAACGGTGCTTCCCACGGGACCTCCTGTAAACCATAGAATCTGGGTAGAGGGAAAAAGGCCAGGAAGTGGGCCAGGCAGAGCTTTAAGAGAGCCTAGCTCAGTGTTCCACACACAGACATAAATCTGGGCTCTCGCGGCATCCCAGGGTTTATAATGGAGGGCTGGTGTCCAGGGTGCAGGTGGAAATGGTCCTCACCATGTTGACTTCCAGCATCACTAGGACACATTCAGTGAAAAAATATAAGGTGCCGGAGCCAGGGTGTGCTGCTGTTCATATGAGGAGCAGCTCTGAAGGAGGCACGCACGTGAACCAGATTAGAGCAACTGCCCCTTGGGGGAGAGCCAGGTGACTGGGGGACAGTGGTCTACTTGCTTTTCACTGGCGTGTCATTAAATATTGCTCATATAAGTATATTTTGTGGGCAGATAAAGTTAATTCTAACTACTTTTAGATCACATGGAGACTTCTTGCAGCAATGAAGGCAGATATATACTCCTAAATCTTCCCACTTCTCCTTCCATAGCTTGACAGAAAAGAACGCAATTTCTTTTCAGGACTCAGACTGAGCCACTACTGGCTTCCTTGCTCTTTGTCAAATGCACATTTGATTACATGTATAACCTTCCAGTGGTTTCTCACTGCTTTACAACAGACACTAAAAATCTTTCCTTAGCATGCAGGGTTCTGCAGGGCTGGCCAGTGTTTACATTGCCAACCTCAGCTCCCACTCACCCCTTGCTGTCTCTGCTCCCACCAGGCATATTTTAAGTTCCTTCAATGAGATCCTTCCTTCTATGCGTCCGTTGTGCATCAGTTCTCTCTGGCTGAAATTCTCCTCCTTCATTCTATTCCCATCCCTTTGCCTAATCCTTCTTACCTAAACTCAGTCATGTCCTGGAGAGCCCTTTCTGTCCTTCTCACTGGTTGAGTCTCATCATAGGTTTTCATAGAACCTTCTATCTTTACCTAGTGCTTAATGTGGATGGACTCTCACAAGCTTCTGTGTGGTTCCTTCGTTAATGTCCCTAGGGTGGCCATAAGAATTGCACCTTGCTATCCTCCAACTACAGGGAACCCCTGCAAGACCTAGGGCTCCAGCTCCTGTGATTTGATATCCATCATTGTGTTTGCAACAAGGCCATGCCTCCAACAGGCAACTACCCACTGGCCAGTAACTGGGCACAGAAGCAAAGCTAAAGCCAACTTGCTCCTGGGAGACACAGGACTCCTTAGACCGCTACCTTTGGCTCAAGGACCACCCCCAGCAGTTCTGCCAAACCCTATTTAGACTACGTGGCAGTCTAGGAAGCTTTTGCCCAGCCTTCTCTTCTTTTGTTGTCACTCAAGATTGGACTTATATAACCATCTGCAGCTCTCTAGCCTCTCCCTTCTTCCTCTCTATTTTTGTTCACAGAGGCCTTTCCCCTAACTAAATCTTTGCACACTTAATCCCACATTGGCATTTGTTTCTTGGAGGACCTGAAGCTAATGCAGTTCCTTTTTGTGACTGTATGTTCAACTCCCTGAGGGTCAGGAGCTAGCATCCCTCTAGGATACCACTGACCCTGGGACCTCACAGAGCTTCTGACACATACTAAGTAGTCAATAAATTACCAGTGAATGAATGAAGAGTCTTTGTTGCTGAGCATGCCTTTCCTTCTTCTTGGGACAGCCCCTCATGTGTTTTAGCCACTTGGAGAGCTCCATTCATCCACTGTAACTCACTCGCCACCCTCTGAAACCTTCACTGATATCATGACTCAGTTGTTTATTCCCACTTCTGTGGTCCCATTAAATATTTCACATTCTTCCATCACAACATTTGCCACTTTGTACTGTAACTATCTGATTTTCTAAATCAGTCTTTGCCACTGATTCTGAGCTCCTTGAGTTGAGAGACTGTATTCTTTATTTCCTAATGCTTATTGTCTAGCACATTGACTAATCCATTTTAGATGATCAGTGACTGTGGGAAGGAAGGAACGAACGAAAGAAGACTGAGAATAGAGAATTTAACATCCCCAAGAATCCATTTCTTCATCTTTAAAATACTCTGCCTATTCCAAAATATTTAGAAAAATCGTGTGATAAAATAAACATGATTCATACATCCAAAATTATTATTTAAATAGAGACAATTCCGGAATAGTTTGCTATAGTGGAAAGAAAAAGGATTTGGCAATTTATCAGTCCTAAGTCAAAACCTTGGTGTAATGTGTGCCCCTCTACCAACTTGGGAAAGTCGGATTTTTCCCCACTCCCTTATTTTCCCAACTATACAAGAGGATCCAATATGTCTTAATCTGTTTTGTGTTGCTATAACAGAATACCACATTTATAAAGAAAAGACATTTGTTTCTCACAGTTCTGGAGGCTGAGAAGTCCAATATCAAGGTACTGGCATCTTGAGAGGGCCTTATGTTTCCATCATCTTGGGAGGATAGAGGATGAGAATGAGAAGGATAGAGGAGGGAAGAGGCCAAACTCCTACTTTTCTCAGGAACCCACTCCCAAGATAACAACATTAATCCATTTCTGAGAGTTGAGCCCACATGACCTAATCATGTTTTAAACATCCCACCTTTCAATGCTGTTGCATTGGGGATTAAATTTCCAACACATGAACTTTGAGGGACTCATTTAAACCAAAGCACAATAGGATGCCATAAGACAATGCATGCAAATCCCCTGACACATGGTAGGAGATAGAGGAATAAAATTATTGTTTTTCTTTAAGCCATGAGTCTTGGGGGGTGCATCCTTAAAACAAGTGACTAGGCTCAATGTTTTAGACTGGAGTCTTGAAAAGATAAAAAGAAATAGCAACTGTACTGCAAAGGAATAGATATTTGTGTCCTGGCAGCCCAAGTGATTTGAGTGTCACATCACAGACAATTGTCAGACCAAAATAGTCCTTACCAGGATTTCAGCTTTGAGACATTTTTTTTTTTTAAATCTTGGCCTAAAATGATTTGTCAAGCTCTAGTTATGTATTTTTATTGGGAAAAAGAGCTCTGTAATTTCACACTTGCTTGCTACTGTTTGCTACCTTCTGACAGCTTTCACTATTTGGATTGGAATTCTGAGTGTGTCATTGAGAGACGAGGTGAGACATTTTTAAAATGTTGATGTTTTCAGTGAGCACAGGCAGATTTTCACAATCTAAGCCTCTGGCTTTAACTAATTTTGCATTTCACCAACTCCACATACTGTAGCCCTACTCAACTTCTGTCAAAGGCTCGCATGGGACAGGCAGTTGACAGCCCCCTCCATATGTGTTGTCACCTCTGCCCAGAATCCTCTCTCCATCTTGTCTACCTTCTCTCTCCTCTTCACACCTCTTACGTGATCTTCCCCCTGAATGCTTCCTTTACCCAGGATGAATTGATTAATCTTTGCTTGGTGCCACTACTGGATATGATTTTCTCATCTCCTTTCATACGTCCATTTCACAAACACTTATTGAATGTCCATCATGTGACAACTTCATTGATAAACACTAAGGATGCAAAGGTGAATAAAACAGACAAGGTCTTCCTCAAGTTGTGGAGCATACCATTTAGTTGGAAAAATAAATAATTGGATTATTGTATAACTACAAGGGTTTTCAATGCTTCAGAGAAGGCAATTGTTTATAATGTTTTCACCAGTCAAATGAATAGGTTATGCTGTGGTAACACTGTCATGACCAAACACCGTATCTCAGCTTAGCACAACTAACACAACTATAGTTTACTATTTTCTGTGTGTATTAGTCCATTTTCACACTGCTATAAAGAGCTGCCCGAGACTGGGTAATTTATAAACAAAGGAAGTTTAATTGACTCACAGTTCTGCATGGCTGAGGCCTCAGGAAACTTACAATCATGGTGGAAGGAGAAGCAGCCACCTCTTCACAAGGCAGCAGGAGAGAGAAGAGCGAAGGGAGAGCTTCCAAACACTTATAAAACCATCACACCTCATGAGAACTCATTCACCATCATGAGAACGGTATGGGGGAAGCCAACCCCACGATGCAATCACTTCTGTCCCTCAACGCATGGGGATTACAGGTCCCTCCCTCAACATATGGGGATTACAATTTGAGATGAGATTTGGGTGGGGACACAGAACCAAACCATATCACCGTGTAATGTGTAATGTGATCATGGAAGGACACAGGGAGGCAAGGTCTGCAGACTGGCCCCAGCTGACCATGGCTTGCAGAGCAGATTCAGACCCACACCAAGCCAGACTCATGCTGTGAGAGACAACTACACTTCTGGTGTTGCAACAAGCCCCTTTCCATGGTGGCCCCTAGAGTCCTGCTCCTTGATTACACACTTTCTCCCAGTTACTTAATAAAACCATGGTTTCAGTGTTGCTATGAAGAGATTTTGCAGATGTAATTAACTGGCAAAACCTCTTCATAGGAAATTAACCTGTGTAACTACAAAGTTAGCATCTTAAAAAGATGCAAATTTATCATCTCATTCAGGAGTCCAGAACATTTCAGCAGGGTCCTCTGCTCAGAAATTCACAAGACTGAAACTGAGTTATCAACTGGGGCTGTATTCTCATCTGTGAGCTCCACTAGGGAAAGGTCTGTTTAGAAGCTCCTTCAGGTTGTTGAAAGAATTCAGAATTCATTGCCTTGTGGTTGTAGGACTAAGGTACTCATTTTCCTGATAGTGGTCAGCCAGAACAACTCTCAGCTTGCAGAGGCTGCTCTGAGGTCCTTGCCATGTGACCCCCTCCACACACCCTTCCACACTTTGAATCTTTGTCTTCAGGAAATGTCTGGTCACATTTACAAGTTTGCCTGATTAGGTGAGGCCCATCCAGGATAACCTCCCTTTTTATTAACTCAAACTTATTAGGGACCTTAATTGCAACTGCAAAATCCCTTCATAGCACACTTAGACCATGGTTTCATTAAATAACTAAGAGAAGGTGTGTAATCAGTAGGGGCAGGAATCTAGGGGCCATGTTAGAAGGCGGCTTGTCACGACACCAGAAGTGTAGTTTTCTCTCACAGCATGAGTCTGGTTTGGTTTGGATCTTTGAGGCTATGCTGCAGGCCATAGTCGGCCAGGGGGAGGGCCATAGACTCTGTCTCCCTGTGTCTTTACATGATTATCACAAGAGTAGAAAGGGCACAAGCAGCCCCACACTGGCTCTGCAAGGTGTTAGGGCTAAAATCAAGGCTTAATGCTATGTGCTGCTTTGACATCTGGAGAGATAAGGAGGACCTTGAATGGCCTCATTCTATGTTTCCCACCTCACTCTGCTCTCCTGGATAAGGTCTCCCAGCCTCCTTATCATGCAGGCCAGGCACAGTTCCTGCTTATCCTGAATAGCGGGTTTCAGTTCCCTGCCAGTCTGCAATTATTCGAACAGGCCAATCGTATCTCCCTGTGGACCAGGGGGCATTTCCCCTGCCTGTTACTAGAAAGCCTGCCCCCAACAGCCCCTGGTTGTTCTCTGGGTAGCCATTTTATGTCTCTGCATGGCGTGCAGTGTCCTCACCATTGAGCTGTGAGTGTATGTGACTAATAAATGTTGTTTATCTCCTTTATCCAGTTTGCATGTCATGTGTGTAGCCATCCCCATAACCTTAGGCTAGGAATCCCTCCTCAACACTGGGGCGAATGGGAGGCAACTAAAACATGCTGAAAACCTCAGCCCAGGAAATAGCACTGCTTACTTCAGCTCACATTTCTTTGACCAAAGAGAATCCAATGGCATTGGCTAACTTCCAGGAATTTAGGGAAATAAAATCACACTCTGTGCTCAAAAAAGAGAAAAGCTAGAAGTCTTTAGTGACAGCACTTACAGTCACCCTTGTGGATAAAAAGGGAGACTCTGGAATTGGGCTCTTTCATTCACTAGCTGTGGGATTTGGGGTAAGCTGCCTAACCTTTCTGTGCCTTTGTTTATTCTTTTACTTTATTGGTTTAAAAAAAACTGCACAACAATAGTAAAACAAGACACAATAATAGTAAAACCTAACTCAGAGATTTGTCATGGGAATTAAGCTAACTTGCTGAGGAATTAGATGTGGAATTCCAGAGGACAAGAGAGGTCAGGAATGACGTCATGACTTTAGCCTAAGCAACTAGAAGGATGCAGCTGTTCAATGTGGATGGTACTATAAGACCTAAGTGCTCCATGTGTTGCTTTGACATCTCTGTGCCCCCACAGGACTGTAAAGGTCTCACTGTTAGTTCCACTGCTTCTGCCAGATATGCCGCCACTAAGAGGAAAAGGCTCCTCACTGGCTAGTTCTCCATCAGCTGGACCAGCTGCACTCCACCAGGTTCTCAAACTAACGGGCTTCATCTCCCTGCCAGCCCATTATATCCTCCCACAGGAGCCAGGGAGCATCTCACTGGTTTTTTGTTTGTTTGTTTGTTTTTGTTGTTGTTTGGTTTTGTTTTCTTTTGTGAGATGGAGTCTCACTCTGTTGCCCAGGCTGGAGTTCAGTGGCACAATCTCGGCTCACTGCAACCTTCGCCTCCTGAGTTCAAGCAATTCTCCTGCCACAGCTTTCCTAGTAGCTGGAACTACAGGCATGTGCCACCATGCCCTGCTAATTTTTTTTAAAATATTTTTAGTAGAGGCGGGGTTTCACCATGTTGGCCAGGGTGGTCTCAAACTCCTGACTTCAAATGATCCACCCACCTCAGCCTCCCAGAGTGCTGGGATTACAGGCATGAGCCACCATGCTCAGGTGCTCACCTTTCAATCCCTCTGATCACTGCAAGCCTGCCTCCCACAGCCTACGCTTACTTATTCTATTCTGCTCCTAAATGCAACCCCAGTAGAGCCCTGCATGGGTGTTGTGGTGTGCACCTTCCCCAGGCTGTCAGTATTTGCAGCTAACAAACTGCTGCCAGTCTCATCTGCCCAGTCCTGGGTGGCATGTGTTCAGCCATCATGTACCATTTAGGGCAGAGGATCACTTCTTCACCAATGGGATAAGAGGTGGTCAAAACAGATGGGCAACAATGTATGAAGAGCATGAATATGTGCATGTATATGGGAATAGATCAGAAGGTTGTCTTCAAGCATGTTAAATTTTAAAAGCCTCTTATTACATCCAAATGAAGATGCCATGCGATAAGGTTAAGAAAAAAAGCACATGATGTTCAGTCTTGGCTGGAAGCAGAAATGTGGAAGTCATCAGCATGCATTTGGCATTGCAGATGGTGAGATGGATGAAGTCACACAAGAAAGAGGTCATAAAGACAGAGATGGGGTCTAAGAACTGAGTTCTGTTCAGTGTTTAGGGTCGAAGAGAGTAAGAAGCAACAAGAAGGAGAGGAAGAGGGAGAGGGACAGACAGAGATTAAAGTGACATGATAGGTAGATGGTTTCTTAGAAGCCGAATGAAGACAGTCTTTCAATAACATGAAAAATTGTGATATCTGTCAAACATTACTGATTTTTTAAGTGAAATGGGGATTGAGAACTGACCACTGGAATATCAATAATGAGATAGAATGAATGACCATCTCAAGAATTATTTTATTGGAATAGTGGCTGACTGGAGAATGTTAAAAACAGATTGAGATACAATTAATATAGATGAATATTTGAGAAATTTACTATAAAAAAGAGCAAAGAAAGTGAGCAGTAACTGGATAGGGAAGTCAAGAGAAGTGGTAATTGTTTTGAAATTGGGAGATGCTGTAGTGCGTGCTGGTGTAAGTCGTCTAAAGGGAGGGGAGATATTTAATGCAGGAGACAAGGTGGAAATAGCTGGAGAATGTCCTTTTTTATTTGAAATGGAAATAGGACTAAGGCATATGTAGAAGGGTCGTTGTGGATAAGAACAAAGTCAATTCATCCAAAGCAATAGGAGGGGACATGGAGATGATGGGCAAAGATGTAAGAGGTTATTAGCTATGGTGGTGAGTGTGTGGAAGTTTTTGTTTCATCACTTGAATAAAACAGAAATTAAAGACATCATCTGAGAGCAAAGATGAGAAGAAGGTGTCAGAAGTTTGTGGGCAATGAAAGCATATAAAACAGCCATCTAGGAATATGAGATGGTGACTAGACAAAGAAAATAAGTAGCATTGCCAGGTAGCCCCGAGAGTTTATCTAGTATTAGTGATCATTAATTTTAAAGGAGGCAACCAAACAGAATGACTTTAAAATTTTTCTCTATCATGAACAGCTGTTGTAGGGGAAGTACAGAGAACACAGGAAAAATAAAGAATCTAAACACAGCTGGCATTTTCTCCTGAGAGTTACATGAGGGAGAAGGGGCCCAGGGCATGGAGGCTGTGATGATGATAGATTGTGGAATATAAGCTTCATAAGAAGAGAAGTGTTGGGTCAACAGATTTGGAGACCTCTGTCAGTGGAATAATTGCTGGGTGTGGAACAGCGGAGAAAATGGATTTGAATGAAAGGAAGAGGTGGTTAGAGAGTGGAATGTTTAGGGTGAGACTATGGAGAGGGGACTATTGTCAAGTTAAGAGCTAGAGTAAGTCTCACTGGAGTGACTGACTGAAGGAAAGTGGAAATCAAGACCATAAGAGGAGAAGGGATTAGGGAGCACCAGGGATGACATATTAGAAAGATCATCTATGAGGATAGTGAAATTACCAAGAATTACAACAGAGAACAAAGCATTAAACTCATCAAATAATGAGGACATCTGAAGATGACTACAACAAGAAGGCTTGATGGAGGGAGGGTCTGATAACACGTGCTTCACAGACTTGTTTAGTGGGGAAGGTAAGGGGAGGAGGTGACAATAGACCGGAAGCAGCAACACGAAGGAAGGTCACCCTTTCCTTCTCTAGGATTAATAGCATGAGGCTAGGGGAGAAAACATCTACCATGGGGAGAGCTGCAGAGGAAACCATGTGTGTGTGTGTAAGGGAAGGTAGTAAAGGGGATGTTCAGAGGAAGCACTGAGGGTATAGGAGATTCATCTGATGGACAACAGTGAGTTCAGAGGGCAGAGTGGGTGATTTCAGGGGCTGCAGAGGGAAAGAATTTTGATCAGATCAGAGGATACATATGGCCAGTAGGAAGGAGAGTCCAGAAGAGGAATGACCAGGCATCCCAGGCTTCCCGTGGTAACGACACTTAACCAAAGTTTCAGGCAGGAAAGGTTCGCCCAGATGGTCTTACAAGAGGGCTGGAGGAATGACACTGGAGAGTCTTGGCCATGAGCTAGAGAACTCTGGGACCCTGTCTTCTTTCATGCTTGAGGAGGGATGGTTCCATTTTAAGCCTTGGAGAGATTATTGAGTCTTGTTCTTCAGCAGGACTGAAAGCTCCACGCTGGGTGATTTCCAGGCTCTGCTTAGATACTTGCAGTATCAGGAAGATTGTTTCCTCACAAAACAGCCTAATCTATTGCGAATCAACTCTAGTTGCTGGACGTGTATTTCTTACATTGATCCAAAAAAATGTACATGTATATCCTTGCCCTCAAAAGTCACACACACCATGATTTTTAATCTGTTCCTAAGGTAATGGCCATCAAGCTGTTGAAGCTCAAGCTCCACGCTCCTGCTAGCTCCTGCCTCTTTTTGTCCAGGTTAAACAATCCCATTTTCTACAGTCATCACTCACTGTCTTGGGTCTCAGACCCTCTCCTCTGATAGCTCTCAGGAGTATGCATAGCAATGTATGTCCTTCTGATGACCAGTGACCACAAATGGCAGCCATTTCCAGATGCGGTCTGAGAATGAGCCACAGCCATCGATGAACCTTCACCTCCTTTACTCTGGATTATCTGCTCATATTCATGCTGCTTATCATGAAGCCAATTTTTGCCTTTTAAATTCATGTTAAGTCATCATGATATGCACAGAATTATTTACATGATTTTCCAAAGAACAGGAATGTCCCATATGTAGGGGAACATTGAATTTGAAATTTGCCCACCATAGAACAGAATACAAAATTTGTCTGCTCTAGAACTGGGCTATCATTTCCACACTTTACTTGTGGGTGCCATAAGCCTGTAGCATTGAAAATTCAAACTACAAATCAAATACACATTTCCACTGGGTAAATTTGCCATTCAGAACAGTAAGACCCACAAGAACATGAAAGAAAAGAAACAAAAGAGCTTTGTTTGAATTTTTGCTTTGCTATTTACTAGCTGTGACCTTGAGCAACACCCTTAACCTCTCTGAACTAGGCATTTGTTTGTCATCCCATCAAGGACAGATTTTTTTTAATAAAAGCAGTTTGGGGATGATCTGATCTAAAATATGTTGCCTAGAATGTTCACAATTTACTTTAGAAAACATTAAAGCATTAATGTTTCAGAAAGCTCTAACCAGGTTTTACATTAAAAAAAAAAAAAAAAAAGTCTGACTTACAATTCAAACTCTGGCCTGCAGGAATTTACCATGGGAGGTCCTGGGGGCACTTCTATGGGAACAGGCAATCAGCTCCCAGCATATCCAGAAAATAAGGGAATCCTCATCACCCTGCCCAGAGCGTCAAGTCAAAGGACAACAACGTGGGTTTGACAAGGGACCCCCAATCAAGTCACAAAAGGGGTCTAAATTTCATACAAGATCTTTGGTCATTCCAGTGTCTTGCTGGGGGTATATTAAAAACAATAGTTAATGATTCTCCCAAGCAGTGGCCTGGAGACCCCAACTTCCTTTGCGATATGGGGATAATTGTATTTTTTCTGCCTTGCTGTACTGGGGAAGTTGTTGTAGAAAGAAAGTGAGATATCAAATGTAGAAACATTCTATAGATAGATTGACGGACACATAGATGGAACGAAGGGAGACAGGAAGGAAGGAAAGAAGGAACGAAGGGAGACAGGAAGGAAGGAAAGAAGGAAGGAAGGGAGGAAGGAAGGAAGGAAGGAAGAAAGGAAGGAAGGGAGGGAGGAAGGAGGAAGGAAGAAAGGGTACGTGGTTGCATGAATGGATTGATGGATGAATGGGTGGTTGTTTGCATAAATGCATAGATGGATAAATGGATAGATAGACACACATAATGGAATAAGTGTTATGTGCCAAATATCATTTGAAGGAGGGAAGTAACTAGCTAAAACTTGAGAAAACATGTTCATGATCTCCCAATTTTTTAAAGAAAGTTTCTGGAAGAAATAGGAATTTAAATCGTTTTCAGATGAAGCAACTTTGAGTACTGAGAGGGGCAGATACTGGCAGCACAGGTAGGGGTGTTGCCAGGGTCTGGATGAATGTAGTCTGTGCCTGTGAGCAGGAGTACATTCAGGATGGTGGGTATGTTTTACCTGTTGAAGGGTGGAGCCATGTATCTAGAATGCCCCTGTATTATCTGAAAGCTAAGTCAGACAATAGGAACTCTGGAGTCTTCAAAAGAGGTGTCAGACACAATTGAGCTACAAGAGAATTACTTCTGAATAAGTTTCTAATGCTCAACATACTTTTAATTACTTGTTCCAGACTTTTCTATTCTAAGGAATGTAAACTCCATCAAAACAGGGATGGTGAATTTTCCATTTATCCCTAAATCTGCAACACCGAAGGTATCATGCAGAGTGGGAACTCACTCAACATTTTTTAAAGGACTTCACATTTTATTCTTTTGTCAAAGCTTCCAATTCTTCCTGCTGTCCCTGGACCCCGGACTGACCCAGGGTTCTTTCCTCTTAGATGAAGGCATTCCTGGTAGGATTCTTTCTTTACCGGATTCCTATCTTCCTCCCTCCCTTGAACCTCTTCCTCAACGCTGGCCTGTTTCAGATGTCCTACTGCTGTTTCTGAATCAATAGCTCTGGATGGATAGCAAGCTCAGGGTTTTTCTTGCTATTTTTACTTGCTCGCCCTGCACAAGAGAATATCCCCTAGACTGGACCAAGGACAACTCCCGGTCAAGTTTCTCAACAAGAACTATTAAAAGACACTTAACCCCTCCACTCATAAAAATGTGAAATATCACTTGGTCTTTACAACTGGGGCTACTGTGGTGGATAATCGCATTTCTGAAGTGAATGGCATAGGTTATAATGAGCAATTGGGGAAAAAAAGAAACATTAACCATGATTCATACCACAAATTGAAGGTAGGACAAGTAGTTCTTGAACATCCTGATTAGATTTTAATCTTGTTTTAGCAGCAGCAGCTCAAGTTAATGTTTGCTCGGTGCAATAACATCATGTGGATTGACACATGGGTAATTATGCTATTTATCTTCTTACGAAACTCTCTCAACTGGGGAGCTGTGATTATTCAGTGCTTGAGAAGGCTGGGGACAAAAAGTCACACTGGCAAGAGAAGAGGGCAAGACCAGTGCTTTGGGAGGGTGAGGCAGGCGGTCCTCGAGGTCAGGAGTTTGAGACTAGCCTGGCCAAGATGGTGAAACCCCATCTCTACTAAAAATACAAAAAAAGTTAGCTGGGTGTGGTGGCAGGCACCTGTAATTCCAACTACTCGGGAGGCTGAGGCAGGAGAATCGCTTGAACCCGGGAGGCAGAGGTTGCAGTGAGCCAAGACCACGCTACTTCACTTCAGCCTGGGCAACAGAGTGAGAATCCATCTCAAAAAAATTTTTTTTTAAAAAGGGCAAGAAGTCCTTGACTAATGAGGTTGGTGCGAAGCGGGAAATACTTGTTCTACCAGTGGGAAAGGTGGCTTGTTTCTCCAGGCTTTTACACCCAGCACACTCTGCCTCTCCAGCTCTCTGCTCTTCAGACAACCTGGATTAATGAATCTCTCCATCTCACATTCATTTTCCATCTCAAAGGAGCCTCCTAATTGGCTTCAGGTCTCTTCCCCTCCACTCCAGCCTCCTAGCTGTTTTTAGAATGACCTGCTACCCTGTTTTTATTCTATGTTTAAATCTCTCTCAATTATGTCCTTACTCATTAACTTCTCTTAATCTCTCTCTCATTTACTCATTAGATCACTTCCTAACATGTAGTAAGTGACTACTTTTCTAAGACACAAAGCTAATCACATTACTCACTTGCTTAAAAAAACCTTTTACTGGCTTTAACCTATAGAATAATAGCCTCATAACAGTCTATCCAAATGCTCCATCATCAGCTGCCATTTACCGTTCAAAAGGTCTTTGCTGTCACACTTCGCAAGAAACCTAAACTCTGTGCACCTAACCTTCTTTATTTTGTTTGATACGTGAACCAAGGCCCTAATGACTGGCAAGGCCTACAAAGATGGGAAACCCTCACTAGTAAGAGTGACTCAGAGGAACAGATGACAACCCTTGGGAAAGAGGACAAAAGCAAGACTAGAAAGCTGAAGGAAATGAATTTGCACTCCTAGGTCCTAGATTTGAATATGTATATTTGGATATATGTATATCTGAATAGGTACAAGTATAGATATAGATATCTACACAGAGATATATAGATATAGAGAGAGATAGATACATAGATACATATCCATCCCTACATCCCTTTCTGCTCTTCTTCCCAGTAAAACCCATTAAGGGAGTTCTTTGTATTAATTTCTCTACACTCTCACTTTTGATGTGTCCCCAGGTGACTAAATTAGGCCTCACATCTATCATGACTCTGAAATTTCCTTATTAACTTTATGAGTGGTTTCCTGCTGGTTGAAGTCAAGGACCAATTCTCTGTTCTCCTACCAAACTGTGATGGTGAATATTGAGTGTCAACTTGATTGGATTGAAGGATGCAAAGTGTTCTTCCTGGGTGTGTCTGTGAGGATGTTGCCAAAGGAGATTAACATTTGAGTCAGTGGATTGGGAAAGACAGACCCATCCTCAGATTGGGTAGGCACCATCTAATAAGCTGCCAGAGTGACCAGAATAAAAGCAGGCATGAGGACTGTGGAAAGACTAGACTGGCTGGGTCTTCTGGCCTCCATCTTTCTCCTGTGCTGGATACTCCTGCCCTCAAACATCAGACTCCCAGTTCTTCAGCTTTTGGACTCTTGGACCTACACCAGTGATTTGCCAGGGGCTCTCAGGCCTTTGGTCACAGACTGAAGGTTGCACTGTCAGCTTCCCTGTTTTGGAGGTTTTGGGACTCAGACTGACTTCCTTGCTCCTCAGCTTGCAGATGGCCTATTGTGGGACTTCACCTTGTGATCACGTGAGTCAATACTCCTTAACAAACTCCCTTTCATATATACATCTATCCTGTTAGTCCTGTCTGTCTAGAGAACCCCGAATAATAATACACTAACCGCTCAGTAATAGTTGACATGTCTGACTCTTCACTGCTTTATGAAAAACTCTATTCTATGGGCTTGCTTGACACCAACCAAGCTGGCTTCGGCCTATTTTACTTGAATATTTTTCAAGCTTTTCTTAGATTCTTCCTCCTCTAGGACCTCTAGGAGTTGCAATGGACTGGGGCTCAGCTCTCTTTTCTGAAGAGTGAATGCATAAGGAGAAGAGATTGTATCCATTGCCAGATGGTACATGCCCTGTCTCTTAGTCCTTTTGGGCTGTTATAACAAACCACCATAGACTGGATGGCTTATATACAACATAAATTCATTTCTTGTAGCTCTGAAGCCTGGGAAGTTCAAGATAATGGGGCAGGAAGATTTGGTGTCTGGGAAGGGCCATCTCTCACTGTAACCTCATATGGAGGAGGGAGGCAAGGTTGCTCTCTGGGGCCTCTTTCACCAGGGCACTAAATGCCATTCATGAGGCCTCTATCCTCATGTGCTAATCACCTTCCAGGGGCCTCACCTCCAAATATACTCATGTTGAGGACTAGGATTCAACATAAGAATTTGCGGGGAACCCCAAATCCAGACCATCACACCATCTCTATGCTAAAAACTCTGAAATTTACATGGTTAGCTGGGTCTTCTCTCTGAACTCCAGATATGTATTCCCAATGCTCAGGCCAAAATATAGAAGAACCCCTCTCCTGCCCCACAACATGCATCAGTAATGCTCTTCAGTGGCATCTCCAAAACCTTCCCCAAATAGCTCATTTTACCACCTGCACAGTCACCACCTTGGTCCCAGTCCTTCCTCCTCACCTGGACTCAGGCAGCCACCTCCCACCTGGCCCCCACACCTGCCAATTTGCTCCCCTAAATCTGCCAGAGGAATACTTTTGAAAAACTTTTGCTGGTGTTTCATTTTTTTCTTAGTCCATTTGGGCTGCTATAACAAAACATCATAAAGTGGGTGGCTTATGAACAACAGAAATTTATATCTCACAGTTCTGGAGCCTTGGAAGTCCAAGATCAAGGTGCCGGCAGATGCGGTGTTTGGCAAGGGCCTCTTTCTTTATAAAGGGATCTGTTCTCACTGCATCCTAATATGGAGGAAGGGAAAACAAGCTCCCTTGGGCTTCTTTTATAAGGGCACTAATCCCATTCATGAGGGCTCCATGCTTATAAGCCAATCACCTCCACAGCTGCCACCTCTTAATATCATCACTTTGGGGTTTTGGATTTCAGCATATGAATTGTAGGGGGACACAATTATTTCGACCATGTAATTACTCCTAGAATAAAATCCAAGCCCCTGACTCCATCCCTCACTGGCCTTCCCAACCAGTTTCCTCTCTCTTTCTAATCTCAGCTGTCTTTATTTTGCCCCACAGATGCTCTCTTCAGTACCCTTCAAACAAGGCATGATGCTTCCTACCACAGGAAATTTGCATATACTGTTTCTTTGTTTTAAATCCCCTCTCTTCCCCAACAGACTTGTGCTTGTTAGTTTCTTTCTCAACATCCAAGTTTCAGCTCAAACGTAATCTTCTCAAAGATTTTCCCAAACTCCCTAAGACAAGTACTCTATCATAATAACATACTCTGTCTTACTAGTAGCCCTTTTCAATATCTATGTATTGGCTGTGTGTCTGTGTGTCTTTAAGAGTTATACCGCCTATCTCTGCTAGAATAAAACTTTCTTGAAAGGAGCCATAATTATTTTTTAACTATTGTATCTCTCATGCCTAGAACAGTGGCCTGTTGTAGAAATAAATTCCTCTCTAGTAAGTTATGGATCATGTGGTTGCTGATAGAGACACAGCCCAAAGGCAGCCCTCCTGGATGTAACCCACAAAGCCAGTTGAAAAGCTCACAGCTATGTGTTCAATTGCATCCTCCAATACATGAATAAGTGCATCGTCTTTAAGTGCTATCATCAAGCACCCATACACTGTAAAATAAGGGGGAAAAAACTCCAATAGTAACCTACTGCCTGGAGGGAAAAGACATCCTTGCCTCAGTTTGAGTTCTCTGCTTACTGCTGTGTGAAAACTGGGTCAGGTCGTTTTTCTTCAACAGGTATCTCCTCTGAGCCTCAGGGTCATCATTTGTAAAATGTGGATAATAAGCTCACCTATCAGAGACCTTGACTCTAAAGATTATATATTTTTATGTGGTTAAGGCACAGTAGTGGCCATCTCTCACTTTCACTTATCTGAAAAACAAGAGCTTTCTCCCTTTGATTGTGAACTGGTAGGGTCCAGGGCACTGACCCTGCAAGGAAGACAGGAGCTCCATCCCCTCCTACCAACTCCCCTTTTCCCAGAAGGCCCTTCCAGGAGAATGTAAGGCGGCAGGAATCAGCAAAGAGTAGGCTTCAAAACAGGCTTGTTCTAGTCTGTTTGCACAGCTTTACTAGAATTGCCTGAGTCTGGGATTTTATAAAGAGCAGAAGTTTATTTCTCACATTTCTGGAGGCTGAGGAGTCTAAGGTCTAGGCTCAGGCAGGTTCTGTGTCTGATGAGGGCTGCTCTCAGCCTCCAAGATGATGCCTGGTACACTGCATCTTCTGGAGGAAGGAACTCTGTGTCCCCACATGGCAGAAAGTAGAAGGGCAAAAAGGTGACAGCTCTGTCAATCAAATTCTTTCAAAGGGCACTTAATCCCATTCATAAGGGCAGAGGCCACATAAATCTATAGGCTCCCAAAGGCCACATCTCCTAATACTCTTGCATTGTGGATTACATTACAACATGAATTTTAGAGGGTACAAAAACATTCAAACTGTAGCAAAGCTTACCGATCTCCTGCCCCAATCTCTCCTCCTAACTTCCACCATCCACTATGGAAGGAAACTGCTCTTCTGGCATGCCTCTTAGGGAGGAGAAGAGGTGGTTCACTGAGCCCACTTGACCATGGTCCTCCAATACCTGAAGGACTGCAAGTAAAGGAACAGCTATGCTAGGAAGGCTTCCCGGTCTGCGGAGCCAGTCAGATGAGTGTTAAACACTTGCTCCCGCATGCCTGGGCTTCCTCTTCTATAAAATCCACATGTGGCCCTAGCAGGGACAATGGAAAGGACAGGAGGGGCAGTCATTTAATGAATTACTGGTCACACACACCCACGGATGGCAGAGAGGTGTGCAACACAGACCTTCACATGGAGCTGGAGTCATGTCACCCAGTCCAGAGAGACCACTTGGCTGCTTCAGCTCCTCTCTCCATCTGGGCTGTTAGGTCCTTTATGCAGCAATAAAGTCTTGTGGTTCTCTTGGGCCTCACTCAGTGCTGAGCAGAAAAACAGTGCTCACTGAATAAGTGCTAATTGACCCACAGAGGGAAAGAAGAAGTGAGTGACTCCTTCCTGACTTAACTTTTTTTTTTTCTGCTTAAAACCAATCTACACCACCTTAGGGAAATGGCCCAGTTTCTGAAAGGCAGTGCTGGTAACATAATATTCTTGGAGAGAAGGCAGTGCTTTTCCCAGGTGAGATGACCTCTCTGGACCTGCAGCCAGGAGGCCTGCATTCCATTCCTGCTCTTCCACTCAGCACGGGCTTCTTCCTAGACATGTCGTTCCACCTCTTCAGTGTCTACAGTGTGGAAAGGTTCATCATAAAATTGGCCTCACTATGTGGTTGAAGGAGTCTGATAAAACACATTTGTGAAAGATGCTAGCAGAGTATTGGGCATACATAGGAACTCAGAAAAGGTTGGTTGTGGAAGGTTTCAGGCAATCTAAGGTTATTAGAAAGTGCTGAGGCTTGGAGAGGACTCTCTGGCATGGGCTTTCAGGATAAGCATCCTGGAGGCAGGAGGGAAGGAAGACTGAGAGGGGAAGACCAGAGAAAGGACACTGGTCCCCCCAAGGTGGGAAATGAGCAAACTCACACTGAGGCAGTGGCTGGGGATGAACGGGGGAGAAGCATGGGAGGGGCTGAAGCAGTGGAATAAAGAAGTCACCCATCTCAGCACCTGAGAAGTTTCCACATTTCCAAAGGGACCAATATGTCCAGGGATGCTCATTCCCACGTGGACACCAGCTGGTTGGTGACAGTGTGGGGCTGGGCGGTGCTTTAAAGCCGGATGAGCTTCAGGGGCTGCAGGGCAGCTGATTGAGCAGAACTTAGAGTGTGAACACCTCCAGCCTTGCAGGTCACTTGAATTTTTCATCTCTCTGTCCTCTCTTTGTCACTCAATAATGTAGTCAAATGGTGCCTGGAACTGTTTTCTTCTCTTGCGGGTTCTGAAGAGCCCTCTGCAATGAATGGTGAGGGCCCAGCTTCCTGGCTTGGGAGGGCAGTGTGATTGAAGGATCTTGAGTAGAGGGCCGAGCTCTGGCATCAGAACGTGGAGGCAGATCTCCAGCGGCTTCCCAGGGTCTTTCTCCACTCAGACCTGGATGGCTTGGGTGGCTTTGTTCACACGAAAAGGCCAGTCTGATGCCCAGTCTCACAAGGTGATGTTTTGTGATGGGCCTACTCTGACCTTCAGGGATTAACAATCCACCGGGCAGATAAGAAAGGATTCTGAAAACAGAGAAGCACAGATCCCAAGCAGGACGAGGGGTACAGCCTGTGTGGGTGTCAGAGCCCCAGCAGGGTGAGCAAGATGTCCACACAGAGGGGCGGGACTGGCCAAAGAGCTCAGAGTCTGTGCTGGGTAAGGATGCCTGCTTGGAGGTGTCAGAGCCCAGTCAAGGTGAGAAAAACACAGTGTGGAGGCAGAGCCATGCAGAAAGAGAGGGGAGAGGGCAGCCTGCTCAGGATGACACGGCCTCAGTGGGTGAGAATGACTTCCGGGAAGGGCCACAGGGGTTGGAGGTGGCCTGGGGGGTGTCAGAGCCTGGATCAGGTCGGGGGTATAACAGCAGTGGCAATGGGAGTGTACAGGGAATTGGTGAAATAAATAAAGATATTAGGACAATGGAGCCCATTTCTCATTGTTGAAAGACAGAGTTACAAATGTGGAAAGAGAAAACTAGAAGGAACCTGGTGGTTTTTGGCTGGAGTTGGAGGTATTGATTTAAAGCCATTTTCCATCTATAGATAGATAAAAAATAAATATAGATGCAATATGGGATCTCAAGGAAGGATTCATCACTTTTTGTTTCATGCTAAAATGAAACAATTCCACTCACATGGATTTCCAGGTGGAACGAGGATTGGAAAGTGACTTCTCTGATTTACTTAACTGGAGCCAGAGCTTGGGGCTATCCTCTTGGTGGGCAGAGACCACTCACCCTGGACTCTCCTACACCACCTCTCACACCCTCTGAGCAATCAGAAGCTCTTGTCGTCTCCATCTACTCCAATCCCACCCATAGCCCCTTCCCCACCTCCCCTCTTCTCTTTGCCAGGCTCCTTGAGTGGGTTTCCATCATCTTCTACTCCTCCTGTCCTCACTGCTGGATGGAGGGGACGGGAAGCCCTTTGGATCTTGAGGGTGGAGGAATGGAAGCATGAAAGAGCGGTTTAGCTTGAGGACTGGAGATCCAAAGAGCAGTGAGCCCCTATACCCCCTGAGTCCAGCTTACCAGCAGGCTGCCTGTGCCTTATCTAAGATGGGGCACAGGGGAGGAAAGGCAAGTGACTGATCCTTCCCTGCCTGTTGTTATGTCGCTGAAAGCTACCTGGCCACAGGAGGCTCTGGGAACTGTAAGGAAAAGGGGTCATAGAACAGCTCTCTCAGCTCAATGCTAATAATGCAAATGATGATGATAATGGCGATGCTGCTGATAATGCCAGCTTTTTTTTAATACTTCCTACATGTCAGATATTGAAATACCTTTCATAGAATAATTGATTTAAACTTCCCTCCAAACTTATAAAGAAGGCACTATTTATGTTCCCATTAAGAGAGGGGGAAATCAACATGTCGAGATGCTTTTGAAACTTGTCCAAAGCATACGCTGGAAAGTGGGAGAGGAGGGCCCATGTCCTTCCAAGTCAGGAGTCGGACCCTTACTGTAAATGTGCTTTCCGTCTGACTGCATTGGGGCAGCTCCCACAGCAGTGGTAGAGCTGAGTCGACCCTCAGGACACGTGGGAGCCAGAGAGTCAGGGCAGAGGGTGCAGTAGTGGCCTGGGAGGATGTCCTGGCCAGAAGGGCAACTTTGCAGGGAATGGTAGGGCACTCAGAGAACTGAAGATCCTTGAGTGTGTCTATGAAGAAGGACTTGGAGGTGTAATTCATAGAGCTGGGCCTGAAGAGGCGGCTGAGGACGGACCATGAGTGCCTGTCAGGGCATTCAGAGACCAGATGGCCACAGGCATGGAAGGAGACTCACTGTCTACAGCTTCCAAGTCTTGGCGTAGGCATGCTCAGAAAATGCACAGCAGGAAACCACGGTATTGCTGTAATCTAAAGTTTGGAGGAACTCACCTCCTTAGGTGGGCATCAGAGGAAAGGTGGCTAAAATCAACCCCAGAGAGGGAGGAAGCCCCATCTCTGTCACTCAGTCCCATGGGGTATATGTGCAAGATCATCAATTGCTTGAATGTTCCAGACACAGAGAATGTGCCTGTTAATGAGCACCCTTAAGAGGCTTCCTAACCAGAGGTCCCAGAAAAATGGATGCTAAATGGAGAAAACCCGTGAAAAGCATGCACTCAATCACACAAAGAGCTCCTGTTTTTACCAGAGGGCTAAGAAACTCATCTAACGCTGCTAACAGACTATCTTAGACTTAAAAATAAGTCATTAAATGACGAATCGAGTAGCTTCCGGCTAATAAGGAATGCATTCTGAATCTCATCTAGTTCTGCAGTGAAGGAATGAGCCATAGGGCAGGCCACGTATGGGGAGTGAAACACTCAGGGCTTCCCTCTCAGGAGAAAACCTCCAGCCAGGAAATTCCTCCCACCTGCTGAGTAAGTGGCTGGGCCTCTGCAGCTGAGGCCCCAAGAACCAAAGGCAGGTGAGGCTTGGGCTTCCAGGACACAGGAATGAAAACAGGACCACGGAAGCTGAACGATCCATCTGTAGGTTGCCACCTTTCCTTTCCAGGGGTCAGCAGACTAGAAGGTCCAGGGTTTTCTGAGCACCCTTACAGCTGGCAGCAGTTCAGGGAGGCTTCTCAAGGCCTCCGCACAGGGCCCCAGCTCAGGGTACAGAGACTGCAGGCAGCTGTTAGGGAGGATGAGATGCTAGGGCAGCTCCTGAAGGTGGTTGGACCCCAGGTAGAGATGAGTGAGATTGTGCAGGTGGACGCTCTCCCCTGGGAGTCTAGAGAGACTCCACTGGGAGCCAGTTCTGTCCCTGGGGCTCAGTCTTAGCTCCTGCAGATGCTTTAGTTGAAGTAGCCCCTGAGGCAGGTATGCTGGGCACCCTCCAGCATAGGACCTTGGAGAGGAATGGAAGGGGCGCCTTATGAACTGCCTCCCTCTTGCACTAGGGTGTGCCATTTTATTAATAGTATTATTATTTTAAGACAGGGTCTTGCTCTGTCATCCAGGCTGGAGTGCAGTGGCATGATCATAGCTCACTCACCAGACCTACCTCCTAGACTCAAGTGATCCTCCCACCTCAGCCTCCCTAGTAGCTGGGACCCACAGCCATGTACCACTAGGCCATTTTGATTTTTTGTAGACATGGGATCTCACTATGTTGCTCAGGCTGGACCAAAACTCCTAGGCTTAAACAATCCTCTCACTTCAGCCTCCCAAAGTGCTAGGATTACAAGTGTGAGCCACTGAGCCTGGCCTAGGCAAGTCATATCAGACACCCCTTCTCTTCTCTGGGCTTCATCTCCCTGTCCCTGCAGTAAGGAGGTGGGAAGAAATCATCCCTCAGAGCCTCTAATATTTGTCTAACTCCGTGGCTTCTCAGCCCAAGTAATCTGGTCTGCTAGCTGGGTTAACTTGTACGTTGCCTGGTGCTATCTCAGAGTTAACCCAGCCCAGCCCTGGGGACAGTCTGGTTTTCCTGCCAAAACAGGCTGCCTCTGGCACTTCACCAGCCCACTCCAGCAGGACAGGGATTAGGGGTGAGACAAGTGAAGAGCTCGCCTGTGGGGGAGAAGTATGGGTGAGCCACAAATATTCTCAAGATGAATATGTCAATGCAGTATTTTTTAAAAATCAGAATCAATGCAAAAAATCCATGATGAACAAAATACCAAATTTTAAGTAAAGGATCAGTGTTGCCAGTTTCTTTCTTTGCCTTCAGCACTAACCTGGCTTCACAGAGCACCCTTTATTGATCCTGTCTGGACTTAAAATTGTGTCCTTCACAGCATCTCCGATAAACCTCACTAAAACCCTTGGGGGTCAGGATTACGTCTCCCTGCTTGCAGGCAGAGAAGTCAGGTGCCTTCTTCTGGGGACTAGTAATTGACTGGACACTGGTTCTGTCTGATCCCTTACCCCACACTGTTCTTTCCAGTGGTGTCCGTCTAAGGGTGTTCATAGCCCACTGGTGGACATGGATAGACACATTTTTCAGTGTAATCATCTTATTTTCATTTTATCATCTGATTTAAAAATACAGATGTTATGCCTCATGAAGAAGTCAAATATAAATTAAGGCAAAAATCAAGGTGCTGAATTTAAAAAATGGTCAACATGTTTCACGGGCATGGCAGCCATCTGCAGTCTGAGGGCACCTTCTTGCTGTTTGATCTTGGCCAAGTGGCTTTCCCTTTCTGAACCTTTAATTGTTTCAACTACAGAATTGTCTCTAAGCCACCCTACAGCTTCAGTATTCTTTAGCTTGGGACTTATTTCTCTGTTGTCTCTCTTAATTCCTTTCAGGGAACTGTGGCTACTTAGGGGTCCCAGCAGGCTGGTCCTGGGTATGGTCTGTCCCCGACCTGAGGTCTGGCTGCTCCTGGTTGTCACCAGAACAGTGGCAGACTTGGTAATACAAGAGGCTCAGCCCCATCCAGGACCTGGGATGATGACAGCCCAGCCTGTGTCTTCCCATCCCTCGTCTCAATTCCAGTGGATAGAGGTTAGTACAAGTCCCCTTGGAGCTTGGCCGGGGCTGGGCCTCTGTCCTCCTCATCTCCTGGTGTGTTATCTTGCAAGCAGCAGCAATTCCGGATTGGCATTCCAGTGGCACCTGCTCTTGAACTCATTTCACCTGGAGCTCTGGGCAACCCCACCATCAAGAAGAAAGAGAGCACCCAGGCTCTTCTTCCATCTCTGCACTCCCCTGCTACTGGATCTGGGGAGCATCGACTTTGAGTCTTGAATGCTTCATCTTTCAAACGCAGAAGTATCAATTCCTGCCTCAGATGCTGGCCACGAGGGCCACATGAAACAGCGTTCCTACAGTGTCTAGGCCAATGTCTGCCCTGTAGAAGATGATTCATCATTGTCACTTCTCTTTTCTCCCCACCTCACTCCACCCCTGCTGCTACCCAACTGTGACCTAAAAGATTCTCTTTGACACAAGCCACGTGACCTGTTCCTTTACCATGTTTCTCTTAGTAACCACCTGGTACCCCGCATGCTGTTCTCATTATCCTCCCGAAAAACGAAGCCCCATTCCTCAGCTTTAAACTATGAATCCCCAGAAGCTAGTGCAGTTTCCCTAGGCTGACCCCATTTAAGGGTGCGTCCTGAGCCCCTGCCGTGCCTGGAACATTCTCTGCTTGAAGACCTCTCGTGGCGGGGGCTCAGGTCCTTCATGGCTGTGCTCACTGTCTCTGGGCCTTTCTGACCAAGTGTTTTCATGAATGCCACCCTGAGAACCACCATCTCCTAACTTTACTCATCCACTCCTTTCTTGGACTCTCCCTTCAGGTGTCCACATTCAGCTGTGAGGCATCTGACGTTCGCTTTTCCAAGAGGAATAGTTTTTTGTGTGTCATGGGCTAAGTCCACCCAGCATTCTCCAATGTACCCCCGTGGGCTTAAATTCCTCCTTGTGGCCCTCAGAAACCCTTGTTGTGCTATGGCAGGCAGGGAGTTGAGTGGGGTTGTGTGTCCTGATTCCTTCTGTGGGATCAAATTCCTTAAATGTATCCCTTCTGAGAGAGGGTGCATTTTGCCTTCTGCAGGCCTGCTGCATGTCCTCAAAGGATCATCTCAACAGGTTCCCGTGAAAATCAGACAACTCCTATGCCCTGAAAACAAGATTCTGAAAAACAGAACCGAAGGGTCCCCAGGGTGGAGTCCCACAGAAGGAAGAGCTCCTCATTTCCTGAATAAGATGAGGAGAGGTCCCAAATGCGGTTCAGCCTCACCCTACATCCAGTTGTGTGGGGTGGTTGGGTGCGAGAGGCCAAGCCTCAGAGACTTCATATTTCATAGCAGGATTTGACTCCTTGCTGCTGTGAAGCCTGGGGGCGGCCCTTCTCCCCTGCCGCTAAGTCCTTCCCTGTGAAGATGGGGCGAAAAGCACCTGCTCCCCAGGACTGTGGTGAGAGAAAGTGTGTGAGGCCCCAGGCACTCAGTGGGCATGCTCACTGGCAGATGATAGTATCTTTATTTCTACTGTGGAGTCTTCTATAATACCTATAAATTTTATTTATAGCTCTAATCAAATTCAATTGCCAGATTCTGTTCCATGCATGTCTGTCTCTGTATGTGTTGCCCAGAAACACTCTTTGGGAGTTAATTATAGACCAGTCTCCTAGACTGCGAGCTCCTTGAGAATGGGCCTGTATCCTGTTCACTGTCGGATCCTCAGCACCTGACCCGTGTTTGCTCAGAGTGAAGGACTGTCGTTTGCCCACTATGCCCCACCCACTCGGACCATGGAGAATAGCCCCGCTCTGAGTGGCAGGGAGCTCTGTCATCCCTGCCAACTTCTCTATTCTTCACTGACGACAGGGGGCATTCCAGAAGGGAACCAAAGTGAGACCAGGCCAAACAACCTCACAAATGTCTCCATGGCAACAGCTTGTCCTGCCACACACAAAGGATCCTGGCTAACTATGCAGCCAAAGGTCAAGTTGTCAGTGTGAGGCCTCTTAGCCAAGCATGCCTCTCAGAACAAGGCTAACCTTCCTCATTCTCACTCCTTTTTTCCCAAACATCAGGATTGTAACTAGTGAAGACAATAACCAAGAACACCTTAGGAGGAATGCTTGTAGAAATGGGGAACTAGAACACTTTTACACTGTTGGTGGGAGTATAGATTAGTTCAACCATTGTGGAAGACAGTGTGGCAATTCCTCAAGGATCTAGAAGTAGAAATACCATTTGACCCAGCAATCCCATTACTGGGTATATACCCAAAGGATTATAAATCATGCTACTATAAAGACACATGCACACGTATGTTTATTGTGGCACTATTCACAATAGCAAAGACTTGGAACTGACCCAAATGTCCATCAATGATAGACTGGATTAGGAAAACGTGGCACATATACACCATGGAATACTACACAGCCATAAAAAAGGATGAGTTCATGTCCTTTGTAGGGACATGGATGAAGCTGGAAACCATCATTCTGAGCAAACTATCGCAAGGACAGAAAACCAAACACCACATGTTCTCACTCATAGGTGGGAACTGAACAATGAGAACACTTGGACACAGGGCAGGGAACATCACACACCAATGCCTGTCGTGGGGTTGGGGGAGGGGGGAGGGATGGCATTAAGAGAAATACCTAATGTGAATGACGAGTTAATGGGTGCAGCAAACCAACATGGCACATGTATACATACATAACAAACCTGCACGTTGTGCACATGTACCCTAGAACTTAAAGAATAATAATAATAATAAAAAGAAATGGGGAATTAGTTGGTCTGGAAATGTCTGTGTCTGGTATTACTTCATTGTCTGTGCCTTTTCAGGCCTCAGTATCTGGAGAACAGATACATCACTTACCCCATGTTCCCTCTCTTCCGAAATGAACTTTCAAGCCAGCTTCGCAGATAGCCCACTATCTTCAACCACATACACTACCCTCATAACCCTAGCTTCACAAAATAGCACCATCAAAGCAACCTGAAGACAAATGTTCAAAATTGGTAAGAAAAGAAAAGGAAGAGAAACAAAATTATGCCCCTAAAATAGCGTGTCCTCAACCACGTCAAAGATGCAACCAGAAATACACCCTCCCTCCTTTTAATGATTTAATGAACAGCTTCTCCTTTGCCCTGGAGAACATTTCTGAAAAACACAGGTTAGTGTCAGCTCTCTTCACCTCACCAGGAGAGTCCAGGAGGGACATAGACAAAGGTGGCCCAGAGTGAGGCTGCTGTCTGCTGGCTTAGAGCATGCTTCTGTGTCCTGTGTCACAGTGTAGGGAGGTGGGGCATTCTCCAGGGAGTGGGAGACGGGAGATTTGTGCATGACTTTGGGCAAATTGCCTCACCCCTCTGACAGTTTCCTAATGAATGGAAGGGCAAAGATCTATGCCTGGCCCATCACAGTTGTGTTGCAAGGAACAAATGATAAAGCTTAAAGGAACATGCTTTGAAAAATAGGTAAGCACCCACTGGTTTAAAAAGAAGTGCTCCTCTCCTTGAATTAAAGTAAACAAATGAGCAAAGTTGACTCAAGTGTTCTTAAAGGGTGGCAAAGAGACTCTTGTAAAGGATGGTTTAGTTTGCCCTACTTTTAAAAAATTTAATCCTCACCCAAATCCTGTGAATTAATGTTGTCAATTTTAGTTAATGGAGGAGGAAACTGAGGTTACTTGGTTATTCCTTTGATGTCTCCAGTTTTGAGCAACTGGAGTGCACTGGGCGGCAAAGGGATGGGCTGCAACACTAAAGCCAAGCAGCTGGGCAGTTCTTAGGGATCAGAGAGAGGCTAATCAACAAATGAACGGGGGTCACCCAGCACTGCAGCCTGGCTGCACTCAAGCTGGGGAAGTTCTTCCAAGTCCTAGACCACAGAAGCCAGGGCTGCCGGTCACCAACCTGCCCCCAACAAGAAAGCATGCAGGTGCCCTGCGCAGAAGGCAAAGTGGTCCCTGAGCCAAGGCCAATATGGCAGAATTCTACTCATTCCCCTTCCTCCAGCTGGAAGAGGAGTGAGCTTGTATGACCAACCCTATATGGGAGAAACCCCATGTGGGCCCAGGTATCCCAAAACACACCTCGGAGGTCTTTGGGAAACCCCTGGTCTCATCCATTATTTATTGAATATCTGCTGTGTATTTATTGAACATCTACTGAACCAGGTGCTGAGTTTCTCCAAAACACAGAATCAACTCTTTCTGTACCTACCCTATGGCATTCTAAGAAAGAAGGGGTTTGCAGAGATGGACCCTCAGGTTGTAGCAGTTGGCAGAAAGCAAGTAGGAAGGGCTGCCTAGAAAGTGCTGGTCACTCCAGGTTTGAGCCCAACTCCTTGGGCCACTTGAGTGAATTATCTGTTTCTTCCCAACCCAGGAAAGCATCTTTCCAAGCTCACAGTAGTGAGGATGAAGCATCTCATCTTTGAAGATCTCAAAATCTGTGGGGACATCTGAGTCCTGTTCTGGGTTTACCTAAACACTGAGCCCCAAGGTTTGGGTTGAAATATATGGGACTCAGGAAAACTGAGCAGCAGGAGGCCTCAATGGTGCTTAGCCTGGGAGGGAGACAGCAAAGGAAGTGTGGGTAGGGCAGAGATCTCTAAAATCTGCTGGGGAGACTTCAAACACTGATTATTCCATACCATCTCCCAGAGACCCTGATTCAGTGGTTCTGGAATAGTTCCCTAGAATCTATACTGTTATAAATAAAGTTCCCCTATGAATTTTTACCATCAGGCATATCAAGGGACTCACCAGAGAAGTGGTATGAACTCTTGTATCCAAATACTGGGCTCCACACTTAGAATTTTGGGAAAATCACTCTTTCTTTCTGAGCCTTGTTTTTCCCATTTGTGGGGGAAAAATAAGGATTTGGATTACACCAGATATTCCCAGGTGTGGGAATTACGAACTGCTAATTACAAAATAATAATTATTGGGAACTATATAAGGGAGGTGAGCCAGATCTTTATTTTGTCAAGTAAGGATATAAAAAACAAAGAAGTAAATATTACTCTACACACACACACACATACACACACACACCCCACATTCTCTTTCTCTCACTATTATTTCTCACAGTATGAGTCATTTTAAACCCTAAAAATTAGAGAGATTCCAGTCTCAGAATGAAAAGCCATCCTTTCAATGCAACACATTTGGGTTGGTTTTCTGTCCAGCTCACATTGTTGACCTCTGGTCCCACCTGGCAGGTGAACACCTCACCCTGTACCAGTAATTGGGAACTTCAGGCCTGTGACTGCCAGGTTTCTGACAAAGAACTTTTACCTAAAATATACAGAAAACTCTTGAGACTCAAAAATTAAAATCAGACAACTTAATTTTTTAAAATGGGCAAAACATCTGAACATAAACTTCACCAAAGAAGATATTCAAGTGGAAAATAAGCATATGAAAATATGCTGGATATCATGTTATTAGGAGATTGCTAATGGAAGCAACAATGAGATACCACTACGCACCTATTAGAATGACCAAAATCCCAAACACTAACAGCACATAATGCAGGTGAGATGGTGGAGCAACAGAAACTCACTGCTGGTAGGAATGGAAAAGGATGCAGCTATTTGGAAGACCAATTTGGCAGTTTCTTACAAAACTAAACATGTTCTTACCATGCGATCTAGCAATTGTGCTTCTTGGTATTTACCCAAAGGAGTTGAATAATCACATCCACACAAAACCCTGCACAGATATGTTTATAGCAGCTTTATTCATAACTGCCAAATCTTGGAAGCAACCAAGATGCCCTTCAGTAGGTAAATGGATAAATTCTGAAACTTCCAGGCAATGGGATATTATTCAGCACTAAAAAAAAGGGGGTTATTAAGCCAAGAAAAAGCCACAGAGGAATCTAAATGCAAAATACTAAGTGAAAGAAGCTAAATTGAAAAGGCTGTATGATACCAACTAGATATTTTGGAAATGACAAAACTATGGAGACAATTTTAAAAAACCAGCAGTTTCCACAGGTTAGGAGAGAAGAGGAGTATGAAGAGGCAGACAACAGAGACTTTTTAGGGCAGTGAAACTCTTCTGTATGATCTTATAATGGTGGATAATGGCATATCAGTATCCATTAGTCCAAACCCATAAAGTGTGCAACAGCAAGAGTGAACCCTCATGTCAACTGTGGATGTTGGGTGATAGTGACGTGTCAATGTAGATTCATCAACTGTAACAAACGTACCGCTAGGGTGTGGGATTTGGAAGGTGGGTGGGTGGGGGAGGCTGTGTGTGTATGTGGGTGGTTGGGGGTGGGCAGGGAGCACATGGAAATCTGTACCTTCCTCTTAATTTTGCTGTGAATCTAAAACTGCTCTAAAACTTAGTCTATTTCATACAACAACAATAAAAATGAAATAGAATAGTAAATGTTCGATCAAGCACACTTGATCAGGTAGATATTTTATTTCAAAACCCTTGCTTTATATATGTATGCATGTACTGAGTCACTAAGAAATTACACCTCTTACTGTGGGTCATGGTCAGAAAATGTTAAAAGTCACTGGATGAGAGTATTTCTGAGGTCCCTGAGATAGTTTCTTCAAATGAAAAAGGGTATTAGAGTAATACCCCTGCATCTTCAATGGTTGTGAAAACCAACTGAGATGGTAAACGTGAGAAAGACTGAGAGGGAGGCTGTCTCATTCTGCACCAACAGGAATGGCTTCTTTTGGACCCCTGACACCCATCCAGCCCCAGAATCAGCACCAGCTGACTGAACACAAGGAATGGGTATCAGATTTCATTTTTAAATCATTGCAATAATACTTCTTTACCCATGGAAACATCAAACTTCTTGAAATGTTTATGTTCCCAGTTTCTAAATCAATTAGAGGCATCCAGAACAGGGGATCACACAAAGGAAGTTCTTGATAAACATCTACTGCTTTAGTCTGTAAGTGGCTAACAGCTTGGGTGAATGGACAAATTAATGAATGGATGAATCAATGGATCGATCAGTCGGTCCACCAGTCAATCTGTCAGTCAAGAACAAATGCAGGAAGAGTATTGGTGACTCATTTGGCCTCTAGATGCAGTTTAACAGGAAAGGTTCTGCTAAAACCTTCCAACTTGCTTCACTCCCTCCCCACTGTGATCCTGCATAAATGTGCACATCTAAATGTCTGCTTCCATATGAAGGGAGGCTAATGAACGGCCCTGGACTAGCTCAGTCTGGCACACACATTCACTCCCTCGTTCATTCACCAGGTGGGCTGAACATGTGGACTGTGTGCTACGGTTCTCACAAGAAAAAGATACATCCCAGTGCTTGAGGAGTTCACATTCAGGTGGAAGTCGAATACAAGAAATCAATCATCAAGAGGAACTCAAGAGAAGGAAACTTGGATTTATTGAGCACCTGTTCAGGCAGGGCATGTCGCATACACACATGCACTTGATGCCATTTATTTCAGAGACAGAGCCGCCTTGGAGATACAAATTTCCCAGCTCTGGTCAGTGCCCTGGCCAACTGCCCATCATTAGGGAAACACAAGTGGATGGTCACCACATCCACTTGTTTTATAATTAATATAATTGAAACCAACAAGAGGAACTTGAAGGGGCCTTACACAGTTTAGAAGACAAATTAACACTCAAGGGCTGCCTCTTCAACATAGGTTTTCCCATCTTTGGCCAAGACATATGATCCCACAAAGCCATTGCCAACCCACAGACATTATTTCACTTCTGTGAGCTTAGAGCACTGAGGTGGCTGGAGTGCACCCTGAGGGCTGATTCTGTGTTTTCCAAATGCACGTCCCGTCGGGAGGTGGGAACATTCCTCATGGTTGCAAATTCTTTCTCTTTCTGCTTCTTTACTCTCTCTGGACAGTGGTGGTGTTTGTATTATTTCTCCTGGGTGATCTCCGGGCATGACTGAGAATGAAGCCCATTGGCTCATTTTCTTAAAGTTTTTCTTTTGAAGAAAGAGGTAAATTTGCCAAGTGTCTGGTCAGGGTTTTGTAGCACCAAGAGTTTCCTTAAAATGGGCAGTTACGCGTCAGATGGGGGCTGTCAGAAGAATGAAGAAACAATCTCCTGCCCCACGAATCAAGTTTTCCCAACTTTAAAGGAGTGGAAAAGAACTCACAAAGCATCAGCATATGAAATAATAATAATAATTAACAACAACAATAATATTAATAATAATCTGACCGACCGGCAGCGTCTGTTGGATTTAATAATTTTGAGGTCTCTCAAGAAAATAAAACAAAAAGCAAACGATAAAAGAAAGAAAAAAAAAAGGAACACATGGCTGAAGTCTTTCAAGACCTCTGGCTTCCCACTGGGCTCTGAGTTCAAGTTTCAGAAATCCACTGCAGTCTTCTGGCTTTCCAGAGTCCTTTAGGGACCCTTCACATTACCCGGCCGGGCAGCAAGGCTGGCGAAGTAGGCACACTGGGAAGGGTCACATTGGCCTGGGGGACCGGGAGGTCCTGGGAGGCCAGGATGTCCAGCTGGTCCTGTCTCCCCTTGAGGGCCAGGGATCCCAGGAAGTCCATCTTTAGCATAGCCAGGTTCCCCGGGTTGACCTGGCCCAAGGAGCAAAAGAAACAGAAGGTGGTTCAAGATCCTTCTGGGAGGGGATGGGCCCTGAACTCACAGCTTCCATTCACTATGAACTCAGGACCTGAAACGTCCTCAGACAGAGCATCCCCATGGTCTGGGAGCTCTGAGCAACTAGAGTGGTCCACATAAACACCAGGTAGCAGGAGCACCTCAATATGTAGAAGAAGGGGTTGCTTTAACTATTTGACCTAGGATAGTAATCCAGGTACCACTGGAGAGAAAGAAACAAGGGTAGATTGAGACCAGGTAGGGCATATTTCTCCACTGAAGAGTCAGATGAGAGACCTGGCCTTCTGGGTTCTTACATGGGTCTAGGGAATGAGTCTGAGTGGAGAGTGGACACCAAGTCCTGATCATTAACCCTCAGCCCCAATTCACATGACCTTAGAGACACCTGGTGACATTCCATTGTGTAACATCCAACTTGTTCCAAATCTGTATTTTCTCAGCTTTATCTACACATTAAATTTGAACCACATATTTGGATTACATTAAGCTATTCTGTAAAATCATGGCCAAAGACAACATCTAGGATGCAAGTAAGTGACACTTAAAATAGTCCAAAATTGAGACCCAGAAAATATTGCCTATAGACAAACTTCTATCCTTTCACTTAGTAAGCATCATGACATCATATATAATCAACCTATCTTTCTTCTTACCTTTGGCAACTCGGAAGGTCAGTGCTAAGCCTTGTGGTTAACCCTAGTAGTGACATCCCTTCTTATGTCTTAGTAATCGTCTTATCAGAAAATATCATATAAAATAAACACAAAGTAAACTTTTTACTTAAAAAGATCTGTAGATATTTCACTAACTCTATTAATGCTTTGGTAATAGCTATTTAATCTATAATCCTGCCTAGATCAAGTTTTGAGGCCTCAGTGTTATTCATTCCTTGGGCTAAGAGCCACTGAAATGGGATAATTATTGGTACAGTTACTTCCTCCTTTTAAATGGTTTCTGTTCTGCCATTTACTCTTTATTTGAAATTGCCTTCTTTTAAAAGTTATTCTTAATATTGTAAGCTATTTGAAAATAGGTGAGCCATAAAAATAAATATTAATAATGTATTTCTAATTATCTTATCTAACAAAAATAATAATAAATATCCACTTTAGAAAATTTGGAAAATCATGAAGGTATAAATACTAAAATCGAAATTCTCTATAAGATCAATATTCAGATTTGACCTCAGGCAAACACAGAAATTAAAGTTAAATAAAAAATAGAAGCCTCAAAAGTCAAATTTCTTCTACCTTCTACCTATACATCTAATTCTGGAATGTGATTATTGCTGCATTGCAGAGATCTTCCAACATGGCTACTGGGTAGCATGACCAACTTGCCCCAGTTTTCTCAAGTCATGTCTTGGCTTTAAAACTGAAATCCTCTGTTCCCAGAAACATCCTCAGCCCTGGGACAGCTAACCACCCTACCACTGGGTGAGCATTCCCCAAAACATATTCTGAGAAATACTAAAAGGATATTAACAACTGTATAGTGAAAGAAAAAGGACTTCTCTTTCAAGTGAATTTCGAAAGTGCTAGGTTAAACAAAACAGACACATTTTTTAATGCGAGAGTCCTTAGCACTTACAATAGTGAATGTGCACCAGAAATGTCTGAAAGAGAAACACAGTCCCCAGCAGTTCCTGATTTAGCCCAAGTCAATTTTTTTTTCCCAGGACCATTTCATGAAATTTTAAACTCGCGGGATACACTTCAACAATTCATAGAATACACTACAGTTTTCTTAGTAAGTCAAGAAGGTCGTATTTTAGAAATATTTAATGAAACCAAGTGAGTGATCTCTGTCTCCTCCTCATCTGTAGAGCCTAAGCCCTCCTCTCCGCTCACTGCTGAGTCCTGTGGGGCCACGGGCAGGGGTGCTGGGTCTCCAGGGTAGCTCACACCCTACCCCTGAGACTGCAGAATGAGTCATACCTGGGATTCCAGGGGGTCCCATCTCGCCTCGGAGGCCAACTCCAGGTGCACCTGGGTCACCTTTGGCTCCTCGCTCACCTGGGAAGAAAAACATGCACTTTTGATGGTGGAGACCCCCGGGGAGGACAGAAACTGGGCGTCCCACCTTGCGGGAGGTGCAGGGGCAGCACTGGGCTGCTGTGGCATTCCAGTCTAAACCACCCTGAGCACACACACTCATGCCGCACAGGACCCCAATTCCCACTCACACACTCATTCACACACACACTCCAGCACACACTCACATTCAGAAGTATGCACATGGAATCACCAAAATAAACAAACACTCCCTCCTAAACACATATCTACATATGAACATTTGCTCAAGCACGTATCTACCCAATTCCATACAGACATATATATATTCAAACCATATTAACAACTGTATACATACACTCATATTCACATACTGACTCATTCAGACAAATGTACACACCTACACACTCTCTCATATGCCGTACACACAGAAGTCCGCATGCATCTCCTCTTATATGTCTATGCTTCCTGTGTTTTCAAAGCATTGTACCTGAACCTTTGTCAGGAAGAAACTGGATGGTATATAACCAATTCAACACGCATGTGGGCATGTGCAGTGATAAGTAACACACAGCTCTACTCTCAAGAAGCTTGAAATTCAATAAGAGAAATCAAATAGGGCAAGAAGAACATTCTAGTATGAAACAGAATGCGATAAATGCCATCATAGGAATTTCAAAAAAACACTACAGACATGCAGAGGAGAGAGTGATCCATTTTCTCTGGGAGGACACTTGAGATCATATTTGAATGAAGATAGTGGAGATTGGATTAAACTGTCTCTCACCCTTGTTTTTTAAATCAATCACTTGTTTTGCCATATTGTTTCTTGAATATCTGCTGCATGCAGTGTATTTTCTCTTGTAACCCCAATTGAAATTCTGCTGGTTCACGGGGACTTCAGACCATTCATTTTTATTGTTATAATAATCGTGTTTGGTCAGTATTCTGCCACAATCTGATGTTCTCTGTTTTATGCTTTCTTATTGACATTTATTTTATATATTTTGTTTTATGAAATCACATGAGTAGGACTAGAATATACAAATTTAACAAAAAGCCTTTCAAGTAGGAGAAACATTATAGGAAATGGATAAGCAAATTAAGAATTAGTAAGAAAATGGGAGATCAAAAGAGGACAATGTTAGAAGCATTCATCTCCCTAACTCCAAGTCACTCCAGAGCAGCTAAAATGACACCACATGCTCCTTTCCCTGCCCCATGCTTATTCCTAATCGGTCGGACAGGAGTGAATTATGGGGCTGGTCTCCTGTCTTTTATCTTTATTTGAAATTGCCTTATTCAAAAATTATTATTAATTATATAAGCTATTTGAAAGCAGGCAAGCTTAAAAAAATAGATAAAATATTTTTTAAACAACCTTTTATAAATCATTCTACTATAAAGAGACATGCACACGTATGTTTATTGCAGCACTATTTACAATAGCAAAGACTTGGAACCAACCCAAATGCCCATCAATGATAGGCTGGATAAAGAAAATGTGGCACATATACACCATGGAATACTATGCAGCCATAAAAAAGAATGAGTTCATGTCCTTTGCAGGAACACGGATGAAGATGGAAGCCATGATTCTCAGCAAACTAACACAGGAACAGGAAGCCAAACACGGCATGTTCTCACTCATAAGTGGGAGCTGAACAATGAGAACACATGGACACAGGGAGGGGAACATCACACACCAGGGCCTGTCGGGGGGTGGGGGTCAAGGGGACAGAGGGCATTAGGACAAATACCTAATGCATGCAGGGCTTTAAACCTAGATGACGGTTTGATAGGTGCAGCAAACCACCATGGCACATATATACCTATGTATCAAACCTGCACGTTCAGCACATGTATCCCAGAACTTGAAGTAAATTTTTTTTTTAAAAAAAAACCTTTTGTTAAAAAAAAAGTTTTTAAATTTATTTTTTAATCCTTCCTCTCTCTCTCACATCTGTCTTCCTGCAGAGAGAGTAAGTGTTCTGCTGACACTTGGCTTCTTCTGACCTGTTTGCCACTGTGTGATGAGTTAAATCATATGGCCTCCGCCCTTTGAAGGAGAGACCTTCTGTTGGCTGGAGCTCTGATGTCCTGATAAGTCACTGCCTTGAGACCTGGGCAGTTAACAGCTGTTTTGTTCCAATTTTAAGGCTGGCATTTAATCTCCATTGAGATTAAATGTCTTATTCCTCAGTGCTAAACTCAGTAGGGGAAAAAGGAGGCATGTTGTTTACCTCCCTGAAACTTGAGCAGCGGAGATGGAGAGAGAACAAGAAAGTAGGAAGGAACTGATTCAATCTTCCTAGCAGAAGCATAATTTTGTAAAAATGTCAAGTATGAAAGCCTCTTATGCATATGATAAAATTATATGATGCCAAAACTCTGGGTGTTACCAAGCTACAGGGAATGAGAGTGGCATGAATAATGCATGCAGTGCCACCTCCCAGCCCTGTTCCTTCTCCGCCCTCCAGGAGTACACGGAGCATATCTCCTCCAGGTCTTCACTCACCTTTGGGACCTATGGGTCCAGAGGGTCCTTCCAGACCCCCCTGCCCAGGACGACCTGGCTCCCCCATGGGGCCGGCCCGGCCTGGAAGCCCATCTTTTCCAGGGGGCCCTGGGGGCCCAGGTCTGCCTTGAGATGACTTCATGTACGCCGGGGGCATCTGGGCCAGGAGGTAGGCGAGTCTGGCTGTAAAGTAGAAAAAGAGAGGCATTTCATGAAGAACAGATAGTGGACATAGGACAGGATGGCTACTCACTGACAACTCAGAACCAGGGGGCCGATAATAGCTGCAGAAACGGACATAGGACAGGATGGCTACTCACTGACAACTCAGAACCAAGGGGCCGATAATAGCTGCAGAAACAACATCAATGACACGTCACATGACACATGTGCAGCATTTGTATGGGCACCTTCTGATTGCGGCTGGCCATGGGGTGACTTAATCAGTAGTGACCATCGCTGCCCCTGGAGCAAGTCTGCCCAGGCTGGGATCCCAGGACAGCCACGGACAGCCAGGTGGCCTTGAGCAAGCTACTTGACCATTCTCAGCCTTGGTGTCCCTTTCTACGCAATGGAGACAAAGAAACCGCACCCTACCCCACTGGGCTGGAATGAGGATGGAGTAAGTGAGATGATGCATGTGGAATAGTGCCTGGCACTTGCTAAGTGCTCAGGAGATGCTGGCTGCTACCCCAGGCGCAGAACGACGGAAGCCATAGTAGCATGGACAGCAGTAGCAGCAGTAGCAATTGCAATGGTCAGTTGGGGAAACTGATGCTGGGGTGGAGGAGGTAAATGGCTTACACAAAGCTATGTTGGTCACTTTTCCTCTCCGATGTCAAAGTCCTCATCTATAAGCTAAAGGGCTGGACATGATGGTCACTGGAGATCCTATACATCTAAAATGTTAATATGACAGAACTGATTAAAAAACCCAGAGGTCCAGTGCTGGTCTGGCAGCCTTTCAATGGGACAGGGGATATATGCACATCTGGTGGCCACCAAGGGCAGTCTTTGTTAGCCATGCAGTCATAGGTAATCAGACCCAAACTGCTATTTTGCAGACAGTGTGACCAAAACCAGAGGCTGGGAGGCTACCCAAGGCCCCCGGCGTTTGATAGGGGAAACCAGGGTAGAGTCAGGCTCTTCTGACTGCCTGGTTGATCACTTCCCAGAGTGTCTCCCTCCTACTACTCCTCTCACAAGGTGGCAGGAGGACAGGTGGTTGGCTTCTGCGACCTTGACAAATTGCTCAACTTTTCTGAGCCTTGATTTTCTCATCGTTAAAGTGGAGTGGATGCTCCTTCCTCAAAGGCCTGTTTGGAAGAAAGGACTCAGCCCAGCAGATTCTCTATCCAAACCATTTTGAAACGGCTCTTGTCTCTGCTCTTGGGCTAGAAATCCCCCAAAAGCAAAGGTTATTTCTGTCACTGATGAATCCAGGATTCAGAAGGTAGAACTCAGAGATCTACACACATGAGACCTCAGAACACCACCCACCCATGGTGCCCACCAATTTGTTCCTTATTTCCCTCCTCTCATCGCCTCCTTCTCCCACCCAAAACCCACTCCTTAACGTGTGCTTCAGAAAACAGCCCTTTGCCCTCATTTCCATACAGGAAAAAGATCGTGTTCTTTTTCCTGCATGGAAATGGACTGTGTTCCCCTGGACACTCCAAGAGGACAGGAAGGAGGGCCGTCTTGTTTATAGCTGTGTCCTTGCTCCCAGCACAGACTCTCGCAATGGGAGGTGCAAGATAACTGAGACATGATCATGTGAATAAACGTGCCCTCCCCTTTTGTCCTTGTGCTCCTGGAAAGTAGTTATGGATTTCTCTTCTTTGCTGCAACAAGAACTTGTGTGACTTTCTTCTCCTCTAACTTCCTATTGCAGAGGGAATGGGAAAGGCTGTTGTTCAAGAGAGCTTGGTGATGAAGAACACAGAACCTTCAGTGAGGCTGCCCAGGTGCAAATCCTGGCCAGATCTTCCCAGCTCATCAACCTTAAGTTACTTAGCCCCTAATAATTCTGCTTCTAACAATTCTTACAATAATTACATGAGCCTCATGAGATTGTTTGGAGGCTGCTTTGGGTTAACACTTGCAAGTGCTGAGAACTTCACCTGATCTTGGCAAATGCCAACATGTTGGCACGATTACTACTATCCTCCTACCTTCCTCCCTCCCTAAGCATCTGCTACGCACAGGCACATGCTAGACCTGGGGACTTAACAATGAGTCAATGCAACATGACTGAAAGGATTTTAGTTCCTTGAAAGCACTAGGCCTGCCTGCCCTGCTCAGGGCCTTCATACATGTTGCTCCATAGACCTGGGGTCACATTTCATCTTTCAACTTGTAGCTCACATGGCCCCTCCTCCAGGAAGCCTTCATTAATCCACTCCCTGGCCTCTGAACTATCTTAGGTATGTTCATCTGTCCTCTTTTAATGCCTGCTGTGACAAATAAAATTTAAGAACCTCTATTGACTTTACTAAAATCATCTTGTCTATTTGTTTATCTACCTCCTCTGGACTGTGAGTTTCATGAGGCTCATAGCAGTAACTAAACAAAATTCTTTACAGACTAGATAAATGGCTCAATGCACAGAATAAATGATTGATCATAGCAGAGCTCTTTTTGTAGATAGTGAGCTCTCCTTCACTAGAGGTAACCAAGTGAAAGCTGAAGGACTAGTCCTAGAGAAAGTATGTGTCAGATAAAGGACAGAACAGTCTTCAGGGCATTCCCCAACCCTGATAGTCTACACTTGAGCTGCCGGTCAAGTGCTTTTCTTATTCCAGGATGCAAAAGCATTCAAGGCTGAGTGAGAGAACTGCTTCCTGGGCTCTTCTCTGCAAGACCGTAACACAGTCCAGATACTCACTTTCAAGCTGCTTCCCCAGCTCTTCTTGAATAAGCCGACGCAGGGTTTCCATGGATGGAGACTCCCCCTAGGAGGGAGGGAAGGTGGAGTCATTCATCTTCCCAGTAACTTCTGCCACCTAAGAACCCTGAGGACTTGGGAAACCAGGAAGTTCGTAGGTGGTATATACCCACACAGGGAAGCACATGTTCCTAGCCCAATCTTTTCCACATCTCTAATCCCTTCCTCTCTTCTCTGTTATGCAGGCAGCATCATCCCATTTTACACAGCAACCCGGACTCTGGGCTCTCTGAGCCACTACTGCCCTTCCTTCCATACCCTTCCAGCGTATTCACTGGATTTCCTTCCTGCTGAAGCCACTGTGCCCATTAATTCCACTCATATTCCCTTCTTCGCACTGGACCTGGGAGATCTGGCCCCTAATCTCTGCTGCCAAAGTTGTGTCCACCTTTTGGACATAGCCTACAGGCTGCCTTCTATGTGAACTCATGTGGATTTCCCCTGCCTGGCTACTTGGCCACTCTGGTTCCCATGCTCTGGTTTTCCCTGCTTAGGTCCACTGTGGCTCTAAACAACTTTCTCACCAAGTCCTGGTGCTTGGTCCACAGAAGCTGATGAGTTTGACAACCAGAGGAGCAAGTGTTGTCTCCAAGCTCAAAGAGTGGTATGTGATTCTTAGAAGAACTTAGAGGAGCTGTCCTCAGGCTGTACAGAGCTGGTCCCTTCCTGCCTGACTGCTCCAGGGCACTGTCTACCCCTCAAGGGCAGGGGTCTTACGGTGCTCATCTCTGTAGCCCCATACCTGGCATGAGATAGATTCTGTTTCCTTATTCTTTTATTCTGACCAAGAATCTTCTATGTTAGTCCCAGTATTCTCATCACCGCCCATAGCAGCAGGACTGGCAGAACTTGGCAAAGCTCCAAGAGGGCTTTGGAAGTCAGCTGAGTGCTCCAGCCTCTCCACTGACTTGGCCAAGAGACAGGCTCTGGCTGCCTGGCGTCTTTCAGGGCACCTGAAACCCAGGCTGACCACAGCCACCAGGAACTGACGCGACTGCAGAGCATCAGAAGTGGCAGGGACATGGAGGTCATCCAGACCTGGGCTCTGAGAAATATGAGGGTCTCCAGAAGACCATATGGGCTGTTGAGCCGGAAGGAGTGGTCACATGGACTTCCACCAGGGGATCTCTGCGTTTATCTTTTTATAGCCCGTGTATGCCTGTGTCATGAGATTGTGTAAAATGAAAGTGCTGCTACTAGAATAAAGGATGTTTAAAGAAAGAAAAAACCATCATCACTCTAAATAAGCCCTTGTTCCCAGCTTTGGAGAAAGAGAGACGCAGGGGGACGAAGGAGTACTCTAGGTCGGCAGATACAAGAGTGGCATAGCCAGGCATCGAAATGGATGGTAAACCATCCCACAGTGAAGTTCAGACCCCTGGGAGCTGGGTGTCTTCTCAACTGCCTTTTGCACAAGGTCCTGGGCAGAAGAGTTCTACAGCCCAAGAAATTAAGTCTTAAGGATTCATTACCACGAGGAAGAGGGTTGAACAGAAGAGGGACTATTTTTGAGCATTTCTTAAGCTAGACACGTTATTTCACTTGATCATCATAAATCAGAAGAGGATTTTGTTTTCCCTTTTTGCAGACAAGGAACGGCAGATTCAGAGAGGAAAAGTAGCCTGCCCCAGGTCATACCTTCAGTCACTAGAAGACTGGGATCTGTAAACTGGTGCCTCTGAAGTCCACACACTTCCCTGGCTCCCCCTTAGGCCCCGAGGAGCCCCGAGTCCAAAGCCATATTAGCATCCTTACCCTCAGTCCTGGAAATCCCGGCTGGCCTGGAGGCCCTGGGGGTCCAACTGGTCCATTCTCCCCAGGTAGTCCTTGGGGACCCATCAGGCCTGTGTGGCCTTTGTGGCCTGGGATTCCAGGGTCCCCAGGCTGGCCTTTTCCACCAGGAGGTCCTTTGTCACCTTTGATCCCAGGATCTCCCTAAGGAGGAAATAAGCATGTCAGCATGTGTCTCAGGGCTGGAAGCTGTACCCCATGCAGCTGCAAAAGGGGTTCCCCCAGTCTGCCTCTTAGATCACTGAAAGGGAGACCTTGGCCCTGGGTGGCCCATGTGTGGCTTGGGGTGAGAAGAGCCCCAGAATCCATCACATGCACTGTCCTGATTGTACAAATGAAAATATGGGGGAGGCTGAGGCTGGCAGATCATGAGGTCAGGAGATTGAGACCATCCTGGCTAATACGGTGAAACCCTGTCTCTACTAAAAATACAAAAAATTAGCCGGGCGTGGTGGCAGGCGCCTGTAGTCCCAGCACTCTGGGAGGCCGAGGCAGGCAGATCACGAGGTCAGGAGATCGAGACCATCCTTGTTAACCCTGTGAAACCCCGTCTCTACTAAACAAAATACAAAACATTAGCCGGGCGTGGTGGCAGGTGCCTGTAGTCCCAGCTACTCAGGAGGCTGAGGCAGGAGAATGGCGTGAACCCGGGAGGCGGAGGTTGCAGTGAGCCAAGATCGCACCGCTGCACTCCAGCCTGGGCGACAGAGCAAGCCTCTGTCTCAAAAAACAAAACAAAACAAAACAAAACAAAACAAAAACATGGGCAGCCAGGGCAAGATGTTATGACTCCATCATTAGCAAAATTTTTTTTAAAAAAACTAGCCAGGTACAGTGGCAATTGCCTATAGTCCCAGCTACTTGGAAGGCTGAGGTGGGAAGATCGCTTGAGGCCAGGAGTTTGAGACGGCAGTGAACTATGATCATGCCACTGCACTCTAGCCTGCGTGACAGAGTGAGACTCTGTTTTTTAAAAAAGAAAGGAAAAGGAAAAAAGAAAACATGCAAGGCACAGAGACAGAAAGCCACCAGCCCATGGTCACACAGGTAGTCTATAGAGAACAGGATAAGAATGTTGATTGCGGAATTCCAATCCTATTCTCAATCCCAAGAGTGCAGCTCCTCGGGCTGCCTGGAGAAGGCTGGCCCTGGCAACTGAGACTGATGGTGGAGCTGCTGACCCCTTTATGGCCTGGTTTTGCTCTCTAGAGAGACAGTGGTCCTCTCTCAACAGAGGTGTCTCCCTCCCAGGTCATCTCTCTCTCCTTTCTCTCAGCTCTAAGGAGTTCACAGAGGATTATCCAATGGCCTCCAACACTGCCTAGGGCTCATCTCTCCCCACAGCTGACCCAGAGCTGGAAGTGCGGGACCAATGATTTGGGAACTATGGCAAGCCCAGGGCAGTCCAGTCCTCTGCCTTTATGTGCTACTGTGTGTTTGACCAGCAAGTTCAAATGATTAGTTGGTCTGAAAATATGGCAGCCACATTAATGGCCTCAGAGATAATGGAACTCCATTGCTGGGATGTAGCTGAGAAAGGGAGGCACAGGGAGAAAAAGAAGAGACACCAGATGGTAATCGTAAATGTGTGGCATGGCTGAGAACGTGACCCAGAGCCACAGAAAAGGAAAACAGTGCAGTCACCAAACCGTCTCTAACATACGCACTTAAATGAAAAATGCAAGGAGTGAGACAATAGATAACGTCTGACATGCTCAGAGTGGGGAGGGGGTTAAATACAAGGTAAATGCACATTTATAACACACACCACACACAATTCTGTGTGCACAGACTCCCTCTGAAAAGATAAAAAGCCAAAGCCCTGTGATGGACCCTGGAGAGGAGATGGGGCTAAGGGGTGAGATGGAAGGGGCACAAAGTTTTCATTGCATTCACTTGTCCTGCAATTTTCACTGTTGAACAATGTACCTGTATTGCTTTTAATATTTCAACAATAACCCAAAATCAGTGAATTCAAAAATAATAATGTAGCCAGGTCCAAAGAAGTCACTTCAATTTTCCAAGCGTGATGCATTTCACAGGACGTTGCAATCTCTGTCAGTGATCTTGAATTCAGGGGTCTAGTAAAGTCCTGATATTTGTACACCTGGATGCTAAGGCCCTATCTCATGCATGGTACAGAATTTTCTATTCATTAAATATCTCACAATCACTTTGTGGTGACAGGACTTATCCCATATTTCAAATGTTCCCAGGAGTACAAAGAAAAGGGTAGTCTAATGGCTCCCTGGCAATGTGCCATGAAAGCACTTAACAGGGAAAAGGCAAGCTCTCCGCCTATTGATTAGGTATTAAAGAAGAGATGCCATTGGTGGTCTGAGTTCCTTGGCTCTCAACCGAAATTCAAGCCCATATCCTGTGCCAGTAGCTCCCACGGCTGCCTGAGTCGCATTCTCGGGGGGGAACATCAACGCCTTCTCAGCCACATGTCCCTCATGTCCCTGGCTCCATCGCTCAGGAACCAACAGCCACGGGATAGAGGAATCAAAGTCATGGGAAGGAGACAGGAGGAAGATCCAGGGGGGAGAATCCCTGAGACTCTGCCCCCACTTTTCTCACTCCTCTGGCTGTGGGAGAAGCCAGCCGGCTCCCCACCCACCCCACTTGCGAAGAAAGCCGAGATAAATTCTTTTCAGGACCATGGAAAACAAGCGGGGGTGGGCTGGGGGTGCCTGGGACGTCCATGTCCGTGTCGTGCAACAGTGTGACAGCGTGAGGCTGACCAAACGCAGGATTGTGGGCAAACGAGACGCATAAAGCCTCCAAAGGGAGCAGCAGTCGTGAGTGTGAGAACGCGTCCGCCTTCCACAGGCTCTTCAGAAGAAAAAAAAGAAAAAAAAGTCTTTTCCCCTCTTGTTTTTTGGAGAAATGAAATGTAAAGAAAGGCTTTCTGAGTATAACGCCAAGGCAATTCATTATGGGAAAATCTGTTCCCTTGTCACCTCCAGCGACAAATTTGGCTCCTGGCAAATTGGCACTTCGGGAGCCGAGCCCGTCTCGGCGGGCATTCGCACACGGGGAGAAAGAAATCTGTCAATGTCTCCCAAGGCTTGCCTTTGAATCTCTAATTGTGATGATTTTAGTCCTTAAAATGATAACCAAAAAGAAAAAAAGGAAAAACATAATAATAACATCAAGTACAAACAATACTGGGAGGAAAAGAACCTCCCTTTGTGGGGCTGGTGATCATCCAGGAAAAAGTGAACAAAATCACTACAGGCGGCATGATCCAGGCGGGTGTTTACTAACTGCCTTGGACAAAGGCCAGGCTCAACATCCTGTGGCCACTGTGCAAAGGTCGCGTTCGGCGTGTTCAAGGTGCCTGTGCTCTCCACTCACCCTTTCTCCTTTGAATCCAGGCTCTCCAGGCTTCCCAGGGACCCCCTGCAAGGAGAAAGAAAGGACAGTCATTGCCCCGGGCCCTCTGCACTGGTGTCCTTGCCTTGCTGGATATTCTTCACAGTCCTGCATGCTGAGGACAAGGGACCCTCAAAAGATAAGGTCCCCCGAGGGCTCCTTTCTGATTTATGCCTACATGGTGGGGGTGGGGGCGGCACACTGTGCCTTCTCTCCTTTCCTCCTGGCACTGTCCACCTTTGACTGATGGCACCAGCCCTGGGTTGGCCCCTCCAGATTCCTCCCCTACCTCTTGTGGGATAAACCCCACTCCCTTTAACATGTCCAGGAGGCCCTGCACGAATTGTTGTCTTCAACAGGCTGTCACTGCCCTGGATGACTCTAGTGCAGGGGACAGATAGTTCTGCGGTCTCATGGCCTCTGTTCCTTGTCTTGCCCTGTGCCTGCAGCATGCTCCCCACCTCTCTGTCCGGATACCTACTTCCCACCTGGCCTGCAGGTCTCCTCTTCAGGAAGCCCCCCGATCACCCAACATTTAGAGAAGTGGCCCTCTTCTATGTTCCCACAGTCCCCACTCCCTTCTGGAGGGCAGTCACGTCAGGGAACAAGGGACACGGCCCACAGTGCCCACTGCTTCTGTCATTGTCTCCACCTGGAATGTCTCTTTCTTCCCTCTCTGCCCCCAGCTCCTCTGCCATCTCCTCTCTAAAGCATTGACTAATCCCTCTGGCCAGTGTCCATTCTCACGCATGGGTTACTTTCCTGCCAGCTGACACCTAACTTTCTTTCTCCCCAGATATGATGACCAAGGTATGCTTGTCTGCCTGCCTCTTAGACAGCACACATTTGGAAAGCAGAGCTTGATATTGGCGAAGGAAATTCAGCCCGGGGGCTCTTTTCCCATCTCTTGGTTGATAGACTCTACATTGATTAAAGAGAAGAAAGTCAAAGAGAGTACTCTTGAGCTCTTCTGAGCCTGGCCATTTCAGCCCCAGAAACATTCATCGCATCCCTTTCATGCAGGTGCCATGTTCAGCCCTGAGACCTATGCAGAGGACAGAGATAAGACATGGTCCTCATCCTCACAGAGTTCACAACCTGTCCATGAGGTGGCGGTGGGCATGAGTTGATTCTAACACAAGGCAGACTGATTTAATTGCTGTAACATAATTACCAAAAGCTGCCTCGGTATTCCTGGATGAATCTTTAAGTTGGGAAGCACAGAGCCTTGAAAGTTGGATAAAATTTAACAACAAAAGGCGGCAGGAAAGGCATTATAGGTGCGTGGAAGAGTGAGGACCAAGCCTTGGATGGGAGAAGGTGGAGATATACTGGGCATGAGGAAGCAGGAGGCTCCCATTCTAAGGGGAGAGCTGGATCATATCTGGAAGACTTAGGATGCCTGCTTAGCCTAGAATTTATTCGAGAAGTCCAAAGAGAATTCGTGTAGGCAGCAGCCCAAGTACAAGCACATGGGGCTGACGCAGCCCTCAGAAATGGGAGCTACGGGTATTTCCTCTTTACCTCATTCCAGGAAGCAGAGTAAACAATGATTGGGCAATGAATGAATGATACACTCAGTGAGTGGCACCCTATGGCTGGGGTGAGGAGTAAACACTTTCCGAATATGAAGCTATCCGACTCAGCTTCAAGGAAGTGACCACCTCCCTGAAGTTAAGAACGTGACCCAAAGGCACAGGGTAAAAATGCGTCTTCCTCATTCAAGGGGGAGAATGCAGGCCTTGAAACGGAGAAGCTAATTTCCATAGACCTACTTTCTCTGCATTCAGTCATTCTTCTGTTCATCTCTCATCAAATATTTTTGGTATCTAGTCTGTGCTGGTCTCCTGGGCTACAGCAGAACAGAGCAGGGTGCTAAAACCAAGCATTGTGGGGGGTCTGCTTTGCTTCAGTGTCAAGGAAAGTTGGCAAAGGCAATATTTCAGCTGAGACCTCAGTTTGAGTAGGAATAAGCATGGGAAAAGAGAGCCCTTGGAAAAGAACTTGGCACGTCTCAGGAGCTAAGAGGCCAGTGACTAGAGCTTAGAGAAGGAGGGGAGTGGTGGGACTGTGGCAGCCTGGATTCCACGGAGAGTGCAGGGGGAGGGCAGACCTGCAGGTTGTACTGCAGTGTCTCCATATGCTTATGCTCAGCAGACCCTCTGTCTGCTGGGTAGAAGACTGTGGAGGGGCAAGGCTGGACAAAGGGAGATCCATTAGAGGATCACTGCAGTGTTCAAGTGAGAGCAGGTGACAGATCAGATCAGAGTCCCAGTGGCAGAGACAGAGAGAACTGGACAAAACCTACAGGTATTTGAAGTCAGAGTTGACAGGATTTGTTGATAGCTTGGATGCTGAGGAATAAACAAGTGAAACAGACATACCAAGACGGTGCCCCTGCACTGGCTACATAATTTGTGGGGCTCCGGGCAAAATTAAAACATGAGCCAGGTGTTCAAAAGGCATTAAGAATTTCAAAACAGTGAAGGTAGAGAGTGTTAAGGCAAGTGTGGGCCCTTCTAAGCCCAGGGCCTGAGCCTGCATAGACTGCCCATTGGTGGTAAAGGGTTGCCAAGGGGTGAGTGGGCGTGTGATACTTGCCTCCTTGCCTGGGACTCCTTTCTCTCCTGGTTCTCCCTGGAAAACAGAACAGAATATCAGTGGCTCTGCAGCATCAGCCCAATGTCAGTACTAAGACTGTCTTTAAAACTGACATTTCCACTCAAGTCATGTTCCAGCAAAGACAACAATCGATGGTCTACCTGGCCAAGGACATCCCAGACAGGCTCTCTGGCCAGCCTGTGCAGGGGAAAGCAAAAAATCACCCCAGGTTAGGAAGAAGAGCCACGGGTTAAGAGCTCCTTGTCAATGGGATGGATATGACTCCACCAAGAGGGCCTCCAGGATATCGATTTTACAAATAGTCCTGTTGTGATCAGGAGGCCTCTCTGAGAAGTAGGCCCATAATGTGTGAAACAAGAAACCAATAAGACACTGGGCTCCAGGTTCAATTCTTGGCTCCTCCACTGTTTGGCTCTGTGATCTTAAACAACCTCCCTACAACTTCCATAAGCTCTCTGTGCCTCAGTGTCTTCATCTGTAAAATGAGAACAGTGGTTGTACCTGCCTCAAGGATTACTGTGAGGTGTCAATGTGTTAGTTCTCCAAAAGCACACTGGGCAGTGGCAGGCATGTAGTGAGGGCTGGACAAGCACCCCACTCTTATCATGACTCAGGAGCAATTGCTGCAGTGCATCCACAGGAGTGGGTGCCTGGCTGCTCAGTAGCAGCAGATTATTAACAAGGGGATGGAGAAGGAGACTTGGCCTTTAGCAAGGGAGTGAATAAGCCCACGTAAAAATCAGTGAATGGGACCGTGCAAAGCCTGGGCAGCATGGTAGAGAAGGGTAAGAGGGGCTACCACCTCCAACGGGCTGGGCTTGGCTGGCAGTGGGGCATGCAGAGGGGTCAGAATTAAATTGGAGGGTATGGACAAGAACATGGGTAAGCTCTCTACTCTGGTATGTTACATGCAAGCCTCATTCATCAGGTCAGCAGTCCAGGGAGTGGACTGCAATATGCAGATGACACCAGAGGGCTCCACTTGGAAATGTTTGAATCCCTCAGCATCTCCCTGTCCAGAAACTTGGCAAAGATTACCTTACAGCTTCCCCCTGCCTTAAGCTGTCAAGTCAGGAGACCTTGACTCAAGGACAAGCTGGAGTGCAAACCTACCACATGGCTTTGAGTAAATCACTTACATGTTCTGACCCTACGGCTCAAACTTGCTCACCTTTACTATTATTTCCAGGGGTCCTTCAAGTTCTAGGATCATGATCAACACCATTGTCCCACCACATGCATCATTACAATGGTTTGTATTTATTGAGCACCTGCAGTGGGTCAGGAACCATTGCTGATCCCTTTATATGAATGATTTCATTTAATCCTCAGAAGTAGATGCTGTCGTTATCCTCGTTTGCATAATGAGACAGCTAAAGCATAAGAGGTTATGACACTTTCCTAAGATCTCATGATTAAGGAGTGATGGCACTGAGATTGCCATGCAGGTGTGACCTCTGGGCACTCCACTGTCTCTTAAACCATGATGCAACTTTGACCCCACACAGGTCATCATGGCCTGAGCAGACAGAACTGAGGACACAGGAGGTGGCAGGGAAGGTACTGCATGTGAACATCACTACCTGGAGCCAGGTATCTTGGGCCCCACTGGGGTTCTCTGCTTACCGGAGGCCCACGGGGACCCAGGAAGCCAGGAAGTCCTGGGCTGCCATTTTCCCCTTTGCTTCCTTTCTGGCCCTGCAAAGAGAAAACTGAGAATTAATTCCTCAAGGTCACGTACCAACTCAAGCAGATTTGGAAACCTTGTGACCACTCTGAAATCAAAAGGCCTGAGACATCCACACAACACACAAATCCTCCCATGATGGAGGGGCATGGGTTAGGAAAAGACACGGGGTCTTGGGACTCCTGGTAGTGCTGTCACAGCCAGGGGAAGAAGATGAGGTCTCCCTGTAAACAGCCAAGGGTCTTTCCATTTGAAGCAACGAAAACAAACTGAGACAGATATTTAACAAAGACCCTGAGATGTGTGGAGCTCTCCAAGGAGTGCTCTAGTGAGATGGCATACCACTGCCCATGAGGCGGCCAAAGCTCACTTGGTAGAATCACATTTTGGGAAAGGACTTTGGGAATTTTTCAACTTCAACTTTTCTGGGGAGCCATCATGCATGGGTCAGTACTTCCAGGATCAACTCTGCACTAGGGGAGGTGATGGGTCCAGCCTCTTGACCCAATCCCACCTCCTCTGTTCTGTCTCACAAGCAGCAACAGGTCCCATACCACAGCCCCTGAGGGAGGTCATTATGTTTGCTAGGAAGTTGGATTCCTTTTGCATAGCTGTCCCTAGTCCAACAAGAGGAGGGTCTCCGCTAGGGTGATCAGATGCCGAGTTTGCCTGGAACCAGTAGGTTTCCCAGGATGCAGGATTTTCCAGTTGGGAAAGTTCCTCACAAACTGAGATGAGCTGGTCACCGCAGTATCCGAAGTACCAAGTCCTGGTCAGCCCATTGCCCGGTACAATTGACAGTTGGCTCACACCTTGCAGGTGGCCTTCTGAGTCAGGCAGCCAATTTTAGCAAGTAAAAATACAAGAAGACTAGATTGGAAGGAGACTAGTGGCCAGAGCTTTTCTCATCCAACCCTAGAACCCATTAAAGAACCATCTTCCCCACCATGTCTCCCCACCTACCAGGACTGAACCCCAAATCCTGTATTTGATATCTAGCTGACCAGGACTCTGCTGATTGGTATGCACCCTCTCTCTACTGCCTGCCCATTGAGCTCTCTCTGCTACCTACCTGTTGATCCTTTTTGTCTCCCACCCCCGTCCCTACCTCCATTCCCATGCTGCACACTTTGTCATTTGAGGTGGTAAGGGTTGCTCAGTCTGACCTCATCCTCCCATCCTCTGGAAACATCAAACTTCTACCCTACAACTTTGTTAAACATTTTTTTAAAAAATGTTTGTTTTGGGTGCCTATGGATGTAGACCATAGATGCCTACGGTTATAGTCAACAAAGAGCCAATCGCATGATATATACTTTAAACCTTAAAAAATGGCCCTATGGAGCCTCTTACCTCCAACCTATTTCTACCACTCAAACCCATATGTCCCCACCGATGCTTCTAGGGACAGAGGCTGGACAATCTGTAATGTGATCCACAAGCCCTTTCAAAGCCCACCCTGATGCCATCACATAGCAGCCAAAGAGAACTCACAGGGGTTCCTGAAGGGCCAGGCTCTCCTGGAGATCCCGGTGATCCATTCTTGCCCTGGTGGAAGAAACAGAGGTAATCATCCTGCCAGGGCATCAAAGAGCAGGACGGTGGAACAAAGAGATAGACTGATGCACAGGACTTGGTTTTACACAGAATCTGTTACTCTAGCCAGTGTGGCTCTCAGTCTACCACTTCATTACTCAGAGGATGTTTCTCAACTTCTAAAAGGAACTTGTAATATTTAATTCATAATATTGTTGTGAAATCAAATGAGTCCGTGGGCATGAAAAAGTCTAGCCTGGTGAATGGTGCCCACAGCTGAGGCATAGTAAATAATTATGACCACGTTCATTCATTCATCTATTCATCCATCCATTCAGTTGCTGTGTTGAAGAACAAACAAACCATCTAATACAACCCAGCTTACACATAATTGCTCACACTGCCACAGTGCTGGTCTCAGCTTAGGAAGCATGTCCATGCACTTATCTCCTTGTACTCCCCGACTAAGGAGATCATTATACTCTCATTTAAAATACGTAGATACTGAGGCACAGAGAAGAAAAATGGCTTGTGCAGAGTCATGCAGCTACAAAATGGAAGGTCCATTCACTCCAGATTCCAGGACTGAGGCTTCCAAGTCTAATTTTCTCTAACTTCACAGAGATATATTGTGCACATTCATAGTTTCGGTGAATACATTTAACAAACAGGATCCCAGTAGAGTAAAAACAAGAAAGCTCAAGAATGTTCTTGGCTACTCCCTTTCAGGATCAGACAAATTTCTATGAAGCCAAAAATTCACAGCTTCAATTCCCCAGGCTGTGTTCGTCTCTTCCTCTGCCCACCACACTCCCCCACTCAGGGCACATTCCCGTTGGCTGCTGTGTCTTTACCTGGCTCTCTTTCCCACCACGAGTAACCCAAAGGCAGAGTCTACGCCTTGTCGTTCTTTGGATTTCCAGCCTAGGAGGAGAGAGCCTCCTTGTGTGTCTCCAATGCAGTGCCAGACACACAGGAGGTTTCCTGCTAAATAATAAACCAAGGACATCCTAGAGAATCACTCTCCGTTGATCCTTTAACCAAGAGGTGTGAATGCCCTCTAATGTGCGAAGCATGCATTCACAAATGCGTTGGATTCACGGAAGCATGTTCCACTATAAAGTAGCTGATGCTGACCGGGCACTTCCTACATGCCAGACTTCTTCTAAGAGCTTTGCATTTTGCATGCATTAACTCACTCATTGCTCACATCAGACACAAACATCATCACCCTTTTACAAATGGGGAAACTGAGGCTCAGAAATGCTAAGCCACCTGCCTGCGAGGCAAGTCAAGGAGCTGAGATCTGAACATAGGCAGCACTGATTCCATCTCACACTGCTCTGCCCCTCCTTAAGGACATGCCTTATGGGTCAGCGATCATAAATACAGCTTCCACCTTGAGCCTTCAAAGCACATGCATGGCCATGGCCTCATGTCACTGGATCCTGCTGGGAATCATGCAGCACAGACGTCTTTCTCCCCATATCCCAGAATCCCCATCACAGACCTGCCAGGGATCGCTGAGCTAGTAAGGTCTAAAATCAGAGCAGCCAGCTGGATTTGTGGACTGCTTACCCATACTCGGCCCTTCCGCGAACGCTGCATAACGCTTCTCCCTGCACCTTCCTCCGCCCACCAACCCATCTGTGTCCCTCTAAAAATATGTACTTTGCCTTATCCCTATGGAAATTCTAGCCCTCCTCCTTCTTTCTCTAATCTTCCCTTCGCAGGGAGGATAAGGGCCAAGACATTGCAGAGAGGATAAGGGCCAAGACACAGTAGCATACGGTGCCAACACAGGCCATGTGCACAGAAGGCAGGGTGGTTCTGGGTGGGTGCCTGTGCTCTGTGCACTTGAGGCCTACTGGGGCTGGAACCTGGTTCCCTCCTGGGCTGCAGAGCCACTCCTGTGTCCTGCTGTCCCTCGCCAAGCCCCTTGGATCTCTGCTTCCCAGGAATGGAAACCACAGTTCCCCTTTTCAACCCTTTTGAGCTCCAAACTCCTATTCTAAGACCCCTCCTTCCAGGATGATCTTTGTGACAAGGACTTCTAGCACACATCAGCCAGTCTGGGTGTTTGAGCTGCAGGCTCTTGAATGAGAATGCTGGAGTCCAAATCCTGGCTGTGCCACTGACTTGCAGTGTGATCTTGGGCAAGTTACTAGACTTCTCTGTGCTTCCATTTCTCATCCGTGAATGCGGACAGAAATCACACCTGTCTCACAGGGTTTGGGGAGAAAATGAATGAATCATGTAAATGCACCACTCCACTGGTGCTTGTTGGAAACTAGTGGCTGTGAGGTGGTTGCCATATGGCCTATTCTTACCTCTGGGTGTCTGTAGATTTTAGAGAAAGCAAAATGACAGTTTTCAGGCCACACATACATTCGCAATCATCACAACTATTGATGGAAGCACTCTATACATATTCAATGTCTAGTTCAAAGTTGTGTGACCTTGCCAGAATCCTTCTCCTCGCTCAGAAAAGCACAGAAATTTCAATGGAGTAAAAATGAGGTTGTCAGAGAAAGAACTCGGAACTATTCTGTGTTTAAAAACAAAGTAGATATTTGGCAAACTTCAGCAGCTCATTTTTGGTATCAGATTCCTTATGATGTACCCGAGAATTGATAGGAGCAAGCTAGAACCACACAGCGGCCTCTGGGGGCCTTGGGATTTCAGGGCCATGCCCCACCCCGCATGTGGTACGTGAAGCCCTGCACAATCTCACCAGGCCAGCTGCCGTCTTCCACCTCACACACCTGTTCTGAGTACTCTCTGCTCTCCAAATGCCACTTTCCAGCCAACCATGGTGGCTTACACCTATAATTTCAGCACTTTGGGAGGCTGAGATGGGAGGACTGCCTGAGCCCAGGAATCTGAGACCAACTTGGACAACATAGTGAGACCTCATATCTACAAACATTTTTTTTAAATTCGCTGGGCATGGTGGTATGCACTTGTGGTCCCAGCTACTTGGGAAGCTGAGACAGGAGAATGGCTTGAAACCAGGAGGTCGAGGCTGCAGTTAACCGTGATCATGCCACTGAAGTCCAGCCTGGGCAACACAGTGAGAGCCTGTCTCAAAAAAAGAAGTCACTTCGCTTTCCCTCTTCTGTGCCTTTGAATGTGTTTGCACTCATCAAGAATTTGATCGCTGCCCTATGCCAAGAGGCCAGGGAGAGAAGCAGAGCTAAGGCCCCTCTTGCCTCCAGAAATGGAGAAGACCTGGCTTGGGGCACATTCCAAGGGCTGGGCACTGTTGTCTCACTTCACTGGATTACCTTGCTGGATTCTTACAGCCTCCTTGTTCCGTCCAGATTGCCTCCATTTTACAGATGAGAAAACTGAGTCCTGGGAGCAGTGCAGCAACTCACCTAGTTCATGTGATGAATACAGGAGAGGAGGAAATCAAGCCCAGATGGCTGAACTCCAGAATTGGATGCAAAAGCCCAGTGAGGGAGCTGGGGGGGACCCAGTCAGAACCACCCCACTCCTGGGGGGCTCTGGAGCAGGGTTTCTCAAATTTTTGTCCTTATCACTCCCTCCCCAGTTGCCTTTTTACACATTTTTTCCTAATCTCTCCGTATGAAGTTTTAATATCACAGCTAAGCTACACATCTGTTTATGTGCTGTATCCATATCTGCATTTGACACACACTCTTTGACACCTCAAGAATCAGTGTTTTCCCCGTGGGGTTGATATCACCCCACTGAGAGCTCACACCCAGGGAGCCTGGGCTTCAGCTCATCTGAGTCATTGTGGCCCCATCAGGGGAGACTGTGACTCTACCTGCTAAGTTCTGAAAAGAAGGGACATCCAACCTCATAGGACCTGCCACACACCCCCTCTCTAGGATCTCAAAGACAAAGCCCATGCTTGTCCACAGTAGGGTGGAGAATACAGGATTTGGCATCAGAAAGTCTTGGTCTTAAACCAACCTAAAGCTCTTACAAGCTGCATGACCTAGACTTGGGAAGCCAATATTCATTCACTTGTTTATTCCATTACTCATTCAAAAAACACACAACATACAAGCTTTACAAAAGAAGCCAGTTGCGAAAGATAAAGCGTTGGGTACAAAATGTGTCTTCTATATGCTTGTAGGCATATTGAAAATATTTTAAAAGATACACAAAATGCTTCTAACAGTGGCTTCCTCTGGAGGGTGGGATTGGGTGGGGGTGAAAAGGGAATTTTCTTGTTACTTTGTAACATTCAATTCTGTCTGATTGCCTCTACAATGAGCATGAATTATATTGATAATATATAGAGAGACACAGATATCAAAGCTGCCTTTCTGTGATGGCCCCTGGGCTTAAATGGGATAATTTATGCTTTTCTCTTTGCACAGCACTAGGCACCTAAATATCTATTTTGGACCTTCTCCATCCTCTCAGGCTGCTCTTAGATAAGAGAAGGATTTGCCTCTGTGCACAAACAGGCAGATATAACATCCAGATATGTATCCATCATATGGAATGCTATGGGGTTCAATTGTGCCCCCCCCAAATTTTTAAGTCCTAACATTCAGTTCCTCTGAATGTGACCGAATTGGGAAATTGGATCATTGTAAAGGTAATTAGTTAAAATAAGTTCATACTGAATAGGGTGGGCCCCTTACCCAACAAGGACTGGATTCCTTATAAAAAGGGGAACTTTGGGCCAGGCGCAGTGGCTCACGCCTGTAATCCCAGCACTTTGGGAGGACAAGTGGGGCAGATCACTTGAGGTCAGGAGTTCGAAACCAGCCTGGCCAACGTGGCAAAACCCCATCTCTACTAAAAATAAAAAAATAAAAAAATAATCAGCGGCGTGGTGGCACGCACCTGTAATCCCAGCTACTTGGGAGGCTGAGGTAGGAGAATCGCTTGAGCCCAGGAGGCAGAGGTTGCAATGAGCCAAGATCACGCCACTGCACTCCAGCCTGGGTGACACAGCAGGACTCCATCTCAAAAAAAAAAAAAAAAAAAAAAAAAAGCAGGGGCTGGGCACGGTGGCTTACGCCTGTAATCCCAATACTTTGGGAGGGCGAGGCGGGCAGATTATGAGGTCAGGAGATAGAGACCATCCTGGCTAACACAGTGAAACCCCGTCTCTACTAAAAATATAAAAATTTAGCCGGGCGTGGTGGTGGGCACCTGTAGTCCCAGCTACTCGGGAGGCTGAGGCAGGAGAATGGCGTGAACCTGGGAGGTGGAGCTTGCAGTGAGCGGAGATCACGCCAGTGCACTGCAGCCTGGGTGACAGAGCGAGACTCCGTTTCAAAAAAAAAAAAAAGGAAGGGGTGGGGGATTTTTGGAGAGAGACACAAGCAGGGAGAACACAATGTGAAGATGAAGGCAAAGGCCAGGGTGGTGCCCCACAAGCCAAGGAACGCCCTCGAGAGCCAGCAAAGCCCCAGAAGCTGGGAGAGACACCTGGAATGATTCTGTCTCAGCCTCAGAAGGAACCAACCCTGTTGGTGTGCATGTCAGGCTTCTGGCCTCTAGAACCACGAGGCAACACATTTCTGCCACGTACCACATTCCATTCATGGTACTTGGTTACAGCAGCCTCGGGAAACTAACCTCTAGCAAGCACCAACCCCTGGTGTGGCCCAGAGCTAGAGCACAGCCTCGGGGCAAGGTCCTATAGAGCTCCAGCAGTGCCCCGTGGCACCTTTGTAATTTTTATATTGTTGTGGGGGATGGTCCCAGAAAAGAATCTGAGTGTTGGGGGAGGTGACTAGGGGGACTTAGGGGGGCAGCTATTTACCAACTGCTAAAACATATTACAATTTTTTAACAATATATACAGTGGCACCAGAGGGAACTAACTAAATATCATTGTGGTAAAAGGTCCTGTAATAACATGAAGCACATTAGTCGCAAAGCAAAACTCACCGGTGGGCCCCTTGGTCCTTGGGGACCCTGTGGCCCAGTGGGTCCAGTGTCACCCTGGAACAAAGACAGAGAGATGGTGTCATCATCAAGTCACTGTGTGAAGGTGATGGCATCCCAATTTCAAATGTTAACCAAACCTCGCCAAGTTACCCAAAGGAACCAACAAATTGTCCAGCATGTTTCATCATTAATTGTCCATTATTCCAAATATGGACAAACTCCCTTCCTGTGGGTGAGTAAATGCACGCAGGCCCGCATTTGTGCATCCATTTATTCAGTTACTTCTTAGACATCCTCCACCTGGTCCCACAGGGGTTTCAGGTGGCTCCATCTTGAAATAAGATAAGCAATCAGAGGAGAGAATCTCTCTTGAAGTTCTTTTCCTGATTCGCTAGACGGTGACCTGGAACCATTCATGTCTGAGTCACCAGGGTGAAAAACCCATGCCACCCAGGTGCATAGGACCTGCCAGCTTGCTAAGCAGTGTGATTCACCACCACCTTGCAGAGTCTTCCAAGCGGCCCTGTGACGGGGCATAATCCTAACCCTGTGATGGATAAAAAATCAGAAACTTGGACATGCTTCTACACAAAGTAGACTGAAAAACACTCTAGAAAATGGATTTTTAAAATAAAAGTCAAATGGCTAAGATGGAGGGAAGGAAGCATAGCCCATCACCTGGCATCCCAGGGTCCCATCCCAGCTCTAGCCCTATGTACTGGGCGAGCTGACCTCAGTCACATTCCTGCCTGGGTAGCACCCTGCATCACCTTTTCTACAAACTGAAGTGCAGGGGGAGGGGATGGACTGTATCACGATTCTCAAGCTGCCCTTCAGCTTCTGAGAAGCCCCTTTTTGGGTGGGGTTGGGGTGGGCTCTACTTTTAGGTGTATGCACAGGGCTCCACACACTGATCTTATAAGACAGATTCCACAGCTAAGAAAGCACATGTGAACTAGGTCAGATTTCTCCTGAGTATCCTTTCCAGCTCCATCATTCCTGGGAGCAGATCAGCCACAGGGGCCACGTGCTCCGGTGTGTCAAGAGCCACTGGGGAAGAGTCCACTTCATCAATTTAAAGGCAGGCTCTGAAGGACCCACATGGTGGGCATGAGACAACTTTGTACCTCAGTACCTGGTGCCTCTGCATCTGACCAATCGGCCAGTTCCATGATGCCACTCTGCATCTCACACGTCCAGCCACCCTGCAGGACGCCACATGCAAAGGGCTGGTCCCTGGGGGATGTGGAGCTGGTGGATTCTGGGCTCCAGGCAAGCTATTCCTGCCTCTGACTCTCTGGGTGACCATAAGTCAGTCCCTTTATCTCTCTGGATCTCAAATTTTTCATTTGTACACCTGGGGTCAAAATTTCCCTTGTTCTGGCCTGGCACAGTGGCTCACGCCTATAGTCCTAACCCTTTGGGAGACCGAGGCAGGTGGATCACCTGAGGTCAGCAGTTCGAGACCAGCCTGACCAACAAGGTGAAACTCTGTCTCAACTAAAAATACAAAAATTAGCTGGGCATGGTGGCAGGTGCCTCTAGTCCCAGTTACTCGGGAGGCTGAGACAGGAGAATTGTTTGAACCCTGAAGGCAGAGGTTACAGTAAGATGAGATCACGCCAATGCACTTCAGCCTGGGCGACGGAGTGAGACTCCATCTCAAAAAAAAAAAAAAAAAATTTTTTTTTTCTTGTTCTGCCAAGATCCCAACACCAAATAAAAGGGAGAGCCATTCAAGTGGTATACAATTAACACAGCACACGGTGGTGGCGGTGAGGGGTGTGTGGTTTCTTTGAGCACTGCAGAGCCTGAGAGAAGGAGAAATAATCTGCGAGAAACTCTGAAATGCCTCTCAAGTCCATTTAAGGCTGGATCCAACAGGCCTATCATTTGTACCAATGGACAAATCATGACTGATCCAGAAAAGCTTCCTTATCAACCATAAAGCCCAGGGACCCACCCACTAGGTTGGAGGCGCCAATCTCATCCTTGCCAACCAATCCTGTGATGTCATCTGTGTGCCTCTTGGCAGTGCTGCCACCAGCCATTGTGGGGCAGTTTCTGGGTGTCACTTCCTTGATACACCCACCCCCAGCCCCAGCCCAGCCAGGTCCCACAGGACCCCACTTACATCTTTTCCTGGTAACCCTTCCTGACCAGGAAGCCCCATGGCACCAGACTCTCCCTAGGAACAAAAAAGCCTGCTATTAGGGAAGGAGATGCTTCAGCCACTGGCTGTCTCAACCACAGGGGCACCTGAGGAGCTGGGAGAGGTGGAGAGGCCCAGGGGCCCTGTCAACTTCCATACGCAGAGCCCCAGCCCTGAGTTGAGGTCTGTGGCGGCCCTGAGTTGAGGTCTGTGGCGCACCCAAGGCCAGCTGTGAGTGCCTGGAGCCATGCTGTGCCTCTCTGTGCAGCTCAAGCAGGGAAGAACAGCAGCTGAAGGCTCTGGCATCTACTCTTGGAATGCTGCCTCCTTATCTGCTCATCCACTTGACCCTCTCTACACCTGTGCTTGCTCCTTGGTATCTAGATCATGCAAGGGATCTAACCAGCTGACCCATAATGTCACTTCCATTCTGGGCATTCAGAGGAGGCAGAGGAGTTAAAGGATAAGAAAATAGTCTCTGGAGTCTTCCCATCTGGGGTAAAAGTGATGCTTTCCATTTATAAGCTCTAGGACCTTGGGAAATCACCCATGTCCTCTGGGCCTCAGTTTCCTCCTCTGCAAAAAGAACCTAATAGCAACAACCACCTCACAAGGCTCAGGGCTGACATGCGTGACACACCTGAGTCCAGACTTATTTGGCCAAACTGGTTGGCCATGATGTCTGGCCCCCAGAAAAACCACCTGAGGGAATTAGGCCAAGAGGTGAGCATGGTGCTTCAAAGGTGTCCCTGTGCTGGCTTGCTCCATGCTGGTGTGCTCCACGTCCTCTCTCGGGTAAGGCACTGCCATGGCCTGCAGGCTGCAAGTATCTTCTGTCTGGGAAGTGTAAGCTCTGCCCACCTGGGGGGACCTCCAAAGTGAGGCGCCCACTTACCCGGGGACCGGGTGCACCAGAATCGCCTGTGTGTCCCTTGAAGCCCTAGAAGGAAGAGAATGGAGTTATTCCATGATAGAGCAGGCTCTTGGGGCAGAAGTGGGCAGGCATACCTCCCTGCCGGCTTTGACCCACGTTGCCCCCGCTCATTCTTTACCATTTGCAGGATACTGAGCCCTACTTGGTGCCATGCTCGGTGCCAGAGGTTTGACAACTGGATACCAAGAGCCCTTCTTCCCAGCCCCCTCTATGCTGTGGGAAGGGCTGCCAGGGCTCATCCCACAAATGCCTCAGAGTGTTGGGGCATTGCCCTACTGGTTCAGGTGTCTCCTGCTCTCCTTGTTCCTCCTGATTGTTCCAGGCTTACAGCATATAGCTTGGCCCGCCCCTCTCTGCACGGCTCCTGAGTCAGGTGATTCCCTTGTAGGGAACATCACCTTCACCCAGAGTTAGGTCCTGTGGCCCCTTCCTTGTTCCTGTGGCCATTGCTGGTCCTACCAACACCCCTGAGTAGGTTCAGCTCTGGGAGCTACATCCCGGGCCATAGTGCTGGGGTCTCCTTGTCCAGAGTTGCAACTTGGAGGCATATTACCTGAAGCACCACTACAGAGTTTCAGGCCCTGTGAGTGAAGATTAAACCATTAGCAGAGCTGAGGCCATCATTTCTAACCTCCAGGCCAATCTGTGTGAAAATCTGCACTTAGTGGATGTAAAGCTAAAGCTCAAGGATAACAAAAATGCCCGCCTGGCATAGCTTTGCAGTATTAATCTGTGGAAAGGATTGCCATATGCTCTTAAGTTTCATGCAACTGGGCTGACTGTGAGTTAGGTCTGAGATGGGACCATGGCTCCCATTTTGCAGCTGTGGGATCTTGGAAGCTCTACTTCTCTTCTCTGGAACTCAGTTTCCACATCTGTAAAATTAGGCTAGAACCTACTTCTGCAGAGTTGCTGTCAGGACTGAATAAGACTGAATAAGGACTGCACAGTGCTCTCCAGTTATTCAAAACAGTCCAGCTACATTTCCCTGGAAAGGGCTAGGGATTTCTTGGGGCTTGGCATCTTCCTCAAGGACCCCAGAATTCCAAATTCAGCCAGCCCAGAGGAAGAGACTCTGGTGTGCTCTCCTCCCATCTAATCATGACAAAAGCACCAACTGAGAGAGTGCCTGTCAGGCACTCTGCTGGGAACGTTACATGTCCTACCTTCTCCTTTAGTACTTACGACCACTCTGCAAGAATGGGAGCTATTATGACTGCCATTTCATAGAAGAAGAAACAGGGGTTCAGAAAGGTCCTCGTTGCAATCAAGGTCACAAAGTCAATAAATGACAAAGTAAAGGCTGAATCCAGGTCTTTCTATCTGAAAACCCACTCCATTCTACAAAGCTTTGTCCTGACTTATTCTATGTCAGCCAGAGGAGCTTGGTCTTCTTTTCCCTGCCTGGCTTTCTAACCTCAGCTCTTTCATTACAACTCCCAGTTGACAGATGGGTCTTGCCCCCAATACAGGTTCCATGGGTTTCCTGGCTGAAATGTAGCCCCTGTCACTCCAATAAGCCAAGAACCACCTTTAATAAATTGATCACTAGCTCAGTGTTGCAATCCCCATAAGAGGTCGTATTCCTCATTCTTGGGTGTTTTCTGGTGCAATCATGTGAAAAACAAGGGGATTTAAGAGAACAGAAAATTTATTTTTGTATTTTATTTCCTTCTTATTGAATACGAGCCAGGAGGTTGATTTTTTAAAAGAAAAACATTAAGAAAATAGAGCTAGGATTTTGATTTGCTAGATAAAATCCAGATAATTTTAGGATAATCATTTAAAATCATATTTTTTTCTAAAAGCAATTTAAGAAATTGTGAAAACAATTTTGAAATTATGAAGAGGTGAAACATTTAGCATAAAACCCAATAACCCTAAAATACATAGAGTTCATTTTTGTAGGTAAACAATATCTGTGTCTGTTTATATGTATAATAGCTAGACATAGATGTACATATATAGATGCTAGAATTCATATATAGAAAAAAGGACTAGAAAAAATACACTGAATATTAAAAACTTTACTTCTTTGTTATAGAATTAGAAGTAAATTAATTTTCTTCTCAATACCATTTTTTGTATTCTTTTTCTTATTATTACCATCATCATTATTATTAATACCATTAGGCTATGAGAATGGGTTACTTTTATAGTTGGGAAAAAAAACCTTAGCTATGGAAAGTGTTCAAAACTAAAATTAAGATTCATTTTTACGTTCTATTATCCAGAGAAAACCCATTGAAATTATAATGAATCAGATGAGAACATAGAAAACTTTGAGCAACAACAAGGTCATGGCTGCAATTGTGAAAATGAATTTCGCAGCTATGTAGTGTGGCAAAGCTGAATTGACCGCACAGAAGCACAGCCGTCTGGAGGAGAAGGACTTCTAGGACCCCACGGTTGGGCAGTCTGGGCTAGCCCTGCTCACAGTGGTGAGAGCCATGTAGCTGATGGGCTTGGTTCTACCGTTCCCCACACACACTACACACTTACAGGTGGGCCTCGGGCACCCTCTGGTCCTGGTAGACCTGGCTCTCCTGCTTTGCCCTGAGAGTAAGGAAGAAAAGAAGAGTTTGAGGACAACATTGTAAGAATCTTCCTATTCCTGGCTCTCTGTGTTTCCTACCAATCTATTCCCACAAGCCAGTTTCTATCCACCCTGTCAGCCCTTTCCCCTGGTGTCTTGGTCCTTCTTAATCTACACAAATCTCCACCATGTATTCAGGCCTATTATATTCCTGGGTTTCCTGGGATGGTGCTGGTTACACAGGTTGCATCTCCAAATTAATTATGCTTAGTACCCCCCTTTCACTATCAGAAGCATCTTGGTGTGGATGAGAAATTATATGGCCATCTTAGTTACAGACGACTTTATGCCCACTTGCAAAAACCATGTCAAGGCCGCTATTAACACTTGCACTTTACCGATGGCAACACTGAGGCTCAAAGTTATATTTTTATGAAGGTATTAAATAGCAAAGCCAGGCTGAATTCCAGCTGAGCGCCACACCTAAGCGGATGCTCTTTCCAGGTCAGCTGCAGTACCTACTGGCAGGGCGACCTGTGACGTACACAGCCTTTTCCTCACCCCATCATCTTAAAAGAGCTTGTCAGGACACTCTTGCTATTTAAAATTCTTTACTGCCCACAGCTTGGCATTGCCCTGCACAGAACCAAACCAGGAACAGAAGACAATAAGAGGCTTGCCAACTCAGGTTCATATAAATTGAAGATGGGGTCAGTGGAAGAATGAGGGGAGGCCGGGCAGAGGAAAGTTGATGAAAGGCTAAGTTTGATGGGTGGGCAGAAGGGGCAGCAAGCTGGGCCTGGAAGACATGCCTGTTCCCAAACCTTCTGTCCACCTCATGTTTACAAGTTTTAAACCTTGGAAATCATATGCAGCCCATTATTGGGGAGTGGGGAGAGAAAGGAACATCCTTGGATTTAGAAAAAAAAAAAAAACTATAGAAAGAAGGGTGGGGCCTAAAGCCCTGACTTCCAGGTTTGTCTGTTTCTTAGTTTAGCTGTGTGATCTTAAAGTGCCATTTCCTTTCTCCGGATCTCTGGATCTGTAAATTTGGGACAGTCCTCCCTTGTAGGTCTTTGTGATAGAGGGTGTACATAGCCTGGCTCCTGCCTCAGAGTCAACTGTGATGGCCATCACTGGCCCAAGGCACCAGTAGAAAAATGGAACAACCAGCAGCTACTGAAGGTTTTCACTATGATGTCACTGACGCCTGACTCTTGTTAACCCTCAGGCAAAACACTGAGGCACATAGAGGTTCAGTCATCTGCTCAAGGTCACACAGCTGGGGTTCTAATCCAGGCATTTTGGTTCCAGAGTCTGCACTTCATCCTACAGTATAATTAATGCTCAAATATCTCTTAATAAAAATTAAGCAACAGGCAACTCAAAAGGCTGTCTATATATCCATCTGTGTATCCATCTATCCATCCATCCATCCATTCAACCAACCAAGCATCCATCCATCCATCCATCCATCCATCCATCCATCCATCCATCCATCCATCCACCCATCCATCCATCCATCCATCCATCCTATGTTCTATTTATCTGGCTGGTCTGTCTATCCATTTGTGCCCCTCCCATATACAAACTTTGAATGAGCAACTCAACTTGAAGAGGGGCCACCTAGTACCTGTAGCAGATGCTGCCATTTTCCAACCACATCCCCTGGGGCCCACCCAGGGAGGTGTCTGCCTCCTTGTGGAGCAGTTCCTGCATAGGTTGAAGGGTGGACATAGAATGAAGATGTTCCCTGACCGTAATGGGTACTTGACTTTGAGGTGTGGAAGGCCCAAGTGCAGGGAAGTCAATGCCTCCAGAAGCAGTCAGAGGATCGCCAGTGAGGCTGGGCCCCAGCCTGGAGTTACCAGTTGCCAGCCTGCAGTTACCAGTTGCCAGCCTGCCTTTCCTTCTTTCTCTGTTCCATTCTCTTCCTCCCTCCCTCACTGATTCAGGGGATCACCTCCTAAATACTCTACCTGCATCAAAATAGGCATTGAGTAAACAGACTGAATGAAGACCAGTGTCCTCAGTTATTCTGAACTGTAAACAACAGCCTCTCAGCATAATACACGTTCTGCAGAAAGGTCAATGCACTGCTCTGCAGCAGTGAACTCCGGGGTCAGCCTGCAGGAGTGTGAGTCCTAGATGCTTCATTTACCAGCTTTATGCCCTTGATCAAGCTATTATCCTCTTTGTGCCTTAGTTTCCTCATCTGGGAGAAATAATGGTACCCACAGCCCATAAGGTTCTTCTGGGGACTACAGTGGAAAAATGTAATGAAGTGCTCAGTGCCCCACCCTAGGCACACACGCAGTTGCTGTCAGCCACAGTGTGATATGTGTGCTTCTCTCTACCCTTGCCACATTTTTGCCCAGGCTGAATGTCATTTGCCCATCATGGGCAGCTCTGCTGGGTGTCAGTCCACAGTAGCTCGTTGAGACTTTTCAATTTGCTCAGTTGCTACAAGCTCTTTCTTTTGCTCTCAGCAATGAATTTTGGTTTCAGCATCTGGCAAACAGTGTAAAATGATAAAGAAGGTGCTTCCAGCAAGTTGTGTAAGATTCAGAATGAGTCATAATAGTTTATGACCAAACAAATTAAATGGAACATAAACCTCACTGTAGAAACTTTTATGGAACTCCCCTTAGTGGTTCTAAAGGCTCTGCAGTTCTAGCCTCACCAGGAGCTACAACTAGGGCAGCTGGGAAAAGTAGCTTACTAAAATCATTGACAGTTAGATAAGCCTGATGCATCTGACACATTTTCTACATTATATGATTACCCAGCAACTCTGGCAAGTTGGTATATTATTCTCATTCTATTTCAAAAGAAACTGAAGCTCATAGATGCTTTCTGAGTCACCCAGATCACAAAACCTGGGAAGGAGTGGGGCCAGAATCCGAAGCAAGCTTTTATTGCTATTGTTATTATTGTTGTTGTTGTAATTTTGGCATAAAATATTTTTATTTAATCACTATATTTTAAATTTAATTTTATCAGTAAGTAATGCATACTCATGGCTCCAAAAATTAAGATGATAACAGTAAAATAAAATACCATGGAAAAGAAAGTTGTCTTCCTACTGCTATGTCCCCTTGTCTGACAATCATCCTCCCATGGACAGGAACTACTTTTATGCGGGTTTTATGGAGTCTTCCAGAGTTCCTTTAGATAAACACTAGAAAAAGATAGGCCCACAACTATTTTTACACAAAATAGGACAGACTATACACATTGTTTTACTCTTTGCTTTTCTACTTCACAATCTATCTAGGAGCAGTCCTGCATCAGTATCTAGAGAACATCCTCATTCGTTCTGACAGCCCTTGGTATTCTATGGGGTGGACAGCTCATCATTTAACTAGTCTCATACTGGTGGGCATTTGGAGAACCCAGGTCTCTAAACCACTGATGCCGTCCTCCATCTTGCCCTTGGTGTAGTGTCTGTGAAAGGGCTTTGGGAAGACCTAAGAGGTGCTAGGAACCGATGAATCATCATGATGAATCTCTGATCCGTAGGCAAGAAGGACTGACCAAACTCAGTGAGCACAGCTTTGAAGTCACAGATACGGGTCTCTGTAAATCCCTGCACATTCCCAACTAACAGCTACTGGGACCACCAAGACATTCTCACTAGCACTTGATCCATCTCATTGTGTGCCCCTGGACAGCTGACATTAAACAAAACCAAAACCAAAACCAAAATGAGAAAACCCTATCCCAGAGTTACAAGTATGTGTGTGTACATATATATATATATATATATATTTATGTGTGTGTGTGTGTGTGTGTGTGTGTGTGTGTGTAATCCCACAATGTCTGGAGCTAGCAGGTGCCACTCAGATTTTACTAGGTATCCTGATCTCTCCAGATATCAGATTTCTCCTCCAGGCGATGCTCATCTACTTCAGCTTCCTCTATCACATCAATAGGATTGAGGCTACAGGGGGCAGTAAACCAAAATGTGGAGCAGGGACAGGAGCCCTGGGCTCAGGTTCAGATTCTGTCACCAGCCCATCATGTGACTTTGGGGCCATGATTTCACCTCCCCGAGGCCCAGGTTTCTTCTGCTTTAAAATGGGGACAGCAGTGTTTACTGTGCAGGAGTATGTAAATGAAATAATGCATAGAAAATGCCTATCTTCGAGACTGGTTCAAAATAGCTCCTCACACAAAGTAGTTGTTTTTGACATGTAATAGATTTGGCATGTGATATAATAGGAAGTTTAGAGTCCTTTACCGGCTCTCCAGGGGGACCCGGCTTTCCATCTCTGCCCTCTTTGCCTTCTTCTCCCTGCAAGAGAAACTCAAATTGGTTATCAGGTCAAAGAAGATTCGAGGGGATGGAAAGACGAAGGCAGTTTCAGCATGTCTTCCTGCCCAGCTTCCAGCAGTTGCCTTCACAGTTGGCAGCTAAGGCAGTGTCTCAACGGACAGAATTGTTCTGATTTCCTGGTTTTTTTCTCAACACCAAGATTCCAGCTGTGGATCTCTGACTTGCAGTATCTGGCATATAGTGGGAAAGCAATACATTTTGTAATAGCATTATTATTATTATTGCTATTGACCTAAAGAAGCCTCTCCTGGGCATTTTCGTGAAGTCAAGTTTAGAACATGAGAGCCTGGTGTCTGGGCCTCTTGGGTGAGCACAGTGATGGGTGAGGGGGGAATGTGGATGCTGACGATGATAATGAGGACATTTGATAACACGCAGGAAGGTACTCAGCATGGTTCACTACTGTGGGCACAGGAGGGGCTCAGTGAATGACAGCAAGGAGCACGTTTGGGTCACAGAAAGGCTATAAGCATTGTTCATTTCTGTCCTTGAAGTGGAAACAGAGTGATAAAGAAACAGAGAACAAAGCTGGGGTCGTTCACAAGGTGCCAGGGAAGTAACAGGGCCCAGTCTTTGGCTTAAGCCTAAGGACAACAGTGAGCAGAGGGAAGTAACATGATCAGATTTCCATTGGAAGGAAAGAAAGGAGGAGGGAGGAAGGAGGGAGGGATGGAGAAATGGATATTATTAAGAAAATAGCATAATCATATGTAAGGTTGTATCTCTCTTCTCCAGTACTCTAGAACTTTGATAACGGGTTAACACAAAATCCAAATTGAAATTTCTTCTCCTTAGCTTTACCATTGCTAAAATTAAATCAGTACGTATTTCCTAACTGCTATGATATCCTAGTCTCCAGAGTTGTAGTTCATACCAACATCCCAGCATGTCACTTCAGATCTGTGTGTCCTGGACAGCTTACTTAACCTCCAGGCTGCAGAGTTACAGACAGGACTGTCAGTGATGCCCAGGAAATGCCTTCTTGATCAATGGCAGTACATATCAGATACTGTAGGAGAAAAAGCTCTAAGAAGCAATTCATTCATCCACATGTTTCTTTTGTCAATATTTGCTGTGTGCTCACTATGTGTGGGGACTCAAGGCTAAACAAAAGCAGATGTAGTTCCAGCTCATGCAGAACCTACAGCACAGAATATAACCCCATGATTAATTACCAGGCATGCTTCAATGTTACGTCCTCAGATCTAACAAACAGAGTTGTTTGTTGAATGAGTGATTCAACCAGACCAACGAATAATGGAGAATTAATCAATCCATTACACCAATAGAAATGCGATCACCAGATGAGATAAGCACTCCGAAGAAAAGGAAGATCGAACCTCTCCTAGCCTGGTGGGGAGCAGGGAAGGAAGTGATAGCTGGGATGAGATGGGGGAAGATCGAAGGCATCTACTAACGAAAGAAGGGAAGAGGCATCCTGGTAGCCTGGGAAGGGTTGTAGAGTGTGGCAGGAGAGAATTCAGTGCATTCTGGGAATCAAAAAAAAATCCAGTGTGGCTGGAACAAAAGAAGGCACAGTGGAGGGCAGGGTTGGGGGACTGTAGACAGTAAGTGCTACAGCAGCAAGCAGAGGCCAAAGAGCCACAGAAGAATTCACTCTCAGTGCAGAAGGCAGTGCATGGCCTTTGTGGAGGAATTTATTACAAATGCCTTGAACAGCTCGACTCTAATGAGAAGGATATTAAATGGAAAAGTTCAGGACAACATCTTTGGAAAGCAATTTTGCAGTATGTGTCAAGAACCTTAGATGTTTCTCTACTCTGGCAAGCCAATCACATTTTGGAGGATCATCATAAAGAAATTTTTAAAATGCTATGCATACAAAATTGTCCGTTGTAGTTGCTTTTTAAAATAATTGTAAAGTTTATGAGGCAACTGAGAAATGATAATATGCATTATGGTGCATCCATTGCGTCTATTAAATGTAAAGTTTATGAACATTTAACATTAATATGGGAAATGGAAAATGTTTACATTATCACAAATAGTTAATTAACACAGTTATATATATATGTGTGTGTGTTTTGTTTTAACAATATAAACATATATATACAAGTACACATACATATATATGTAGAGAGAGAAAAATTACTATTTAAACAAATAAGAAACAACCAATATACGCCTAAAAGAAGTACAAGATTAAGACTGATTCTACCCAAATTTTAGTTGGCTTTGACTGATAAACAAGTTAGTGATTATTTTGTTTCTAATTTTCTACAACACTCAAAATTCTAGTGGCCAGGCCTTGTTTTGACAGTGGAATATATTTTTGTTTCTTTGTTTTTATAAAGAGAAACTAGTTTGTTTTTGTTTGTTTGTTTTTATAAAAGCCACTTACTGGGATTCCGGGTAATCCAGATGGGCCTTGGGGGCCAGGAGGGCCTTCTTTCCCCTAAAAGATCCAAGACATAAAAACACCATGAAACCTCTGCTGGCTTTTCTGGAAGTAAATGACTTCACAAGGAACTGCATTCATGGGTTGGGGGAGTGAGTGTTTGGTGAGAAACAAGGAGTGCTTCTGTATCAGCCTCATGGCTTTCTGAGCTGTTTCCCCCAAGGCAGTGAGGTTCCCTGGGGCTGAGCATAGCCACCCCTGTTGGTACACACACTGGAGCTCATTCTGGCCATATTATTAATACAGAGGCTCAGGGAAAACTGAATATTGGAATGCCAGTGGGAAGAAGCTATTCGGGTTTTAGTATCCACAAGACCTGGGTCCAGATCCAACTCTGTATTTGTCCCCAGACTTCCTGAAATTCACATTCTCTACCCATACAGCACATACCTCAGGACCTTGAGGTGTTGTGCATACAGGACTGTACACAAGTGGGGAGCTGACCGGGGTGCATGCATAGAGGATGGTTTATTATTTTCATCATTTTTCCAGAGGCTCCTACATGTTTTACCAATAATTGCTTTACTATCTCTTTCCTTGTATTTGAAAAACTGTTTTACCAAATTTCATTAATTAATATTTTATTTCCCATTTTATTCATCAAAGACTTACATAAGTATCAATTAGGGCTTATAAATCAGCATTATATAATCAGTGCCCTAATTCCTATCATGGTGAGTATTATCATATCACCCTGTGTCTTTACCATGAGTATTTAGAGCTGACAAATTTATAATCTCCTACAAGTGCTTACTGGGAGATAAGACACAGGTGCCAGGTTTTACATTCTAATTCACATGCCACACAAAACGAGGTATTCTTAAGGTTTAGGCAATGCGCAATAATAACCAGGATAAAACAAAATATTCAACCCTCCCCACATCACAACACCTAAAAACACATAAGAAAATTAAGTGGATATTTTTGTTCAACCCAAGACAAAGATGGAGTTATTATTAGAGATTTTTAGTTATTGATAATGGAGCTTCCTGGGTTCCTTCCTGGATGCTTATTTTTCAAATTCCCTAATGTGGAAACACCAGTGATCTAGGACTGGAGTCAGCAAACTTCAGCCCACTGCCAGATTTGTTAAATGAAGTTTTATCAGAACACTGTCACACCCACTGGTTTGCATGTTGTCTATGGCTGATTTTGCATTAAATGTTTGCTAATTGGTTCTTTATGGAAAAAGTTTGCCAAGTACTATATTAGACCATTCTCTTTAAACTCAGGTGAGGAGAGCATGGTCCCATAATAAGAATGTGGCAGATCCAGGAAAGAACTCCACCTCTGACTCGCCGTTCAGTCTTCTTGCCATCACTAGACTTTTATTTATTTAGAAATCAATTCCATTGGCAGAGAGGCTGAAACTTAAAACATGGTAGACCCTTAACTAACCTCCACTTGACCAATCCCCATTATAAACCAGCCTCCCCATCCTCTCCAAAAACCCAGGCCTGGTCACAACACTACAATACACCCTTGCCTGCAGTACACCCTTGCTTTATTGTTCCTACCGGATGAGTTCAAGGCTTGCAAGGAGTCAATGTGCTTGTTCCTAAGCCTGTTTGCATCAGTTATTTGCTATGAAAGTCATACAATTTAATTGTTGATTAAACAATCCAGTAAAATTTAGGTGGAAAAAAATACCCTTTTTATAGAAGTTAAGTCAGAGTTTTGAAGACGCTGACCAAAAGTGAGTCATTCACCACTCACCATCTAAATTGATATAGCTATAAGATAAGATACCTACAAAAGGTTAGGAAAAAAAATCCTAACAATCTAGAACTCTACATTCATATTGTTATACATATGTTGTTATATTTTCCAACCACCTTTCAAAAAAGTAACAAAAACTGATCAGTGGATGTTCTTTTTATGTGACAGATGACAAGGGACTCCATTCATTACCAAAAATCAAAGTAAAGGGCTTTATTTTGTGTCAAAAAGCCTGCCAAACAGTTTGTCTTTTAATTCAAAATACAACAGAACTAAGGTTTGTATGTATCTTTTTATTATAATTTTGCCCCCATTTAACTTTTAAAAATTACTTCTATTGGCTGGGCACCGTGGCTCATGCCTGTAATCCTAGCACTTTGGGAAGCCAAGGCAGGAGGAACACTTGAGGTCAGGAGTTCAAGATCAGCCTGGCCCACATGGTGAAACCCCATCTCTACTAAAAATACAAAAATTAGTCAGAAATCACTTGAACCCAGCAGATGGAGGTTGCAGTGAGCCAAGATCGTGCCACTGCACTCCAGCCTCCGCAACAAGAGTGAAACTGTTTCAGAAGAAAAAGAAAAAAAAATTACTTCTATTTTGTAACTACCAGTGCTCACTGGGCAAACAAAACTTCCAGTATATTCTGGTTTGATGGTTATGGTAAAGTTTCAGCACCACGGACAGCTTCAAGTGCTACCATAGCTTGAGGAGTGGTCCCATGACAGAATCAAAGTCTTATTTAGTACAGTTTAATTCCAAGAATGTGGTAGTTTTATATCCTAGATCCACATCTTTTTTTTTTTTTTTTTTTTTTTGAGACAGAGTCTCACTCTGTTGCCCAGGCTGGAGTGCGGTGGCGCAATCTCGGCTTACTGCAATCTCCACCTCCCTGGTTCAAGTGATTCTCCTGCCTCACTGTCCCGAGTAGCTGGGACTACAGGCACATATCACCACGCCCAGCTAATTTTTTGTATTTTTAGTAGAGACAGCGTTTCACAGCCAGGCTGATCTTGAACTCCTGACCTCAAGTGTTCCTCCTGCCTTGGCTTCCCAGGATGGGTCTCGATCTCCTGACCTGATGATTTGCCCACCTTGGTCTCCCAAAGTGCTGTGATTACAGGTGTGAACCACCGTGCCTGGCCCTGGATCCACATCTTATTCTCTTCAGGCAAACAATCCATTAGTTTTTATTAGGGAAATCATTTGCATATGGAGTCTCACTCTGTCGCCCAGGCTGGAGTGCAGTGGTGCGATCTCAGTTCCCTGCAGTCTCTGCCTCCCAGGTTCAAGCGATTCTCCTGCTTCAGCCTCCCAAGTAGGTGGGATTACAGGCATGTGCCACCGTGCGAGACTAATTTTTGTATTTTTAGTAGAGGGGTTTCATCATGTTGCCTAGGCTGGTCTGAAACTCCTGACCTCAGGTGATCTCCCCACCTTGGCCTCCCAAAGTACTGGGATTACAGGCATGAGCCACTGTGCCCGGCCCAGTATATTTTATATTTTATTCATCCTGGGACTTCTAGATGGGCGGCTTCAAAAGGATTAACCAGATGAGGATCCTAAACCAGATGAGGATCCTAAACAGAACCATGTGGCTGTGATTTTTCAGACTCAACATCCGTCTGGCTGCCTGGACCACCCACATGGTGGGTCAATGTGGAATAGCAGAGGGAGCACTGAACTGAGAAATCTCAAATTGACTTAACTCCCAACTTGGACACTAATTTCCGTATGACTTTGACCAAGTGACATAACCCCATGGGACTCTGACCTCCTCCTTTGACATGGACGAAGTCTTATTAAGTAATAATGCCCTTTGCACAGAACTCCAGAGATACCAGGGTAGGGCTGGCCTGCTTGCTAGCTGGCCTTGGAATATGATGGTGAGATTCCTGTGGCCTAGGGATTGCGCCTGGCTCTGACATTCCCTCACTGTGTGACCCTGAACTGGCCATTTCACTTCTCCAATCCCCACTTTCCTTATTTATAAGATGTGGATAATGATTCATGGCCTTTCTAACTTACAGGTCCAAAGTGGGAGGAGCTGTCAGATGGAGATAAGGAATATTTATGTACCATATATTCATTTACTTGCCATGCATGTATTGGCTACTAACATAATACCTACTAAACTGTGGTTCACCCTTTATGGCATTGAAACCAAGAGTGGTTCTGGCAGCTTCAAGAAATGAAATCTGGATTTTGAGATAAAAGCCTTCGGTTCAAATGCCAACTCCACTGGTTGCGGTTTGGGATCCTGGACTAGTGACTTCTTTTTAATTCCATTCTCCTCTTTTGAACAGTTGGGATAACAATAGCTGCCTCTTGTCTGACATTCCCCTGGTGCACACCATAGTCCTAGGTGAGTTAGCACTGAGCCTTTCCACTTCCCTGCACCTGCTCAATATAGAAACCACACTGACAAGAAATTGAGATATGGGGCCTAAATGTAGGGCTTATTTGCATTGACAGTTGTAAACTGAATTCTGGAATCACAGATCTTCATATCATTCCAACCAAACCTTTACTTTAGCAGCAAAGTAAACAGGGGTCCAACAGAAAGCAAACCCTCCAGCAGTTTCATTGCAAGACTTGTAGTGAACAGAACCTCAAAAATATGTGAGCCACAGGAGGCACACAGGACAAGAGCAGAATTGGCAAACACCTGGGGTTCCAGAAAGGCTAAAGACAGATTAAAAACAGATCCCATTCCTTGAGGAACTTACAGGTGACCCTTGGATTCCTGGTGGTCCAGCAGCTCCTGCAATTCCATCTGCCCCCTAAAAAAGACAAGGCAGAAAGCTAGTTTCTTGTGCATCTAGACAGAGGTCATTAGCACCCTCTGCTTTGAATACAAAGCAATTGATATGGTTGGTTATCTGTCCCCTCCAAATCTCATGTTGAAATGTGATTCCCAATATTGTAGGTGGGCCCTGGTGGGAGGTGACTGAATCATGGAGACAGATCTCTCACGAATGGTTTAGCACAATCCCCTTGGTGATAAGTGAGCCCCCACTCAGTTCATGCAAGATCTGGTTGTTTAGAAGTCTAGGACCTCCCCACCTTTACTCTCTTGCTTCTGCTCTTGCCATGTGACACACCTGGCCTTCCTCTATGATGGGAAGTTCCCTGCGGTCTCATCAGAAGTCAAGAAGATGCTGGTATCATGCTTGTACAGTCTACAGAACTGAGCCAATAAAACCTCTTTTCTTTATAAATTATTCAACCTCAGGTATTTCTTTGTAGCAATGTAAAAACATCCTAATATAGCAACACACAGATCTTACATTCTGTGCCCCTTCCTAGCTTCCTGAACCATAAATATTTCAAATGTGCTTCTGCCTCTTCATCAGGCTGAGCTATTCTCTGGGAATACATGATGTTCAGAGAATAGCATCCACATTTTAGGACGGGCCAATGCATTAGCCAGGCAGTCACCCCTTTGAAAACAGTAAATGAACTCACTTCAGGATGGGCATTTTCAGCTAATATCAGGCAACATTTCAGGACAAAAAGTAATAAATGGACAACTCGATTTATCTTCCAGGAGATTAGGAAGGCAATTGCTGTGTCAACTCAAGGGTGAAGAGATGCACAGATGGATGAATGGAAGAAGACTTCTATGCAGCCGAGCAAGCAGCTCAAAGTGAGCTCCAGGCACACTTTTGCTGGGGACTCTTGCATATGCTGTTTCTTCCCCCTACATTCTAGTCCCTCACATATGCACAGCCTCATACCCTCCCATCCTACAGGTCTTAGCTCAGATATCAGCTTCTCAGTGAAAGGTTTTCTGCCTACCAGACCCAAAACTGAAAGACCTACCCTTCCTCATCCCTGCCCTGGGGAGGTCCCTTTTCTGTCTACCTTCCTCCATAGCACCTGCAAAAATCTGACATGCTAGTGTTTATTGATTTCTCATTTATTTAGTGTTCCTCATTGGAACACTAAATTTAGTTCCTCATTGGAACTAAAACAGTACCTGGGATATAGTAAATAATCAATATTCTTGAATAAATGAATGAATTAGAAGTTGAACTGACTGGGTTATGAAGGCAGCAGTTCTTTAGACAAATTCACACATGTGCCTCTTACTAGCTTTGGTTGAGTCATGTAACATCTCTCAACTTTAGTTTCCTTCACAGTGAAAGGCTGGAAATTGCACATGCCATTAGGAAGGGGAGGAGCAATGCGGCAATGCTTACAAGGTGCTAGGCACAGAAGAGAGGGTATTGGTTAAGAGTGCAGCCTCTTAGAGTTCGAGTTCCTGAGCCCATATCCCATTTCTCCACTCAACAGCTGTATAAGCCTAGGAAACCTACTTGACCCCTCTGTATTTCAGTTCCTTTGTAAAATGAAGGAAAAGAACAGCACCTATTTTACATGGGTTGTTGAGAAAATGGAATTCATGACACATAAGGAGTTAGCACCAGAGAAATGCTAAGGGCTGTCCAATAGGGACCTTCCATGAATATAAGTGTCTATTGTCCACCCACAACAAGGAATCCTGCAGATATTAACTAAATATAAAAGCATAAATAAGCAAGTTCCCGCAGTACTCTATTGATGTCTTTCCAGCAGCCTTTATTTAATTGTTGCATACTTTTATCAAGCGCCTAAACTGTACTAGGTACAAGCCAAATTTTAGAGATGTAAAAATGACTACATCATGGTCTTGGATCTCAAGGAAATTTGATATAACTGTAGAAGACCTGTCTTATTTTCCATGTATGACAAACTCCTGGGGCAGGGTGCAATCAGATTTGTCTCTATCACTTCTACTAGGTAGGGACCCAGTAAATGTTCATGAAATAAAGGGAGAGTGATAATATTTTAACAAGTAACCTAAGGTTCATGCTTTAATTAAATATGTAGTCCAAAGCTAATATAACAAATCTAGATTTTTCCACATAACTTTGATAAAAAGCTTCTGGCATCCTAGAGTCTGGAATCTTGCCAAGTTGAAAAAAAATTCCCTACTGCATATGGGGATGGGGTAAGTGTTTTATCTGGAATAAGGATGCTGACTGAGCACCAGAAAATAAATACTAAAAGAAAGGGCTTTGTCAGCTCGCTACCCATATCCCTGCATATTTCCAACAGGGCCTGACAATTAATAAGCACTTGAAAACAAGCAACAACAAAGAGCAAAACTAAAACAATGCATACATGACCAGAAAGGTTAATTTTCTGCTGTGGAGTTGCTTCTGCATGATTGGCTGCTGAACCTAAACAGGCAGCTGCCTCAGCATCCATTCTCACAGGCTATTAACAGTACAAAGCACGACACAAAATAGAAGCTCAATAAACATCTGCCAAGTGAATTGAAAGCATTAATCAGCTGGAGACAGACAAGCTGGCTTCTGATTATGATTGTTTCTGGGCCTCCAATACATCATCTAGCATGAGAATAATAAGCCAGGAGTCATTTCCTACAGCAGTCATAGAGTTCTAACTTATTGCAGCTTCCAGTGAGAACAGATCAGGATTTTGGTTTCATTGGGAACATGTTATGGGGTTTGGAACTACCAGGGTGGAGTGGAGATGAGGCTGTAATCCATTATTCATTTTCTGAGATCCTCAGCTGTTAAGGAGCACAATGTCATTTAGGAAGCTAATGTCATCATAATATACAATTATTCGTGAATAAACTATTTTTTAAGTAAAATTAGTTACCTCTCAATTGCCCCTCTTTGCTTAACACTAACACCTCTCCCTACTACTGATCGTATCAGCATCATTATCAGTTTCTCTTTTTGCTGATTGTCAGATGCTACAAAATCCAATAATATTCAAATACAGTGCAAAGCAACTACTAAGTGAAATTATAAGCCTTGAAAGAATTGTAGAATTTTGTGAAGTTAAATGACAGCAAACTGATAAATTCCCTACAATATCCTTCACAAATGTGCACATGGCAGAGTTGGGCCAGGTAAGATGTGAGGCTGAGAAATTAAAAATAATATTAACATCAAAGGCGCTTGGGAGGAAAATGTGTTGAATATTAAAGACTTAAAGTAGGCTTTCTGGGAAACTGAATAGTGCTTTTGTAGATAATTTACCTTTTTGTGAGTTTGCTCTAAAAGTCAACATGAAGTGAAAGATGCCATGTCATGCTTTCATCGGATTTTATTGAAAATATACACTTAAAACAACTTAACTTATTCCACTAATTAACACACAGTTAACAACTAGAAGTTGAGTTGTTTAAAAAGATGACAAAGCAAGCTTAATTTCATATATTTTAAATTTATACTCCTAACTGAACTTCTTTTCACTATACTTTCAAACAGGGTATTTCCTATTTGAAGGGGGATCCTTTTCGGTGGTCTTTCAGTCATTCCAGAAATCCTCTCCTTGCAAGGTCTGGGACAAGGGTCTCATGTGGAACCCATGGGAAATCCCAGGGGACTGGTCCTGGGCTTGGCAGGAACACTAATTTCCAGTGCCTGTTGCCATGGCTACCCATGATGGATATGTGGGCTGCAACAGCAGTGGACTCTGATCAGAGGAGGAACATGACTAATCTATGGGCAGCCTACACTGAAGGCAGAGGGAAATGGTGAGAAGGGCACCAGTCAATGTCAAGGCTACAGCTACTGTAAAAGCAGAGAGAACATTTGCTCAGGGGGCCCAGTGGAGATCATTGAGATAATATCAAGACAGGCTCCCCATAACATGGGGAAAGCTGCTTACAATTTCTCATTTTCTACCTTCTTTGCTTGCCATCATAATCTTGAAATACTAGCTTCCTACCCACCAAAGCTCAATTTGAAAAAAGAAGAAGTCTGTCTGTCTTTGCCAATGTCCCCCAGTCCCAACATCACTCTAATTGCATGGTCCATCAAGCCTACTCCAGACCGTCTGCACTTTCCCCCACATGCCTGTGGGACTTGCATTTTTAGGACAACTCTGTCACCTTTTGGGTGTTGGGCCATCCCTTAAAATGAGAGATATGCTCAGTGTCATACCATGCCTGGTGAGTTGAGATGTGCATTCAAATGTCAAGGCCGAAAGAGGAGGGGATTAAAGATGATTACTTACTGGTGGCCCAGGGTTCCCTGGGGGCCCCATGAAACCTGGAACTCCAGGATGACCCTAGGAAAACACAAGATGCAATTCTTTAAAATGACTTGAAAAATACTTTTTACTTTGTGCAAATATCAAATTTCAGAAAACAATACAGAATCCACCTTCCAACCCTACTAACAATTTTGCTTAAAGACACTGACAATAAAAGGGACTTCTTTTTATATATCTCAATAATAACTGACAACATTTATAAAAACAAACATGTCCTGAAAGCGGATTTGCTTCAAAATAATGTGTGGGCAGGGGGTGTGGAGAAATGGTTGAGGACATAAATGAAAACAAGAGGGGCCATAATAATTGAAAGCTGTTGTGGTTAAGTGCAGGGTACATAAATGTTCATTTTATTACAGTCTTTATTCTTTAGATATGCTTGAAGTGTTTCATAATAAAAACATAAAAAACAAATAAATGCACAGAAACACAATGTACACAATGGAAATGGTTAGGTTAACTGAATTACAGCCTCCATATTCTGGCAATATTACAGTTATTTTAAGCAAGAGATTTGTTTCTCCATGTGTAGAGGAGTCTATTGCATATTATAGAATGAGCTGAAAAAGTTATAGAACAAAGCTTGGAATCTAACACTTAGTCTTGTACAACAATGTTATGAAACCAAATAAACCACCAAGAAACAAATGATTTCTCTGCCCTCCACCTCCAAGCCTTACCACTGAAACCACAGGCTACACCATTCAATGTAGAGTACATTGCCTTTGATAAGTCATTCTCATAAGAATAATCCAAACACATTTTGTTTTTCCAAATACAGAAGAGATTTTAGCCAAGGAGCTCATTCAGACTTTGAGCACTGCTCTCATCTCACTGCCTGTGGGTTACTCGTTCATGTCCCTCATGCCCTCACTGAACTGCAAGCCCAGTGAGGTCAGGAGTTTGTCTGCGAGTCATTCCAGATCTCAGAGCCAGGTGCAGTGCCTGGCATGGAATTGGCTGACAATGAGCACTGGCTGTGAGATGCAGAAGAGAGGGAGAAGTAAAGGGGAGGGCAGCTGGGAGAGGAGAGAAAAGAGAACAGGGAAAAGGATGACAGCAGCAAAGCAGAAGGATAACAGTCATTTCCGTTGGCAGGAAGGGTGGTAGAATTGGACTGGGCAGAAATCAGCTGGTTGTGCTGGATAGAGGATGATAGGTAGGCCATGCTCAGATCCACAGAGAGAGCAGTGAGCCCTTATTGGTACCATCCTATAGCACATTAGGAGCAGTGGTCCAGCAGGCCTGGATGGGCACTGATCTGATCAGAGCATGGAGTATCTGTGAAGCATTTCAGCTAGCAGCAAGAGAGCCAGGCAACAGTTAATTGAGATGATGGGAGGGAAGAAGGGGGAATTTTTTAATGAGTGTCCATTTCAGTGAAAAAAAAAGTAAAGGTAAAATAGTACAAAAAGAAAGAAAAGAGAAGGAAGAAAGGAAAGGAAAGGAAAGGAAAGGAAAGGAAAGGAAAGGAAAGGAAAGGAAAGGCAGGGAGGCTTCTCCAATAATTGAGGGAGAGAGGGCACTTAGAGTGAACCAGAGATACCAAGATGAAAACCATAAAAATGAGATTTTAAAAAATCCTGCTACAGGCAAAGAAGAGACAAGGAATGACATTGTACAATGGAAGCCACCTGGGAGAAACAGTGCTCCTTCCTCAGGGTGAATGGTTCCTTATAAAGTAAATTTTTACCTGATCACCTTTCTGCCCAACCTCACCATCTGCACCACGTTCTCCTTGACTTCCCTTGAAAGGAAAAAAAAGAAAAGAAAGATGTCACTGGAAATTTTAATAGGAAAACAAAAATCATTTTCATGCATTCATTCATCCATTCATTAATTCTCCAAAAATCTCTTATCAAGTTCCTGTGGTAGCTCAGGCACGGTGGCAGCAGATAGATAGAAACAGGGCCTGGTTGAGGATGTGTGATAAAATGGCTTAACTGGGATTTGGGGTATGGGGTTGGAGAGCGGGCAGCAGGAAAGGGGCCAGGGAGGCAGGCAGGGCTCATTTCTTTGAGAGCCTTGCATGTCAACATCTGATGTTAGATTTAGTTGTAGGCACTGGAAACCATTAAAAGGATGTGAAATTGTCCTAGGTTCTAGCTGTGGGTATAGTGTGGGATAGGCTAGTGGTCCAGGCTATAGAGAAAAGGGTCAGTTAAAAACAAGTGGTGTTCCAGGAGTGGCAGGAAAAGAGGCAGAATAAACCCAGGGTCTGCAGGCCTTGCAGAACAGGTGTGAGGGTGAGGGAGAAGGAGAAGTTTAGATGGTGGCCAGCAGGAGCAGCAGCACCAAACGGGAAGCTTTGGAAGAATTTATCCATACATAAGTTCCTTGCTCCCTCCCTTACTAGCTGTGAGACTTTGAGGAGCCACTTCACTAAAACTGCTCAAGTTGTTCGTTTGTTTTGTAACCTACAAGAACAAGAAAACAATGATGCCTACCCTGTGAAAATGTTAGAGAATAAAATAACAAATGGGAAACACTTGGCATAGAGCCCAGAACACAGTAAAAGCTCAATAAATCTTAGTCATAATTATTATCTTCTTTATTTTGCCACTTGCTAACTGTGTGTCATTGGACAAGATACTTAAACTCTCTGTCTTCTTACTTCTAAAATGAGAATCATAAAATAGTATCTTTGTCATGGGGTTACTGTGAGAGTTAAATGACCTAAAATATACAAAGTGCTTAGACTTATGACAGGTTGTGTGTTAGCTCTCAAAAAAACATTAGCTATCATCATTCTCATTGTCAGTATCACCATGATGATCATCATGATCATTATCATCACCATCACCATCATTATTATTCCATAACCATCATCACCATAATCACTATCATAATCATGATCACCATCAACATCAGCACCACCAGAGCTATTATCATCACTGTTTCCATCACCGTCATCATCCTCATCTTCACCATCATCATCGTCTACATCATAATGATCAACAACACCATGACTATTGTCATCACCATCATCCTCATCATCATCATTGTCATCATTATTGCCATTGTCATCATCATCATGGTCATCAAGATGCTCAAAATATACAACCTACCAAAAATACTTTTCACAGACCACCCAAGAAAGTAACATCCAAAGGTTCAAATTCTTTAACTATTATCTACCTTAGCTCTGCCTTTATTGTGTTAATAAGTGTGTTTCAGCAAAATGTTTTTAAAACAAAAACATTTCAATTCCTTTAAAAGAATGCATTATGCACTAAATAGGTTTGTGACTGTAGGTCAATCTTTGTTGTGGTTCTATGCCTGTCATCCCTTAACTTTGCATTCTTAAGCATATCATGTCCACTCTCTGGTCTCAGTTTGTTCATCTAGTAAATAAAGGATGAGGGGCAGGTCCATCTAGGAGGGTCCTTCAGGGGGTCCAGTGCCCCACAGTTCTCTCATGGAAACATCAAGTCCAGCCCTCTTTCAATCCAGACTGTTCTACCACCTCAGCAGACCACTGATGACAGTGACTATCTAATAATCCCCCCTCTCTCTCTGTGATATATTGGGAGGGTTAGGTGAGCTCATATCTGTGAAGTGCTAAATATCATTGTTTAGAAGAGAAAAAAAATGGAGTCAGAGAGAAAGAGCATTTCTTCTGACATTTTTCCACGTAATTATTTTTACTGTTTCTAAATCTAAATAAAGGCATCACACCCTCTGCAGATCATGTTGTAATCAATGAAAAGAAGTGACACAGATTAGCCCACTGCTTCCTTAACATTTAGGACAATTGCCTTAAAAGTAAATGGCTTCCTTTCAAATTCCAGTCCTCAGTCTGGGTTTAGACTAGTTTCAACACTCATGTTGCAACAATGAAAATGTCAGCAGCTCAAGGATCTCCACAGTTGTCCCTGTCTCCTACTCCAACGTAGGTCAGGGATCAAAGCAAACACACCCACCCCCAAGCCTGATTCACTTCCTTCCAGAGAAGGGCGCTGACATTTACAGAGCCCCGACTCTTCCAGGAACTCTGCCAAGGCTTCCCACATGATATCCCATTACATATATTTCCTTGTTTATATCTTGAACTGATGCAAAAATATTTAATATGTCTTTATTCTCTTATTGAGCCAGTAAGTCTACTCTCTGAGGTAGGGCTTATTATCAGAGTGTTAGATAATAAATCTGAAGACCAGACAGGTTCAGTCATTCACCTGAGCTCACACAGCTTATAGAAAGCAAGGTCTGGAATCTAATCCAGATCCATTTGTCTGATGATCAAATATCCAAGCTGGCTTTCTCTGCCCAAATTACTTTTCCGGCTATTTTCCTAGAACATGATGCCTTATCCAACAGGTTTCAAGATGTCAAGTGCACTGGATTTATAGTCAGAAAGACTGACTGACCATGCTGAGCATAGGCCAGACAGCTTTCTATACACTGGATATATAACAATCAATGAAACAGATAAAAACCATGTGCACTGGGCATTCATATTTAGTCCTCTTCAGAAGAGGTTTATTAAAGAGTCATTTCAAGGGCTTAATTCCCCCTGTTGAAAATAAGGAAAGAAACTTCGCCCCACTCAGTTTACTGAAAACACTTACTTTTGAAAACTTGTTATTGTTAGTTTTTTTTTAGGGGGGGTCTCTTTGAAAGGTATGCAAATACTTTTAAAAGCTAAATGAGACTTTTGCTAGCTTTGTGACCCAGGAACTCAGCAATGTCTTTCTGAAGGACCTAGGAACCATCTCTTTGAAATAGAATCAGCAAAGAGATAGTATTCCTATCCATCTCCCAGTTCCTGTGAAACAGTAGAAGCCCAACTTCAGCAGATGCCTGGCTCCAAGTTGCAAATCTATTTCCTGCCATGAAGATGTGAGAAGTTTACCTTTGCTTTGAATAAGGTCAATTAGTTAATACAGACACATAGACGGCCACCGCAATTACCAGGTGAATCTAGGAAGGACATGCGGTGTCATTAAATCCTCTCACTTGAGGACTAGTTATTGCTTATCTTGACAACACGTATGTGATAGGTGGTTGTATCAGCTTGGCTATCTAAAAGAGTAAGATTTCTTTCAGTCTTTGCAATCTCTTAGCATATTGTCTGTAATGCAAATCACATTCTGGTTTAATGCTATTCAATAATAAAATTGTTTTCTTTCTCTTCTACCTTCGTGGAAAACCTCTCTGAGTTGGGAGATTTTGTTTTTAATTACATTTTTCCAGAACCATCATGTGCTAAGCACATGATAAAACAATCATTTGGAAGGTACATTCATACCAGGAATTGCTCTAAGAGTGCTGTCCTTCATGAACACACTGAACAGGCAATTTTCTCAAAAGGTTTTCAAACTTTTGAGGGCAGGGACTAAACTTTCCCAAGTTAGTAACTCTCTACGACTCTCAGAACAAACCCTTCTCCTAAACTTTTACATGCTGTTGTCCTGCTTGGAAAACCTTTCTCCACCAATAGCTGGTAAATTCCTAACTAACCCTCCAATGCAATTAAAATCCTGCCTCCTCCAGGTGGCAACTAAAATCCTACCTCCTCCAGGTGGCCTTCACAGGTTACCCCTTGTTCCATGGTGTTAGTTTTCTTTCAGTCGTTTACTCTTCTACTGACAATTTGTTGTGGTTGTTGTTAACTCAAATGAAGCAAGTATTATGAGGACCACTTGCAGTTACATGTATTAAATGCTTCCTACCTGCTGTGATTTGTAAATTCCCCCTTGTTCAGTTCTCGCATTCTCATTATGAGACAGATTGTACAATTCTTTTTCAGATGAGGGACCCAAGGTACCAATGAGGGACCCAAGGTTCAGAGAATAATAAATGCCCAAGTCCTATAATTAGCAAGGAAAATTCACTCAGCTAATAAGAGGCAAAGTGGGTTGGGGACCACTGGCTTCCAAAGCCCAGGCCTGTGCCCACAGGCCTTGTTGGCTTCCTGCCTCCATCAGACATTCCTAAGTGTTCGCTGCAAGCTTGTAGGTCTTTCTTCTCTGTCACAGCATCAGGCTATGAAAGGAATGGCCCATATCTGACCTCTCTATATACCTCCTGACTTGAAAGGAAACTGTTAAGGTGATGCTTGGTGAGAATCTTTCAGAACCGTGGCAGTTACAGACGGAAAGAATTTTCTGCTCTAGGAAAGAACATGGAGTAAGTGGCTCTGGGTTATTTTCTAGGCAGGATGGGAATCCCAAGGCTTTTTCAGGTAGTGCCAATGGCAGCAGGTATTATCTCTGCCTCCTCGGAGTCATCCATACCCTCCAAATGAGGACTTTTGCTCATTGGGTGTCTCTGGATCCATGCCAGGCCCCCTTTAGGTCCTATTACTGGTTGGTGAACATGCTATAAGAAGGAAATAAAAACGCTTTTCGTAGGGGACAGAATAGTCATCATTTCCAACCCAAACAAGGCATTTACGTCTAACTCTGTAGAATACATGCTCCCAGGGTCATTGCTGTGGTTACCATCTTGTTGCTTCTTCCTCCTTTACACGGATCATAACCACAACTGCAGCAACGATCTCCAGACCCTATATCTTAAAGTCAGTGTTTTATGTGAGTTCAAAGTCCTAGAATGGAGCTCTGTAGTTGACCGTGTGGCATGAGCCTCCTCATGCCGGCCACTGAAGACAGCAGCTGCAAATCTGTAAGATAAACCTTGGGGAAGTTACTTCCCCGATGCTGCATTGCAACTGCAAACAAAGGAACCAAACCCTCTTGGCAGTGCAGGAGACCAATGAATGCCCAGAGCCTTTGGTTATGAAAGGATGCTGACAATGATTGTAAGTACTCCATCAGGGGTAGCATTTTCAGTTTACAAACTCATCTTCACATCCCCAAGTCTAGTGGAGATACTGTTTGATAAATGAAGTTGAACAGAGAGGAAATGAAACAGTCTTTCTATTTTCTGGAAAGTAGTGTGGGGTAAATGACAAGCATAGAAGCTGGCTTGGGTTTCAAGCCAAGAACCACAATAGACTGAGTCCTCAGAGGACACATTTAACCCTTCTGTGATGCATTTTCTCAACAATAAGTGGTGACAAGGGGCAGCTATTGCAGACAGGAGCATTAGCAGATATAGTGTAGACTAAAGCATTGCACCCCATTAGGAGCTGTCCTGGGTGCTGGTGTTGGTATCAGCTGTTACTAAGGAGTATGACAAGACAATAACTACTCAGGGTACTGAAGTTGGACTACTAGTGGTCAACCCCAGTTATACCACCCACTAGTTTTGTAGCTGTGGCATTTAATCTTGTTAAACCTTAGTTTCCTCATCTGTAAAGTGAAACAACAGCTCTGCCTCCTAGCATCATGCTGACAATTGCAGGAAATAGTAACCTGCTCCTTGGAACACTGAGCACTCTGCCCAACGCAACTGCCTGGGGCTCATCATGCAGGGTTAGATCACATGCCCCAAGGACTTCTCATGGTTGGAGTCACCATCCGCTCCTAAATGGAGCAAGAAGAACCCCTGTATTTCAGATGCAGCACTAATTGTTGTTCTTTTTTTCTGGATGGAAGCTTTCTGTTCTCAGAATATTTAAAGGAGCAAACCCTCCGTTGAAGCAAATTATAAGGGAACAAAAGCAGGGCCGTTACTGAAAACATCAGCACTGCATGCAGGCTTGGGCTGAAGGAGAAAACAGTCCATACTTAATGGAGCTAGCTCCTTATCTGTTTAATTGATATGATTTTACTTCTTTGAATAAAGACAATTCTAGCCGGGTGCGGTGGCTCATGCCTGTAATCGCAGCACTTTGGGAAGCCAAGGCAGGCAGATCAAGAGGTCAGGAGTTTGAGACCAGCCTGACCAACATGGTGAAACCCCATCTCTACTAAAAATACAAAAATTAGCTGGATGTAGTGGCATGCACCTGTAGTCCCAGCTACTCAGGGGGCTGAGGCAGGAGAATCGCTTGAACCTGGGAGGTGGAAGTTGCAGTGAGCCGAGATTGCACCACTGCGCTCCAGCCTGGGCAACAGAGCAAGACTCTATCTTAAAAAAAAAAAAAAAAAGGCAATTCCCCCTCAGCAGAGGCTAAGCCCAGCAGCCAGCAAGTTGACAGCAAAGGTTACTTAAGGATCAGTTAAAATTTGAAATTACAGGGCAAGAAGCTTGGCCTCAGCTGGTGATCCCAGAAAGAGAAGGTCATGCCCAGTAAGGAGTTCCAACATTTGAAGATGCTACACTTTCCTGATACCTTTCAATCTAACACTGCCCCGGGCAAATCTCTTGTTCTATCTGCACTGAGATCTGATATCTATAACTCCTGATGCAGGAGTCTTGCCTCTGTCAAAACCATCTAAATCTTCACAGTCCACGGGTCATGATCGCTAGATGTCTTAAGCTGTCAGCTAGGGTCTGGGAGACCTGGGTGTTTTCCATCTTGATATACCACAAGGCTGGTGCTGTTGTCACAACATAGAATTATTGGTTTTTTGCTTGCTTTTTACCAGTCATAATAACAGTGCCAACACCCTTTTCCAGGGCTGGGCCTAGGGTAAGGAAAGTGAATCACTCACCTTGGGTACTGAATACCTCTTGCTGAGAAGCCAAAAGAAATAATATCCCTATGCAATATAGATAGATAGATAGATAGATAGATAGATAGATAGATAGACAGATAGATAGATAGACAGATAGATTGCATAGGGATATTATTTTATATATATTTTAAAAAATTTTTTTTTCTTGAGTCTCACTCTGTCACCCAGGCTGGAGTGCAGTGTCACAATCTTCACTCACTACAACCTCTGTCTCCCGGGTTCAAGCGATTCTTATGCCTCAGCCTCCCAAGTAGCTGGGATTACAGGTTTGTGCTACCACACCTGGCTAATTTCTGTTTTTAGTAGAAATGAGGTTTCACCATGTTGGCCAAGTAGCTGGAATTACAGATGTGCACAACCATCCCTGGATAATTTTTGTATTTTTAGTAGAGATGGGGTTCCACCATGTTGGCCAGGCTGATCTTGAACTCCTGTCCTCATGTGATCTGTCTGCTTCAGTCTCCCAAAGTGCTGGGATTACAGGTGGTAGCCACCACACCTGACCCCTATGCAATATTTTAAAAAGCCAAAGTCAATCTAAAATAACTCAAGATGATTGAAATATCAAAATGTAAATGAACACAGGTATTTGACACTGCTGGAATTTGGCAGAAGTGAGTTAGGTAGGTCATTCAAGTGGAGGGTTGGGTCATGTCTTTATTTTAAATTTTGATATTTTGTTCCTCATGAAATGATTGCATTACTTTTAAATTTTATAAAATATTGCATTAAAGTATTATTTACCTAGGTTGCTGAGGTTTTTGGCTTCTTAAATTTTATTCCCAAATCCTCACCCTAAATATGCGGCTGCCACCACTGTGACCGTAAGGGCTAAAAAAGCTAATGTCAAATGAGCACTTACAACTGAGAAATAAAAATAAAATCCTAGGCCCCCCAACCAACTGTACAGACCCCCTCTTGGCCAAGGAGACCCAGAAAATCCTTAAAAACTGAGTTCCCAGCCTGACCACCATCTCTGGACCAGTTTTGGCCAACTCACAGAGCACGTGTAGTCAAAAGCTTTCATGTCTTCTGCTTCACCTTTTGACGTCAGAGGTTTCAAAACTTTAAAAACTCCACCCTTGGATCATGCTAATGCTGCCATTTTTTGAACACATGACCCATTATGAGGCATGAAACTCAATTTCCCATGCACATGTTTCTCCTTCTGTAAAGATTCATGACTTCTCCTATAGCTTTTTAAATATATTCATTTGGCCAGCCTGCTCAGCATAAATTCCTGCTGCTTTTACCCTTCCCTTGAGGCACTTGCTCTTGGTTTCTGCTGGAGGCTATGCTTCCCAGCCTGTGGGACGGACGGCCCGCAAGTGCAATCCTATGTGAGAAATAAAGATCTCCTTTCCAAGTCTGTGGACCTGAGACAGGACAGGTAGTCATGTTCTTGGGATGCAGCAACCGTGGTGACAGTAAGTACAAGCAACACAATAAGCCTCAGCATTCACATTATAATTGAGCTCATCCACGCAAAGCTATCTTCAGTAGGGACTTTCCCCTCTAGAGAGCATGTGCACTTTGATTTTGCCCATCCTCAAACTGACGCTTTGCTCATTATAATGGTAAAAAACATACCCCTGGGTGGAGATTTAAGATGCTAATGAGACATGTGACGTACGAACAAACATGTACAGCTACTGCACATGTACAGCCAGAGGACCACTCAGAACGTGCTTATGAGTAACGCCTCTTCCCACCTCTTTATGAATAATCATGTAAGTCTCCCATAAAGGGAGTCTCCCTAATGCTGGTCTTTGCTATCTCATCCCTGCGAGCAGCCCGCCCTGAATCCTCTCTCTCTCAGGCATAGTGTCTATTCTGCCCTAACTTTCAAAGTATTCTTTTTCTTTTGCAATAAATTACTCGATGTTGCATCTCCTTTGCTGTGTGTCTCTTGTTTAAATGCTTTTCAACCAAGGAGACAACAACTGAGGTATCACAACAGCCACACTTTGTCATTCTTCAGTTGATACAATATACCAGGCACTGATGGGAGCATTTTGCCCGCAGTTGGCACAGTAATAAGCCTGTAGGCTCATAGTTTTCATAGTCCCTAGTTAACTTTAGGAAACAAAAGGCCAGAAAGGTTAAGAAACTATCCCAAGGTCACACAGCTGAGATGGAATTCTAACCCCAAGGACTGACTTCTGAGCTTTCTCTCCTATTGACAATTTTATGCCACCTCTTCTACCAGATGAGGCATGCTATGTCCAGCCAGGCCTCAGGAAGAGACATAGGGACACATTTGGCCCTGAGTGTTGGTGGGGAAGGTGTTCATTCTGCAGCAGCACAGAGGCCACAAGAGATAAGGGAGCACACTCTGGGGAGCACCAATGACAGCGGGAAGGGAATGAGGGTGTGGGTCTATCTGTCCCCATACCAGCACTCAGGCAGTTTCTTCTTAGAGCTAAATACTAACACCACCAACAGCTCAAACAGCCCCAGCCCTAGAACATTTGTTTTGACAGCCAGAGAGCTTCCCTGCCTATTTTGGGGTTCAGATTATACCCCCCTTTCTCTCAGGCTGTCCTCCCTGGCTTTGGGAAACCACAGAGCCACAGAGCTGCTTTTAGACAGATGCCTTATCACTCACATGAGAATAACAGTGCTCGCTTGCATTCAAAAAGCACTTTCCTAGTATTTTTCAACTGAGTGCCACATCCTTTTTATGTATCATATCATTCCATTTTAACAAATATCTGACACCATTTGTATTTTTGTCATTACTGGGAGTTAAGTGGAGGCGTCTGACCACAAAACTCATGTCTTAACCAGTAGGTCCCACACAGTCCAATTCTTCCATGCATTTCATACTTTCCAACAAGCAGTTGTTTGTAAATGAGCAACTGGGATTCCACACATTGAAGTGACCTGCCCATGGTCAATAGGATAGTCAGTGCCATGCTTAGACCCAGAACAGGGGTTTTCTGATTTTAAAACCACTCCTTTACACTGGCCATCACTCTTCCTTAAATTGAGATTAACCATTGAGATGAGCAGAATAGATCCATGCAGATGGTTATGAAGTCTCACTGACCTGTGGTCCAGCTATTCCTGGGGGCCCTGGTAGGCCTGGAGGCCCAGCCTCTCCCTGTATCAGGGATACAAGAAAAAAAAAGAAAACAAGAATGAGTATCAGGCCCACATCCAGGGTCATCACCATGCCATCAGCCTCGTACCTCCCTTCACTGATTTTCCACTGGGACTTCCGTCAGCTACCCCTGCCCCTAGCCTGTCTGAGCAAAGGGTATAGGCAAGTGGTAGTACTGAGTGTGGCTGTGCAACCATGGCATGACCCACCATTAATATGGTTAGTTGGTGTGTCTCCAAGATAGCCTGATGGCCCCTGCCTCCCATATTTGCAACCTGGAGCAGCCGTCCTGCCATTTGTTCCAGGTTTGGTCTCTATGGCCCACAGGACATGGCAGAAGTGATGGTGTGTACTTGCTGAGATTAGAGTATAAGATGGCTCACTCCCACCTTGGCCTGCTACCATCCCCCGCCCCCCACCTTGCACTTTTTCTATCTAACCACTCATTTTGGGGAAAACCAGTTTCCACGTCTTGATCTCACTCAAGCAGCTCTGCAGAGAGGCCCACCCATGTGGTAAGGAACTGAGGTCTCCATCAACAGCCACAAGAGTGAACCTGGATGGAAGGGGATCTTCTACCAGATGGACCCTGAGATGACTGCAGCTCAGGGCTTGAGGGTTGCCTCATGAAAGACCTGAGCCAAAACAACCCAGCGAAACCACTTCTGGATTTCTGCCCCAGAAATTTGAGATAATAAATATTTGTTGTTTTAAGCCACTAAGTTTTGGAGCAATCTGTAATGTAGTGATAGATAACTAATACAGTTGAGAAGAGAGAAAAAGTGTGCTGCACTAAGAAATAGAGTCTGAATTATGTAGGATCTCATTTGTGTGTGCGTGTTTGTGCTTTACAAATATACGTGCATGTATAATTATATTGGCACACATTGCATGTTCTTTATAGTTACTTTCATAACCATTTTCTTATGGTTATTTTCACTCTAAGTTCTGTAATACCTGGAGTGTCAGCTGCTTGACTCTGAGAAAGGACTACCCAGGTGGGAGGGTGGGGGTTCGTGGCCCCCTGCCAGGTCCTGCCAGAAGTTGTGGAACATTGAGTGGTTCTGAACATCAGAATCACTGTGTAGCAGTTGTAGTAAACACACAGAATACAAGCCTCATTCCCAGTGATTTGATGCAAAGCAACTGTGGTAGAAAGGTCTGGAAAAGACTGATCTAAACATCTCCCTAAGTGATTTAGAAATGCCACCCTGACAGCCTCTGCACTGATATCAAGAATCTTTGAGGTTAAGACTCCTGGAATAAATTCCTAAAGACCCATCTATCTTAATGAACTAAATGATCTTCTGAGCTGTTTAAAATTAAGGCAATGGGAAAGACCCATGACATGGATGTAAGTACATTCAAACATGTTTATTTACTATCTGATAAAACATGATACAAGAAATGCTGCAAATCAAATAAAGGCCTGTTTTTAATAAGCTGATCACCAGGAGAATTTAATTAGGTGAAATTATTCTTAGTCAAATCAGCTTTAGCACTGGCCCCTGTTCCTTCCAGGGTTCCAGAGTGTATGGAGAAATTTCGAGGACTGTGGCACGCCCACGAGTGTATGGAGAAATTTCGAGGACTGTGGCATGCCCACGGGGTCTATGCTCAAATATCCTGCATAGCTGAGCTGGTGGAAAGGGAACAAGCACTGCTTAAGGCTCAGAGAGTCAGAATAAAGGTCATCTTTCACATCTGTGTTTGTATTCCCTGTACCATGTATGGGTAAAATACAAACCACAAATAAGAGGCTTAACTCTCTCTTTTTTGAAAAGAAAGAGAATCTCACCTAAGACTTTTTCTTAAAGCATTTACTTTAGAAAACAGATCATTGTCAGTTCTTTATCTGTCTCTTTGAAATGTGTGTAAATCCTTTTAAAAGGCAAAGAAGGCTTTTTTTTTTCCAGTTTGATGACCCAGGAATGTCTTTCTCTAGGAGTTAGGATCCATCTCTGTGAAATATGATCAGCAAGGAAGATCCACCACTATCTCCCAATGTCTAGGGATTGGTATCTCCCCAAGTTGCAACACTATCTTCTTACATAAAGATGCAAGAAGTTTATTTTCACTTTGGATAAAGCCAATTAGCTAAGACGGAGGGCCATCTGAATTACCAGGTGAATCTAAGATGAACGTATGTGACAAATAGCACTGTCAAGACTTCCTACTTGAGGACTAAGTATTGCTTATCTTGAGAAAATGTCTGTAATGGACTTTATCTGCTTAGCTATATAAAAGAGTGAGATTTCTTCCTGTCCTTACCATCTCTTAGCAGATTGTCTGTAATGCACATTATATTCTAGTTTAAATGTAATTCAATATTAAAATGGTTTTCTTTCTCTTCCACCTTTGTGAAGAAGTTTTCTGGGTTGGGAGGAGATTTTGTTTTCAATTCTATTTCCCCAGCACCCATGAAACTCCCTACCTCTGTTTTGCTCCAGGACAGACCATGAACTCCTTTAGAATAGGGTCTCAGCCTTTTTCTTCTGAACTTCCCCATTGTCTACATGTTGACTGACATATAAGACACATGTAATGGGGTGTCATAAACAGGTAATGACAAGGGATTGAATGCATGCATGAATGGATGGATCCATTGATTGATCTATGAGTCTGAAGTGCCTATCTTGGTGCCTATTACATAGTAGATAGGCAAAAGTTGTTGGATGACAAAAGAAAGGAAGGGAGAAAGACAAGGTGGAAAGGAATGTAACTGAATGAGTGTATGTTTCCAGGTGTCAGCATGTATTGGGAAGTCACAATCAACATCTTCTTAAAGTGACAAAGACCCATAGATACCCACTTCCTACCATTTCCATAGCTGTATCTCACAACCCAGTACTCCTCATCTATCTTGAATCTTGAACCCCTCAAACCCTGAACACCTTCAGAGGCAGATGGGGCAATACTGAGATCTCCAGAATGATATTTTCATTGTAATGATAAAAATCGAGTTTCCCCTTTTCTCCTTACCTTTTTCCCTTCTGTGCCTTCTCTCCCTGGCTTTCCTGGGACACCTTTGTCCCCTTTAAAACCTGGTAGACCAGGGAGGCCTGGGGGGCCAGGAGGGCAGTCATTGCACACATCCTGAGAGTGGGGAGAGAGGTGGGGACAAAGAGAGAATAACTAGCAAATACAGTTTCAAAGCAAAGCAAAGTAGCCCTGGCTGCTATCTCTCCAGATGGAGATTTGGTTTTTAAATTCCAGAGAAGATAGAAAAGCAAACAGGTGGACTGAGTCATGATCTAAATACTCTTGTGTCTAAACTTTGCATTTTCCCTTTCTTAACTAAAAGTTAGGTTTCAGCACTGACATATCTGGATATTCCTCCATTTCCCCCTATTTCCACCCAGACTTCTGGAAGGATAGCCTGAGGAAATGATGTCAAAAATCCATGTAAAATGATCTGTGAGCAGCTGAAAACATTAACAGTGCAGATTTAATACAAACATTTAGTATTACTAAAAATAGCATGCTCTGTCCCTGATGTTAGAGGCCAAGCTGGGAGCTGAATTCTCTGTTCTGCATTTGCCCGTCAAGTGGTTTCTGAACAAGGAAGAAGGATAAACAAGGCAACAGGCACACACCCTTGGGACTTTGTTTCTGTGATACAATGCCGACTCTGACCATGCTTAGCTTTATTTTTTACCCAAGGCAAGCACTTAATCAATGTTCCCTGGAATTGGGCTTTGTTCTACTTCTTTAAGGCAGGTAAATATTGCTCCTCGAGTAAATTTAAAGTCCTCTGAGCCCAGAGCATGTGTTTTCTGATTAGTTGGATCTTACAGTTTGGAGCACACTATGTGCCAAATAAAACTCACCTAACTGTACTCCAGCCTGCCTCATCCACCTGCCTCTTGGTTTGCCCCCTCCATGGCCTTCTCTCTAATCCTCCCTCTCATCCACCCTGCCTCTCTCCTTGTGATCGGAGTTTAATGGATAACACAAGTAAAGCACTTAGAATACTCTCAAGAAAGATTAGATAGATAGATAGATAGATAGATAGATAGATAGATAGATAGATAGACAGATAGACAGATACACAGATACATATAGATAGATAATGCCCACACATTTAGCCATTATTGTTAGTTTATTTATTCACTCAGTCACTCACTCATTGAAAAAATACTTGAAAGTCACCTACTATGTGTCAGGCACTGTGCTAAGTTTGGGACCACAGTGAGTGTGTGTCTTGAAGAGCTCTCAGTTCAACGCTGTCAACTGACACAAATACATGCACTAACTATGGTCTTTTGAAAGCCCCACCAAAGGCACCTGCAAAAATACGCGGAAGCTGCACTGTTCATAGTCCATGAGGTGAAGCTGCAGGTGATTTTGTTTTCTTCTTGGTCTCCGATTTCAGGATGGTCAAGTTTTTCCATCACAAAAGCATCTCTGAATGGCCCACCTTCCTTTTACTTGTTTCACCTACTCAGTCTTTGGAGATTCTTTAGAAGTCTCCCCCTCCAAGAAGACTTCCTGATTGCCTCAGGATGGGGACAGGCTCTTCCTGCTCCCAGAAATCTCAGGAATCCTCACTACTGAAGTACTAGTCTCCTTGTTGGAATGGTCTTTTATTCCATCCTCTCTCCACCAGGCAAACAGAAGGTGTAAGCACTCAGAGGACAGAGGTAGAATTATCTTTGCTTGCCAAATTCATGGCAAATATTCTTCCACAGAGCATGAGTGCTATAAATGAATGAATCAGGCATCCCAACTAACTAACCAACTGACTGACCGATCAACCAATTAACTGTCCACCTGACATTCTGGCGACTTGTGCCATCTTCTTTTAGTGGTTAGTTTGCAAAGCTGATTGGATTATTTGGAGGATGGAAAGAGTTAAATACTGGGATATATAAAGCAAGAGTGTATGAGATATTCAGTTTACTTAGATGAGCTGCTTTTGATAACTGTACTTTGCTTGAAAGAGTAGCAGAGCTGAAAGGAGCTCGCCTCTTTGTAGACCTTCTCTTATTGTACTCTAAGATGAGATGCATCCATGAAACATTGCAACTGTGGATGGATGCACGGATGGATGGATGGATGGATGGATGCAAATGGAACTAGCCTGATGACACCAAAAATTCTAGCCACTGAGATATTTCTGGACTTAAAGGGTGCCCTGGTGATAGGAAGCCATTCTTTGCAGTGGGATCCATAACATAAAAAGATTATACCTGAGTAATACAAAAATCTTATGACTTTCCTATTTCTTTCTAATTTCTGGCAGGGCTCTCAACCTGGGCCTGTTGCATACTATGCAGGATTATTTCCTGAAGACCAGAGCTGTCGGAGACCCAGACCTACCTGTGAGGGAGCTAGACTCAACTCACTGACCCAGTTCTGGAATCCAGTGAGCATAGGGTGAGATCACCCCAATCTGCAGTCTTACAGATGCTCACCTTGGCTCCAGAGCTCCTGGGAGCCCCCCGAGTCCCTCCTGGCCCTGCACCAAACTCCAGCTCAGAGGGCAATTCACACTTTCTCTGAATGTATTGAAACTGGATAGGGTTGTGTTTCCAACCAAATGGGCTTGCCCATACGCCACTTGAACCTCTGTCCACCTGGAATCATGGCTTCATCTCCCTGAGTCTCCTTATCTGTGAAATGGGGATGTCAAAGTCTTATGATAAATGAGACAATTAATGGAAAATGCCTGACACTGTCCTGACACAGAGTGAAAGCATAGTGACTTTTAGCTGCTACATGTGCCATTACGGTTTTGTTTATTTTCCTCCCTAAATCTGTGGCCTTGCCCCATTTGCAGATCAGATGACCGTGATCATCAATACTAGCTCCCAATCTCTGGGCTTTCTGAGTTATCTCAGGCAAGTCAATTAATCTTCTTGAGTCTATTTCCTCACCTGTAAAAAAGGATCATTCTCCTACTTTAGGAGATTGTTGTGAAATTTAAATAAAATAATGCATACAAAGTGCCTAGCATATTTCAGGGTTCATTGTATGTAATCTATTAATGTTCTTTCCCTCTAGTCTCTACCCCTTCCTTTGGTCTAAAATATTTTCTTTTCCTTTTCTGGTTTTTTTTTTTTTTTTTTTTTTTTTTTTGGAGACAGAGTCTTGCTCTGTCACCCAGCTTGGAGTGCAGTGGTGTGATCTAGGCTCACTGCAGCCTCCGCCTCCCAGATTCAAGCAATTCTCCCACCTCAGCCTCCCAAGCAGCTGGGAATACAGGCATATGCTACCACGTCTGACTAATTTTTGTATTTTTAGTAGAGACGGGGTTTTCCCAAGTTGGCCAGGCTGATCTTGCACTCCTGGCCTCAAGTGATCCACCTGCTTCGGCCTCCCTAAGTGCTGGGATTACAGGCATGAGCCATCGCACCCCGCCGGTCTGAACTATTTTCAACAAACTCAGCTTGTTAGGTCATTGCATGTAATACTGTACTTTGTGTGGTTTGAAGTACCAAGTAAGCACTCAACAAAATGCTTACTACATGGAGAAAATAACAGTCATTGCTTCCCAGGAGAGGAAATGACCTCTAGGTCATTTCATCCACCTTCTCACTGGACATCTGAATCCTCACTATGATATTCCTACCAAAGAGTTGTGTAGCCTTCATCTCCGAATCTCTATGTGACAGGCAGAGAACTCACTAGCTGCCTGGACTTCATCAGATAGCTGTCAGGAAGTTCTGGCTCACGTAAAGATGAATCGGATAGTAGAGAGGCTACGCGTAAGGCTTCAGAGTTGGTCTCACTGGGTTTGAGTCTTGGTTCTACCACTACAAGGTCTGTGATTTGAACAAGTGTCTTGCCCATCTATGCTTAACCTGTTCATCTGTAAAATGCAGACAGCAACAGAAACCACTCACAGGATTGTTTTTGAGGATTTAATAATATAATATTTCTGCAAGGGTAATGGAGACAATTTTAAGATGACCTCCATGGGCACAGATCCAACTATGGACATTCATTTAACAGGGACTCTTAGAACTTACTACCCAGTCAGTTCTCCAACTACCAGAAAGAGATATATGAAGTTATAAAACTCTCTGGGGCAGAGACAAATGTTCTGTAATACAAGATGTCTCAGCAGGGGAGACATCTGCCACCAGCCACCTAGACTAGACCAGCAGACTCTAACTTACAACATCGAGATGACAGCCAGTGACTGCACAAAACAGGAAGATGAACATAGTCTGTTCCCCAGACCTGGCCAAATCCACTCATCCCAGGCTGTTGACTATAGAATTTCCAGGCAAAGCTCAGCTCTGTGGGACCAGTGAGTCTCCACAGGCTACCCTGCACGTAGGCGCTTGCATTCCTTCTGGGGTTTCCAGCTGCTCTGATGAGCACAGCTGTATCCTTTCATAGTGAGGAAATATTGATTTGACTAAATATCTGTCTCAGTGCTATGGCCGTGAGGAATGATGCTTAGCCATTTCAGTGCTCACTCTTATTATTGACATAAAGATTGGGACATCTTGAGGTTGAAATCCTCTGGGTGAGGGGTCAGGGGTGGAGATGGCTGGTGGCTGATGAAAACCTAGCTCCTTCTAGAGTGAGGGAATTAAGAAAAAGAATCCAGGCTAATAAAAGCCTGTAATAAACAGAAGATTGAATCAATAGGTAATGATTTCTTGTCATGTCCTTGAATGTGGAAAAAAAATAACTACCGCACTTGTCAACAAAAACTGGTAAAGATTGTTCTGCTACTTATTTTTTAATAAAAGGTGTAATTTTCCCATCAAGGCATCTCAATTTACAGTGAGATTGAACGCCCCAGACTTCCGAGAAGGTTTTCTTTTTCTTTTGTTTTCCTCTCTTGGCTTCATGTATGAAGTAGGTATTTTCTGAAATCACCCAGTGTCTTTTAGAGAACAAGAGGGAAGGAAGGGACCAGTCACAAAATGCAGTATTGACCCTTCACCCAGAGTTACGAAGAGGCTTGAAGTACAGACAGCAGAAGGGGCCTCCTCACTTGCTGCAGCACCCCTGTTCTTTCTGAAGTATAGACCTTACCTCTCTCTCCCTCGTTCACAGCCTTTCACAGCTCTCAACATTGAAGACCCCAGGTCCTTGGTCAGGCACCTGGGCACCTGTGCAACTTAGCCTTCGGGTGTAACTCCAGCCATGCTGTGCCCTATCTTGGCCGAGTTATGTTCAACCTCTCAGGACCTTTTCCTCTCGTGGGAAAAGCAAATGTGGTTCTAGAAACCAGTCAAGTCTGCACTCACATCTGAGTTTGTCCTGGATAAAAGGCCCAACAGCCCACATCACCTCACTGAACCTGCGCTCTGGTCCTGGCCCAGCAGGACCCAGGTCCAGGCTGTTTGACTCTGCCGCTGGCCCTCCTTTGAGAACATGAGTTAGTCCTGTCTGGGTTAAAGGCCAGCCTCTGGTGTCAGCGAGAAAGGATTTTATTCTTAGGATGTCCTATTCTATTCCATTCCATTCATTGACCCTCACAGTATCTCAGGCTTCTTATATGCTGAATAACACAACAAATAGTATTGATCCCATAGAATATTTGTGAAAATTAAATAAGGGAGGCACATTAAACATTTAGTGTAGCATAGCTCCAAATAATGTTCTGCTCTATATCTGCAGTGCCCAATAAGGCAGCCACCAGCCACATGCAGCTATTAAGTATGTGTAAAGAAAGAGGTTGGAGTGATCAAGCACCTAAATTTTTAATCGCATTTATTTATTATTTTTGAAACAGGGTCTTGCTCTGTCACCCAGGCTGGAGTGCAGTTGCATGCCCATGGCTCACTGCAGCCTCTACCTCCCGGGCTCAAGTGATCCTCCTACCTCAGCCTCCTGAGTCGCTGGGACCACAGGCACATGTCACCACATCAAGCTAATTTTTAAAAAACATTTTTTTTGGTAGAGATCAGGTCTCTCTATGTTGCCCAGGTTGGTCTTAAACTCCTGGGCTCAGGGCTTAAGCTATCCCCACGACATGCTGGGATAATAGGGGTGAGCCACTGTGCCTGGCCTGTATTTAATTTTAATTAGTTTCCATTTAGATTGCAGCATGTGACCAGTGGCTGTTGTGTTGGACAGGGGGATTTAGCACATCACCAGCCACATGCTGAGTTGTCAACTAATGGCGCTGCTGTTATCGTTAATACTACCAAATAGTTGTTCAAAAAAAACCCCAACTTATTATCAAGATCTCCAATCCCGCCATCACCATTTTCAAAACACATGCGCATTTATTGTATGCTTTTACCTTAGCCAAGAGATTTATGTCCCCTGGAGACAGTAGTGAAGAGAGGCCCTGTCAAAATAAAAAGAAACAAACACATACGTACATGCATATATACAATAAATCCCAGGCATCTTCAGAAAGCAAAAGGACTTTAAAGTGTGACACAATACGTGACACACTGCGCCGTGCGTGGGATACGGACAGCCCAGTGGATGTCCCAAGCCTGGGAGCCACAGAAAGAACACTCCTCCAAGACAGCAACTGCACAGACTGCCAGTCCTAACCAAGTCTGACTGACTTTGGCCTTTGGCCATCCCTACTCTCCTTCTGTTTGCCCCTTCTCTTCTCCCAGCTTTCCCTCTTCCCCCCGACCACCAAAACCTGATAGGTCATATGAGTACCGTGGGAGGCAAAGCGGCAAACTGTTTGCAATCTGGATTGTCATGGATATCCCAAAAGAGCAACAGCTGTTACTATCAGTCATCCACAACCTAGTATGAATTTAAGCCAATGTCTTCAGCTCTCCCAGGTGAAACAGCATTTTACACGTCATTTGTCATTATGGCTTAAAAGTCTTTAATTCCAGAAAGGGTATTTCAGAAATCAGGAATAATTACAGAGCCTCTACAGGTAGGTAGGAGTCTGCAGGTGGATGAATTCATGCTCAGACCCACTGTGAGTTGGAGCTACGATTGTGGCTCTTACAACCACAGCCATCCTGGAACCCAAGACAGGGTGAAGGCTCAGAAAATATTTGGGTGCAAGGAACATAAGGCTAGGAAGGAAAATGGAAATTAAAAGGCAGACCGTAAAGGAAAGAAGGGATTCTTAGGTAAGACTTTGAGACTGGTGTGCTACTTTGCAAAATTCTAAATTTTGCAAAGAAAAAGGAATACCAGAAGACCCAGGCAGCAGAGGCAAGGTGGTAGACTTAACAACTAAATGCATGGTGGCTGATTTCTCCTCATTAAGTTTGAGTTTAGGTGTATGAATTACAAATTCAGTCTGCCATTTTGGGAAGGCTGAAACCAAGGCAGTTTTTCAGGCTATTTCCCCATCCCTGACCCCATGGGCTTTCGGTGCCATCCTGTGGTTAGCAAAACCATGAAACAGGTAACACGAGTTTGTTCAAGGTAACTGCTGCAGTGGCCTGAAACGTGCTGGTGGGGTTTTGTGTGTTGATAAGCTCAGAAATTCAATCAATGCTCTGGGCTATTGAAAGAGGGACTGAGAGAGACTGGGGTTGAATTAAATCAGATTGCAGGTGCTCAAGGAATTATCCGCACTGCAGTGAAAGCTCACTTAGGATGCAGCGGCTAAAGCCAAGGCCAACACCTCCCCAGTTATCTGAGTGACGTCCTCTGAAGAAAAGACAACCTTTGCTATAGCAATTTATTAAAACTTTTAAAAGGGAAAGGTGTTTTATTTTCAGGCCGTATATGTTTCCCCTAGGAAGTTAATAATAGGAAAGGGTTCATATGGTTCAAATTGGTATATTTTAATGCTGCTGGCATTCTATTACTAGGGATATTCTTACATTGCCATTGAGTCCTTTGCATAATTAGAGTCAGTTATATCAGACACAATGGCTGGGCACCAGTCACAAAGGGAGAGAGAATGAGGAGTGGATTTTCAGTCTAGGTACAGTGTGGTCTTGGATACAATTTCATTAACATCTTGCTGTGACTCATTTCTGTAAACCTCACAAGTCTCAAAAGACACACAGGACCAGCATGTGGATGGAGGCAGTGGCCTTGTGAAGGTGGACTCAGGATATGGCAGACTGCCGTCTCTGCCTTCTATGAGTCAGTCACTCATGTCACCTGTTGTTGGGCCCAATGGGCTCAGAGAACAGTGGACAGTGTGGGGATGTAGATGCCAGTTTACATCCTACCTAGATCCTCCCCATTCTCGGTGCATCCTCATCCCTGGTGCTGGTTATACAGCCGATAACTGACTGATGGCAGGGTGAAAAGAGCTGGGCCTGGCCTCAAGGTGGGACAGCTTGGTGGTTCCATTCACACTCCAGAGTTCCATGTGGGATCAGGCAGGGAATAGACTTGACTTGAACACACATTTTTTACTGTTTTTTTCCCCTGTCATGTCCTGCTTCCCTCCATCCTCGTAAGTTTCTCCTGAGAGCACTCCCTCAATCAGTCACTAGCACAAGAATCCCCACTGCAGGCTGTGCTTCCAGAGAACCTAATCTGACACAGAAGGAGGATCCTGGAACAGGAATTCTATGCTTCTCTCCAGGTGGGTGCAGCACTGGAGAAACACTTTGGGTCACTCTCTCCACCCACTGAGGGATGGAACTGTGTAATTAATAATTAGCTCAGCAGGCCAGTGTTGTCCAAACCCTGCACATTCCAAAGAAATGTCCAGGCTGCTGCCTGGTTCCTGGGAATTACCTCTACGCCCTTGGAATGTCCTGCCTGGTAAGAGTGTCTTTGTTTACCTGTGTTCTTGGGTCAAGCCAGGTAGTTAATGCTAACAATATGATTTATGGTGGGTGCCTTGGACACATACCTCAGTCTGACCTCCAGAGAGGATGAAGATCAGCCATGTGGGCACTCCATGCCTGTGTGACCGACTCCCAACATAAACCCTAGACACCAAGGTTCCGGTGAGCTTCCATGGTTGCAACACTTTGTGAGTATTGTCACACACCGTGACTTGGAGAATTGAGTGCTGTCTGCACAACTTCACTGGGAGAGGACAAATGGAAGCTTGTATTGGTCTTTCCTGGACTCCTTCCTGTGCACCTTTTTCCTCTGCTGATTTTAATCTGTATCATTTTACTGTAATAAACCATTGCCATGAGCATAACAGCTTTTCTGAGTTCTGTGAGTCCTTCTGGGAAATGACTGAACATGAGGGAATCCCTGAGACAACCATGCCTTATCTGATTAGTGAGCTCAGAGATACCTGAGAGCCAATGGGCCATACTTGGGACCATTCGGGAGGAGTATGTTCAGTTAATCTAACAGATCTTCTCTCTTCTCTCTTCTCTCTCTCTCTCCCTCTCTCTCTCTCCCCTCAGCTCTCTGTTCTGCTGCTGACCGCCTGAGAGACAATCATGATTATCCACATCATCAGCTGCACTATGCTGACTTCACTATCTTTGCAGGGAGATGTCAAAGTCCAGATCTGGCAGAGGTCATCTGAACCCCCGCTTGACTTCTGGCCTGAACCTCACTCTCCCTGCACTTCACCAGAGCTTTTCACTTTGATAATGAAGTGGCTTCATTATAAAGTGAGGTTTATTTGGCTGTTGCAAAGCTGACTCTACAGGGGAGGAAACAGGAGTAATTAAGATGTCCCTAACTTCCAACAAGACTTTATGCTCCTCTCATTGGAAGGTGTTCAGTGAGAAGTTTCAGGACCCTTAATGGCAGACCAGGATCCCTGTCCAGGTCTCTGCTGTGCCCGCCAACTGAGATAAGGGATGGGGGGTCATCCACACCCACAGGGACATCTGAGCCTTGGGTCCTTGCCTGGAATTTGTAGCAGGTCAGGCTTACAAAAGAGATAGGCAGCCTCTCAGATCCATCTCAAGGTGAAGCTTCTGCCCAGGTGAGCATCTCACTTTCTGAAACCAGACTTAAAAACTCACTCTTGAGGCCTGCGATTCCCCAGTCTTGGTTGCTGCTGTCTCTTCCATCTTAGGCAGCTTCTTCCCAAGGACTCATCTCTCTCTCCATCCGCACAGCTGCCTCCCACTCTCTCAGGCCAGCACATCCCCACTGCTCCTTCCCTAGAGGGTCCACCTATAGCCAGGCTACTCAGCTAAACCATTGGGGCTTCTCTGGCATTGGAAACTCAGTCAGAGGGTGTCCCAGGAGATGAGGGTGCCTCGCATCAGGGAAGCCTATATATAGGACTCTCGGGCTGGACTGAGGCCACATTGCCAAGGAACCAACACTCAGGGCTGTCCCCATCTCCGCAACCTTTCACAAATTCCCCTGGTCTCACTGTGAGGCAAGAAAGAACGTTTCTTCCATGTTAAACAGATGGCAACTGGGAAGGCTGACCTCACCCAGTCAAGCGCTAGGAAACGGGCAAGTTAGGGATCTGCAATGGGTGCTGCTGTTGCTCATTTGCTCACCCCAGATCCACTTTTCACCCTTCTCTGTCCCGTTCCATGCCTGGGAGGTTAAACCCCTGGAATGTCTCCCGGGCTGGCTTGCCTGCTGGCCCGCAGTTGAACTGCCCAACTCGAGGCACTGTTAGGAAACTGGAGGGTGGGAGACATCCCTACCTCCTGGCCTTGGGCCAAGCCTTCTGACAGCGGTGTTGACCCATGACCGAGCTCCTATGTGCAATCCCTTTCTCACCATTCTACTCTCCCTGGGCTTTGAAAACCGGCATAATGGTGGTAACGACTTCCCACTGTAGTTTATCTCTGAGTCTCACAACATCCCATATTAGTTTCCTCTGCCCACAGTTTTGTCAAATGTTCCTTTGTTAAAACCTCTTGAACTTTCTGAGTTGCATTTTTTCTCTTGCTTACGCCCTGACTGATAGTCAATATTCATCCAGAACCATAAGATGACATACCGGCTTGCCAGGAGGCCCTCTTTCTCCTGGATTTCCTGGTGCACCCTAAGAGAAGAAGGAAATAAAACATTAACTGTGATAAGCACACGATCCTGACCCACTCTACCCACACCCTCTGCCAATCTCTCTATCTGCTAAGTGTAACTCAGTGGGGAAAAAAAATCATCAGACCATGAGGATTGGCACCAATAAAAATGCGTGGTTTCTAATCTCAGCTGAATACCCATGGCTTCCCAGGAAGAATTCGACAATGACAACCAATGTTTAGAACTACCCCCACAACTCCTGTCCTAAACACAAAACTAAAAACAACTCATGCACACAGAACATGTGCATGCACGCATGCACACACACACACAGACACACAGACACACATACACACATACACACACATACACACACAGACACACACACACATACACAGACACACAAACACACAGACACACACATACACAGACACACAAACACACACATACACAGACACACACACAGACACACAGACACACACATAAACACACAGACACACACGCACACACACATACACACACACATACACACATACACATACACAGACACACACACGCACATACACACACATATACAGACACACACACACACGCACACACACCCACATACACATACATACACACAAACATACACACACACACACACAGACACACACACCCTGTCTTAAACTTTCCCAGTGCTTTCCCAAACAAGTGGAAGGAATGGCTTTGAAAACTAGAAAAATACTCCTATTAGACTGGCTATAAGAATGCTGAGAGTGGAACAGTGAAATTTGAATATTTTGAAGCAGGAATAAGACAGTAACCTTCTCTTTGGAAACAGAACCCAAGGAAGAGAAGGACATTTTGTTGTTCCTGCTTATAATGAACTAAAACTACAGAGATGAAAAGTTGTATGTCTAAGCAATAAATACCACTGCTTACTAGTGCCAGACACCTTTGTCCTATAAGGACTCATGGTTGTCATTTACCATTTGGTCAATGAGTATGGATCAAGTACCTTCTATGTGCCTGGCACGCTGCTGGGCACCAGGGACCATGAGGATGCATAAGACACAGGGGCTCCTTCTTAGAGCTCAGAGATGGCTGAGCAAAGGCCAAACAATGGAGACAAGAGATGACTGTCATTGTCACAAAGTGGGAAGGAACACATCCTCACAATGAGCATGACATACATCTGCGGAATTCCATGGAAAAGAGAGAGCCATTCCAGGGAAGGGTCAGGGGCAAGTCCCTGGAGAAGGCAGTGCCTGATTCGAGCAGAACTGACTAGGGTATGTAAGACATTGACCAAGAAATTAGGGAACATTGTGTGGGATACCCAGGAGTTGAACAGATCTTGAAAACTTAACACAAACATAGGAAATAAAACTGGATAATACAAAATTATGAACCACACTCAACAGAAGAGCAAAAATAAAAAGCATGTCCATGGGGCTTCCTGGAAATCCTCAACCGGGCTACAAAGTTGGCCACATGGTCAAAGGAGGCCAGGAGATGGTGGAGGGCGGGCTTTCAGGGGTCATGTAAGGGCCTTCACTGAGTCCACGCCATTTCTCTGTACTTACGTCCCGGCCGGCTGGGCCCTGGGGGCCAGGGAATCCAGGTAAGCCTCGTGATCCCTGAAGAAAAAGAAAAGAAGACACTGACACCCTACAATATTTAAGCAAATAAGGACACACCCTCCTTGGCAATAGTTGGCTCTCCTTCAACACATGGTCTGTTGCTATGAGGAATCTGATGCAACATGTGTGCCAAAGCACCCTGCTCAGAGCTTACTCAACTGACTGTACCCTATGGAGGTATGTGCTCGACACACAGAGAGAATGCTCTGGAAAATCTTCATTTTGAGCCTGACAACTTGGACCCCATTTGTATAGTTCCCTTGCTTGAGTGAAAGAGACAGCTCCTGTGGTGAGATGGGCCTGAGCTCAAACCCTGGCTCACTCCTTTCATGTCCTATGGATAACCAGCCCCGAGAGCTCTAACTAGGTGGTTAAAGAAGTTTCCTTGTGCAAGACCCAGCACAACACTCAGCATATGCCTGGCGATTACAACTCTTTGTAAGAAAATAATTTCTAGCTGCAATTTTCTGGACAACATCAGGAAACGGCACAGATATCTTTCATTATGGATCTCATTTCCCGTAAGATTTTTCCTTAAGTTGGTCTAAAAGTGGGAATTCCTGGCAGTTGCTGGAACTGTGCTACCGGGCTGCTCAGGAGCTGACCCTGCATCTCCTGGGCCTTCACAGACCTCCTCTCACATGACCCCTCCATCTAGAGTCCCACCTGTCTTGCCTCTACTTTGCCATAACTTGCTCTGAAATCTCACGTCTATCAGTTCACTACGTAGTGCCTCAATTTCTTCATCTATAAAAATGGGTATAAGGAGCCCTGTAGCCCTGTGCTGGGCATGGTGGCTCCCACCTGTAATTCCAGCTACCGGGGAGGGCGAGGCAGGAGGATTGCTTGAACCCAGGAGGCGGAGATTGCAGTGAGCCAAGGTCGTGCCACTGTACTCCAGCCTGGTTGACAGAGCAGGACTCTGTCACTCACACACACACACACACACAAAGCAATCCCTGTCCTGAATTCAGAAATCATATAAATAAAGGTTATTTAAAATACGTTCACATGGCATAAGATACAATATCATCCCACTTGCTACAATGCAGCTATTTCCCCTGGGGTGAATTTATAGGAAATCGCATTTTCCCAGTAAATGCACGCACAGGCATGTCATGGATGGTTGCTGCTCCTAAGAATGAAGGCTGACTGAGAGCCCTCCTGTTGCTTCAGCATGAAGTCAGTCCACCAGGTCTCCACAGTGGCTCCCGGGTCTTGCTCTGCCTATGTTACAGATTAAGAGCAATCCCCATGTTGGCTCACTGCTGTGTGGTTGGGATTGGTGAAACCAGGATTCAAAATTAGTTCTTCAGGCAATTTGGCTGAATTCATTAAACCATGGCCACCCTTCTGTGTTGAAAAGATGCCCAAAACTGAAGCCAGTCTGTTTGCCTGACTATAATATGGGTGTGGCATCCCTTCTCTGCTCATATGTACATCTATCACACTGTATTCCACAGGTCAGAGTTCATAGGTTGGACAGTCTGCACTGTTCAATAATAGGAGGAAATTTCAGAATCTACTTCAGTTTTTGGTGCTTCCCATTTAAAACTGCTTTGATTCGAGCAGGATTCCTCCCATAGAAACTCATCCCTTTATTTAAAGCATACTGTACCGGGGATCCTTTGTCTCCTGGTGGTCCGGAAGGGCCCTAGAAACAAACAAACAAGTATGTAAGCAAAGTAGAAATGGCATGCTGATGTAAACAAGCTATGGTGTTTATTCCATAGACAGGTCCTCAGTTGTCCTAGGAGGAGTCACTAACTTCCTCCCACCTTGAAGCCACACTGCCATACCCTCTTGCCACCTACCCACCCACAAACGTTGCTCATGAAAATCTCTCTGGAAGCTCCTCCATTTGCTCCTCAACTGATGCCACCCTATCATCATCCCTGCGTGGCTCCTGACACCTGGGCCCAACTCTACTTTGTAGCTCTAGTGTGAGGTTGAACCTGGCAGCCCCGACTTCCCTGTATTACACCCCCTTGGAGATGCACTGGCTCTTTCTGCTTGGGAAAGGACGGGCATGATAACGACCACATTCCCCAGCCATAGCGCTAGTGTCTGAGGCTGCAGTAGTCATGCTCCCTTCTCCAACAAGGGGTGCGCGCGCGCGCGCGCACACACACACACACACACACACACACACACACACACACACACACACAGATACAGACACACAGACATGGGTCTGGCATCCTCCACTGTGCCCAGTTCTTTGCCAAGACAAAATTTGGCTTCTAGATATTATGCTTAAGATGCTGTTCATTGATTGACTGGAAGGCATTCACATGCATTTCCAAGTCTTGCAGCGAGTGGGACCGTCCCTTGCCCCTGAGGCTTTGCGATGCTTGTGCATTTCCATGAAGACTCTGTCCTGCCTTTCTGCCTGGAAACATTCTTGTCACACTCTGGTTCTCCTTTGAGAAATCCTGCCTGTGGAGAGCCTCCTCTGGCTTCTCCCAGGGTGCTCACTGGATAGTCCCCGCCCCTGTACACACCCTGCCTAAGACTGAAAGTCCAGCATTGTTACTGCCTGTTGGTCCACTCCTCTTCACTGAATGGACTGAATGCTCCCATGAGGTGGCTGTGGAGTCTGCATTCTTACCATGCTCTCTCTAGCACTCAGCAAGTGCCCTGTGCATTGCAAGAACATAGCCGACTAGAGCACAGCAAATAGCATTTGATCAAAATGAAAAATTTAAAGCACGAGGAGAACTTGAGAATCAATGCCAATCATCCCTTCTTTTCACTGACAATCAAACTAAGGTCCAGAGGAGAGAGAGAGAGACCTGCCCTAGCAACGCCAGGAGTCACTGGCCAGGGTGAGGTTAGTCCCACATCCTGCCCTCAGTCCAGTGCGCTCTGCATCTCCCTGTAGCACAGCCCACGAGAATGTCCCTAAGGCATTCCCGAGAGAGCAAAATGATTTCACACCAACGCCAAGGTTCCTGCAGTATAGTGTCAGGGGTAACCTAAAAGCCTACTCATTAAATATGCCCCAGAGCTGTCTAATAATAAAATAGAATAAGCATCATTTTAAGTGTGTATTTGGGCACTAGAGAAAGTAGAGAAAATCTCCAGAGGTCTAGAGAAAGAGACAACTGAGAAGCAGTGCCCTAAATCTACACAGACCTGCCCTGGAGGGGAGCAGGACTCTGATAGCTGTGCAGAGACAGGAAGCGAGGCTGGAAGCCCTTTTGATCAGTAAGTTGAAACTCAGAACAGTAAGTAAAGGCAATCCTTCAGTAGGTTATAGCAGGGGTCCACAGGCTTTTTCTGTAAAGGGACAGATAGTAAAGTGAAGGGGTAGAGAAGAAAATGATGTCAAGGAAGCTCACCCATCTTTGTCTGGGATGCAGGTGTATGATGAAGGAAGCCTCCTCTGAGAACTCACCCTCAGGGCCCTGCCCTTACAGGCATCTGGTAGCTCTAAGTCAGAAGTCCTGCAGAACTTCAGCTCAAAGGCAATGTGCCTACACACAAGTCAACTTCTGGGCACCCAGAAAGAAAATCCCCTAGGAGCATACAGAGCAGCTAAAGGATCTTCACAGATAGATTCCCAAAGGACACAAAACTGCAATCTCAAATTACAAAGCTGTTCACCACAAGGACATAACAAGTGGTAGAACTGAGTTTCCACGAACTTTGGAGGATGGGGTGGTCAGATACAGGCAACAAAAAAGGTCTATTAAAATGATTACATATAGAAAAAAAAAGAAAGAAAACAGAGAAAATAACATGGCATTATCCAGAAAGATCTGGCAGGTATCAAAAGAGCCAGAGTACATTTTTAGAAATAGAAATGTAGAGTCATTAAAATAAATGTAATAACCAGGTTAATTTGAAACTAATATAAAATAGGAATTTCCCAGAATAATTGTCTTTAAGAATCATGGCAAATGTTATTTCCTGAAGAACCTATGCAGAGTGGCAACTGAACTAAAAAATATATATATATAATTCTTAAGACACACAATGATCATGACTAACAGTGGCAAGTCACAATAAATTTCTGAAATTATTCTTTTTTTCCTCTTGACCAAATGAATGATAAATCACCAGAATATAGCACATTTGCTTCTCTCTTTCTCTTGAAATCTCTCATCATTTGTCAGAATTCTATCTCATTCCAGAAATGACTGAAAGAGTCATACAGACACATAGGGAGGTCTGGCTAGGGAAACAGAGATGAATGAATAACTCACACCTGCATAAACAAAGGGGACTTCCAGCTATTGGTCTATATGCCAGGAGTGGTCCTATCTGCTCCATACATGGATCATCTCTCACTTTAACCCCAATCAGAGGCCTACAAATTGGTATTATCAACATTTCATTGCTATAGATGGAGAAACTAAAGCTAAAAACCATTAAATAGCTTGGCTAAGGAGAAGCAGAAAAAATAATGGACTCAGAATTCCAACTCTGGTCTCTTTGACTCAGAAGCCAGTGCTCCCTTCATTCTACCTCACTGCTTCTGTCAAGGTGTAGGTCAGTGGTGCACATGGACCACCATACCTGCATCTGAACTGTGTTCCTTTCACAGTAGTTCCCAGGGAGGATGGATATGTATTCCTTAAGGAAAGGGCATGAGGGATGGTTTGTTATGGCCTGGGAAATGTCACATCATTTGAGAGTCACCCTTTGTTTTCAAGTTAAATCCCAGGATCCACTTTGAGCATTTAACTTGTTTACCATACGAGGCTCCAGGTTATTTTCTTATGTCATTTAACAGAAAATCCACTTTGAAGGATGCGTTTTTAAATTAAAGGTCTTCATTTCAAATCTTAGCTTATCAATCATCAGCTGTTTGACCTTAAGCAAGTTACTTAGACAGCTTCTCTGACCTTCACTTTTCTCAATTGTAATACAAATCTAGAGTATCACCTTGCCTTGTGTTATCAGAAATAAAAGAAGATACTATAAGTAGAGGAGCAGGCAGTGCCCAACCATAAAAGGAGTTCCCATGTCTATTCTGTCAGTCTACTTTTAAGAAAGATAAAGGTGTGCTGAAGAAGGGGATTATACAATGACTTTCTAATGTCATTCCTATATCTGAAGCTCAAATATGTTTTCAACAATTACAACCCTCTTCTCTGAAATTACGGCCTCTGATGCGTTTGTTCAAGAGTCATTTTACCCTAATACCCAGATTTGGGCCTTTGATACCAGTTTCTACTAAGAGAAACTATTATGACTTCTTGAAGAAATGACTGATCAGAGACCTGGACAAAAAATGTACACGACAAACCTAGAGAGAGAGCAAGGAGACCATCAAAGATTGCTAGGTTTGTGTCAAAGGTAATCAGAATCGACTTAAATAGACCCCCATTGGCAGAAGACAAGACAAAATGAGCATAAAAAGGAAGACAAGCTGCAATAATTTAAAACACATCAAATGTGTTTATATCCCCGAGTTCAAAATTATTCTTAGAACAAACAGCAACAATAAGCATCTAATTGGTCCTTTTTGCAAGATGCTAGGGAACCAAGTCATTATTTGAAAACAAGGGAAAGACTTCAAGCATTTATATTCTGCCTTCCATATGTCTTGTACCACTAGGTATCCAAAGGGTACTTTAGGGAACTTTTCTCTGTATAGAACTATTCCAGCTAATAAAGAAAGAATGAATAGAACTAGAACAGCGCCAGTCTGCAACCCTTGATGTACTAATTGGTACGAGCATTAGACATCACAGGGTGAATGCATCACAAAGAGGCTCCACCAGACATCATGTGCCTCCTGCTGGATGAACACCCCACCTGTGAAGTCTTGCCAACAACATCAAGCCAGAATCAGATCAAGCCTCTAGGTCTGAGTACCAACTTAGCTGAACCACAGAGACAGAGGAACACATTGAGCTATTACATTAACAAATGCCAGATGGTGGAAAATTCTATCAGACTAAAAAAAAAAAAATTTGAAACATCCAACCAATCGCTATATGTTTATTTGGATCTTAAAGAAACAAACAAAAAACACAGAAGCGTGACATGTATGAAATAATTAGAAATTTTAACACTGACTAGATATTTGATGGTGTTATGGATTTTTAAGGGGTATATTATAAGATTGTGGTTCTGTTTTTTAAAATTCTTATCTTTTAGAAACATATACTGAAATATCTACAGACAAAATGTGTCTGGAATTTGCTTCAAAATAATGGAAGGTAGCAGATAAGAGGAAAACCATGGTCATTGGCTGTGGGATCCTGGCACTAGTTGTGGCTATATGGGTGTTTATTTTACTATTCTACCTACTTTTAGTATATTTGAATTTCTCCATAATAAAAATTTATATATACACACACACACACACATGCACATATATATCACACATATGAATACACTTACATCTGATACACATGCACAGCCATGCTATTGGTGTTTTCTGACAACTATAGTAAAGTTTTATAAAACTGAAAGCCGCATATGGCTTTAGATATGTGAAACACATTCTCTTCTTTCTCTGCTGTCAGGCTGTTCTAAAAACCAGCTTCCCTTCTCTCAGAATTGATCACCTCTTTGTTCCCCCTACCATAGGCACAGATCTGAAAATAAAGTGAACTTTTATTCTCCGTAATCTTTGATCTGAGTACCTCACATGTGTGCAGGCCTAGTGCTGTGTGCTGGGGTGGGTGGCCAAGTGGCTGCATGGCATGGAGCCCACTTATGTGAAGCACTCCAGGTGAGAGGAAAATCTCTGTTGTAATGATTGATCAGGTTCAGTGAGTCAGGGTTACGGGATGCCTAGAGCTACTGGCATCAGCCCGAGAGAGTTTGAGGAACCTTCACCCAGAGGGGGATAGGCGAAAAGAGGTTTAGTGGGGTCGGGGGCTTCACAGGTAGAGAAGAGGATGAGGCAGAGATGTCTCTGGCAGAGGAGAACACTACGCAAAGAGGAGAAGTCAGACTCTGTGCTCAGAGAGCAGCAGGGGTGCCTCCAGGAATGCCCCAGGGAAGCTGGAGTCTGAAGGAGAAGGGCCTGAGCACCTTGCTGGAGAGGCCTCTGAAGCTACCCACCAGGCAAGAGGTGGGCTCAGATCCAGGCTTTAGGAGGACAGCTGTGGCTGCGGAGTGGCGAAGGGGTCAGAGGGAACAGACCAGAGGCCAGAGGCCAGGCACCTGGGGAGACCAGCGGGAAAACGCACGAGTGATGCAGGGGCAGAGTGAAGCTGAGCAGGAAGTGTGGAAATGGAGAGCAGGGAGTGCCGAAGAGGGCTCGGCCACGGCCGTGGGGTCTGATAAGGAGGCAGAGATGAGGGTCCTGGAGGCCGGTCAGGGCAGTGTCTGGCCTTTCCCATGTCCGGTACCAAGAAGCCTTTCTTGTGCTGGCTTTAACTGTGCAGAACCAGAAACAGCCCAGGACAGCCCAGCTCCTCCCACCATGCCACGAAGGAGGCTCCTGGAGCCACAGGGACAGCAGAGGCTGTCTTCTCGCTTAGAAACAAAGAGTGCAGACTTCAGGGCAAGATCAACGCAGGTTCAAATGCCTGCTTTGTCTCTCACTAGCAGAGTGACCAAGGCCAGCTGCCTAAACCTCTCTGAGCCTGAGTCTCCTCATCTGAAACCTGGAGACAGTAATAGTTACACCTTACTGGACTGCCGGGAAGACCAGGGAAGGCAGTGGCATGTCAAGCCAAGTGCCCAGCATGTTAAGTGTACCTTAGGAATTATTACTGAGAACAACAAAATGGTTTCATTTAGAAAGGAGAGTTTCCAATCAGAGGTGGCAGTAGAAACTTATTTAAAAACTATTTTCTATCTCCATCAACAGAAGAAACTCCTAAGACTTTTTTTTTTTTTTTTTTTGAGATGGAGTCTCGCTCTGTCGCTCAGGCTGGAGTGCAGTGGCATGATCTTGGCTCACTGCAACTTCCACCTCCCAGGTTCAAGCAATTCTCCTGCCTCAGCCTCCCGAGTAGCTGGGATTACAGGCACCCACCACCACACCCAGCTAATTTTTGTATTTTTAGTAGAGATGTGGTTTCACCATGTTAGCCGGGCTGGTCTTGAACCCCTGACCTCAGGCAATTCACCTGCCTTGGCCTCCCAAAGTGCTAGGATTACAGGTTGAGCCACTGCACCTGGCCATTCTGAGACTTTATATAAAAACCAACTCCTGGTTATACGTGGCTCAGCTCCTGGTTATACATGAAGCAATACAGGAGCCCTGGAGTCTGGAAGGTGGTGTGTGGCTTTACACCTTCCTCAGCCTCCTCCTTCACTACCCACAGGACGCAGCTCTGTGCACTGGGCAGGGCAAGAGTGGATCTCAGTGAATCAAGCCCTGCACATTCCTTGAGCATCGGCCATGGGGGCAAGGCCGGGAGCTGGGGCCTGGGGTAACCATGGACAAATGCCCAGTGTTCCCAAGTAGCATCCAGACAAGATGGGGGTACTCACACCTAACAGAATCTAGCCAGCCTAATTCTTGGGACAGCGTCAGTGGCTTTGGTTCTTATGATCAAAGGAACTGGACTAAAGCAGGCAGATAAGACATGAATTAAAGAAAAAAAACCACACAGGCTGGACATGGAAGTCAATCGTGCAGGAGCAATCATGCACATAAAAAGCCACCGGTAGGCTGGGCACGGTGGCTCACGTTTGTAATTCCAACACTTTGGGATGCCAAGGCAAGTGGATGGCTTGGGCTCAGGAGTTTGAGACCAGTCTGGGCAACAGGTCAAAACCTCATCTCTATAAAAAAACACAAAAATTAGCCAGGCATGGTGGCTCGCACCTGTAGTCCCAACTACTCAGGAGGCTGAGGTGGGAGGATCACTTGAGCCCAGGAGGTTAAGGCTGCAGTGAGCCATGATCACGCCACTGCACTCCAGCTTGGGGGACAGAGCGAGACCTTGTCTCAAAAAAAAAAAAAAAAAAAAAAAAAAGCCACTGGTGAGTGTGAAGGCTAAAGTGAACACGAACTTTTGTTACCACAGTTGACCCCTGAGCAACATGGGCTTGAACTGTGTAGGTCCACTTCAATGCAGATTGTTTTCAGTAAATACAGTGGAAAATATTTTGGAGATTTTCAACAATTTTTAAAAACTGCCAAATGACCCAGTGGCCTAGAAATACTGAAAAATTAAGAAAAAGTAAGGTATGTCATGAATGCATAAAATATAGAGAGATACTAGTCTGTTGTATCATTTAGTATCATAAAATATACACAAATCTATAATAAAAAGTTACAATTTGTTAAAATGTGTGCACACAAACACAGACCATACATGGCACCGTGGCTGTTGAGAGAAATGTAAAGAAACATACATGCAGCATTAAGTCATAACTGCATAAAATTAATGGTAGCCAGACCGTAGTACTATAATAATTTCATGGCCACCTCCTGTTGCGATTGTGGTGAGCTCAAGTGTTGTGAGTATCTGCTTAAATGCTGCGTGATTCTAATCATCTCTGCGTGAGCAGTCTGTCTCTCCAGTAAATTGTGTTGCCAAAGTAGAAAGCGTTCTCTCGCAGATCTTGCATTTTTTTCTTTGTCGTGTTTATTGCAATACTGTAAACACTGAATAACACCAGAAAACCCACATGAAGCACTACAAGTGATGCTGGAGGTTCTTCCACGGAGCAGAGAAAAGTCGTCATATTACAAGAAAAAGCTGAATGGCTTGATGTGTACCTTACACTGAGGTCTGCAGCTGTGGCTGCAGCCATTTCCAATGGACTATTCTTACAAGCAAACAACACAAACTTACGGTATTGATAAATACTGTACAGTACTATAAATGTATTTTCTCTTCCTTATGATTTTTTTCATAACTTTTTTCTCTAGCCTGCTTTGTTGTAAGAATATAGTATATAATACATATAACATACAAAACATGTGTTACTTGACTGTATTATCAGTAAGGCTTCCAGTCTACAGTAGGCTATTAGTTAAATACTGGGATAGTCAAAAGTTATACTCAAATTTTCAATTGTGCAGGGTCAGCACCCCAACTGTCACATTATTCAGGGGCCAACTGTATGGTACCCCTGCTGGAAGAGTGGTTAAGGGCATTTGCTTGGAGTTAGAATGCTGGGGTTCCTGTCCTAGCTCTACCATGTCCTAACGGTGACTTCAGGGAAGTGGCTTCATATCTCTGTTTCCTCACTTGTAAAATGAAAAGAAAAGTGGAATCCACCTGCTAGAGTTTCTGGGAGAAACAAATGAGAGACTATCTGTGAGATAAATGAGAGGTAGACATGGAGGCCTTTGCTCACTCTTGTCCCTGCAAGTAGGCACTTTATGTTGGCTGTGGTTGCCATTACTCTAATATTTCAGTGGCTGTTATCTTTATTATTAATATATTATTCCTTGGAAGGTGGGGGGATGAAAAAAAAACTGTTCTGTTAGGGCACTTGAGATATTTGTTTGCACATAACGGGGCCATGCTTCCTGCCTCTCTTAGGCTAGAAGGCCCACTGGAGGGCAGGGAGCCTGGGAATTCTGTCCCTTTTGTATGTGCGTCCTCAATGCCTGGACCAACTGATGTAAGGCATCAGTACAACTAATTCCAGGGAGGGACAGTGAGAGGCTCAAAAAGGGACGTCATTTCAGGCTGCAAAGTCTGAGAAAGACATCAGGCAAACAGGATTGCTATGACATCACTGGGGCAAAGGCAGGGAAGCAGGTATTATCACCAGTATTATCATGTTGTATTCCTCCCAATTTCCTTGATGCTGCTGCAGAAATTGCTGGCACCTGATCCATCAGGAAACTGAGGGCCCGAGTAGGAAGGAGCAAGTCCTGGGTTACATGTGGGACCTTATCTTCACAAACCCCAGCTCCTTCAGTCAAACTAATTTGGACTTTAATCTGTCCCAGGGCCTAAGGAGGCTCATTTTGTAAGCAACTTAAACATTGCTAAGGGAACATCAGAGGCAACCTAAAGATTAAAGGGATTTTTGTTTGTTTGTTAATATCTTGAAGCAGCAAGCCAAAACCCCAAACAATGGCCTCATTCATCCCCCTGCCTGGTGACAGTGCAGAGATTGGCAGACAGAGCTCCTGGCTCCCTTCCAGGGAGTCAGTGCTGCCCTGGATGCCAAAGGCATGGGAGCATGACATCACGGGAGGAAGGAAGCAAAGAGTAACTTACTTACAGCCGATCTATTTTTTTTTTTTTTTTTTAGACAGAGTCTGGCTCTGCTGCCCAGGCTGGAGTACAGTGGCGGATCTCAGCTCACTGCAATCTCCACCTCCCAGGTTCAAGCAATTCTCCTGCCTCAGCCTCTTGAGTAGCTGAGATTACAGGCATGCGCCACCATGCCTGGCTAACTTTGGTATTTTTAGTAGAGACAGGGTTTCACCATGTTGCCAGGCTGGTTTCAAACTCCTGACCTCAGGTGACCCACCTGCCGCAGCCTCCCAAAGTGCTGGGATTACAGGCATGAGCCACCATGCCCGGCCCCAGCCGGATCTATCCTTAATGTGCCTTCTTTGAGGGATCTCACAGAAGATTAATGGAAATGAATAAATCCTGCCCATCCTGCCGAAGCCACAAAGCGAGGTGTTGCAGGGGGAAAAGGACTGGTTTCAGAGGTTGTGGGAAGCGGGTCTGTATCCTGGCCCTGCCCTGGGCTGGCTGTGTAGCATTGGCCACATCATGTCACCTTCTGAACCTCACATTGTCTACCTGGAAAACAGTGATGTAGTGGACAGGTCAGTTCCCTCCTGCCACGTTCCCTGGGCATGCACCTGCCCAGGGCTTTCTTTAGCTACAGGTGAATGATTGGCCCAACCACAGGGAAGGCTGAGAGTTTCTGGGAGTCGACTCCCCAGGGAGCAGCCTCCAACCAAACACAGGCAGGAGGTGGTACAGAAACTCCCCAGCTCTTTCTCTCCCTTTGCAGAACAACTCTGCAACAACGCCATGCAGTCACTCAGGGGCTGTTGTACAGGTGAGTCCCAGGTACCCACGGTGGCCTTCTGCTCAGTAACATACCCTCCCCTTGGCTTGCTTTCTTTGTCTGTCTCACTTTGTCACTTCCTAAGTAGTGATTTCTAAGATCACCTCCCAAACAAACTCCTTGCTCTTGAATCCCCTCCTTAGGGGCTACATGGGATCCCAGCCTTAACCAACGGATAAAACCAACTTGCCCAGGACCAAATGAGGAGGTAGATGTGGATGCTTTGAGGCCCAGCACAAGATATGACACAGGACTTCTCAGCAAATGGCAATGTTCCTGTAACGAGGCAACTGCATCCCCAGTGAACTTGACATGTACCCACCCCCACGCTGACCCCTTCTTCACCTCCTCCACACACCTTTGCTTAGCTCAGCATATCTTTGCACACTCCATACAGATTCCCAGGCCATTACTGGCCTGGGCTGTGGCCAGAGATAGGATTTATGAAAATTCAATAAGGTTTTATCCACCACGGAAGCTTTTAATAAGTCCAAGAGGTAGCCAAGATACTAAACAGTTGATTTACAGCCTCTTGACTAGAGCCAGCCAATTACTTTTCAGGTGGACTTACTTAGGCGGGAACATATTTCATGGGTGATTTTTGCTGGCTCTTCGGTGGCAGGTGGGGTGAATTGTGTCCGCCTCCACAGCCAGCTTTCTGTAAGGGCTGATAAGGTGAATCTGCAGGGAGTAGACAGGGTCACGTAGAACCCTGGTAAGTGATGGGGGTGCCTCATTCAGGTTACGGGTCTGCAGTTTCACTTACAACCCTTTCTCTATGCTAAGGAGCGAGTGCCACATGAAGCAGCATCCTAACTCCAGCAGAAGGGGCCCTATTAAAGGAGAATTTCAGAAAGAAGAAGGCATAAACTATTGTGTTCTCTCGCTGCACTTATTGTTACAGTGTTCCTTCCAGTTACAAAAAGACTCAACAAAAATAGCCAAAGAACAAAGGTAAAATGAATGTAATGAAGTGGGCAGTTTTACCTGAGAATGTGTTTTAAGGAAAACAGTTTAACCAAACTAGACATTCCCAAGGGCATTCCACACGCCTCCTTCCATGCTTTTCAGGAAGATCTAAGAAGACACAGAGCTACCTGGTCTTCTTGTCACCATGAAACAACCCATCATTGTGAGTGGGTAGAAATAACAGTGAGGGGGTGATTTCTGGTGTGGAAGCCAGGAGGCCTGCTCCAAAATGGGAGGACGAAGGAGAATTTCAGGGAGAGAGTGAGAGGCCCAAGAACTACTCTGGATGTAAGAGAACCACAGAAGAAAAGGAAAGGGGGATTTTCTTTCACAAGTAATATTTTGGGTAATAAGTTGGATTTTCCTTCTTATTCTTTGAGAGTCATGCATGAAGAATGATATTACTCTTAATCACTCTTGGTCGTGGCCTTCATTTATTGAATGCAATACCAGACAGCAACTAGACCATGTATTACTCCAGTTTATATTCCAGTTGCATTTAATAAAGATAAAGTTAGATTGTGCTTTTGGGTTAAGATAATAGTAACAACAACAATAATACATGGGTAGTTTAGGTATTCCATGGCTTAGCAAGCACTGAGTATTTGAGCTTCTTTTAAACAATAGCAAGACAGGGCTTTTAAGGACAAAGTAAATGCACTTTTAAGGTGCATTAAGAGGGTATGATGTCTTTATCAAAGAACGGACTAAACAGAAGAATAGGCTTCAAGGTTGTAAACTGGTCTTATGTCCCAAAAACTATCATTCAGTAAAGAAGGAAAGAAAATATGTGTTCTTTGTGGTACAAAAGGGAGAATTAAAAGCAGTGGGTGGAAACTACAGGATACCATAATGTTATTCTCAATGAAAACAAAATTCTACTGAATTTCCATTATCTATGGAAATATATTTTTAAACTGCAGAGCCAGATGTACTGGCTTTGAAAGAAGTGTGCCTTCTATTTCTAGAGGCATTCAGGTGGAGGCCGAAGATATTGATAGCAATCCTCAACCTGAACGGGAACACACTTCATTGATTCTTAAGATCCCTATAACTCAAAGTTTTAGCAACTCTTAAAGCTATCACCCCTAGTGAGTTTGTAAACTAACACCTAGTAGACTGATGTGAATTATTCATTAGAACTAGCGGTGGCTCACGTCTGTAATCCCAGCACTTTAGGAGGTTGAGGTGGGTGGATCACAAGGTCAGGAGTTCAAGACGAGCCTGGCCAACACAGTGAAACCCCATCTCTACTAAAAATACAAAAAATTAGCCAGGCGTGGTGGCAGGCACCTGTAATCTCCGTTACTCGGGAGGCTGAGGCAGGAGAATCACTTGAACCTGGGAGGCGGAGGTTGCAGTGAGCTGAGATTGCACCACTGCACTCCAGCCTGGGCAACACTGCGAGACTCCATCTCAAAAAAAAAAAGAAAGAAAAAGAAAGAAAGAAAGAAAGAAAGAAAGAAAGAAAGAAAGAAAGGAAGAAAGAAAGAAAGAAAAGAGTGTTTCTGCAGGCAGGTCCAACAGGAAATGGCTGTATGTCCTGAAAGCAAGTAAGAGCTGGATAAATAAAGACTTACAGGAGGGCCAGCAACCCCAATGCCTGGGTCACCACGGCTGCCAGGAGAACCAGGGATCCCAGGAGCTCCTCGATCCCCCTAGAAAGAGAGAAAAATAAGATCAAGGAGGTCAGTGCCAGGAAGGAGAGGGCTAGGGTACAAAATGAATCATGCTTCTTCTAGAATCCTGACTGCAGGCTTCTCCTGCCACCTGGCCTCCATGGGCCATGCTATAGTCTACCCAGGCAGCCCATCATCCCACTCAGCCCAATATTCAGGGACCACAGCCACCAACTCAGATTATATACCTTTCAAGGACGACCACTCCCGGACCAACCTTGACCATGGCTCTAAATGTGATTATAACACTATGGCCCTCCCCATGTGAGCATTGTCCAAATCTACCATGCTTTCTTCAAACCACATCAGACCCTCATCCTAACTATACCCCAGATTTGCGCATGCACCCACATTTCAATTTAGATCCCAAATCACCCATAAATTAATTTATCAATTCACCAATAATTTGCCAAGTACCTACATTTTGCACATCATCCTTCTGGATGTGGGAGGAGGAGCCTAAAGGGGACCGAGATAAGACCTTTGCCTTCAAGCATAGTTAACAGTGTGGACGTGGGTGTCAGAGGCCTGGATTTAAGTTCTGGTTTCAACACCTATTAACTGTTAACTTAGGAAAGTGATGAGTTCCTATGCTCTAGTTTCCTCACCTACAAGGGGAACAGGACAGGAGCTGCCAGGTCTGCAGATGTTGTGCTCACTCTATGAGATTATGCAGAGAGAGTGCTTGGCACAGAGCCCAGCACAGCACTGAACCTGAGCTAGGAGTTGTGTTTGCTTCTGTTCTCGTTGTACTGCCATGCTGGACTTTGATGGAAAAGGAAAAAGGAGGGAGAAATTGAAAAAGGGAAGAAATTTTGTTTGCCATTTCCTGGAGAACATGGCCAAGGCCGAGCCACGCCTTATTCGTAATTTCAAAATCCTCAGCCCTTAAAAACAAGTGTTGATCTCAACTCAGTTGGCAGCAAAACCTGACTTGTGCTATTTGCAGTCTTTGGTTATTCCATTGTGTGTTGAAAATTTACATATTTTTGTCGCCTAAGGATTAATGTGCTTGATTAGGGGTGTTGCCCCAGATACTATCATAAATGTCATTATGTGTATATTTTGCATATTACCTTTCCAAAATCGAAATTGAATTTGGCCCAAAACAGACATGGCCCCAACAGTTTTGTGTAGGAGGCCATGATCCTGAGCTTATTCAGCCAGCTGAACCACAGTCAAGCTTGAGGCCAAGACGGCAGGTGATCTTGCTCAAGCCACTTAATACCTCTGGAATGAGTTAACTCGTATGACAAACGGAAACAGCCTCAGAAGCTTGTTATGAAGAGCCAATGAGATAATGTTGCAGCTAATTAAGGTAGAACTCGATATTGCTAGGTAATTTGTTGCTTTATTAAGGTTTAGGTTATTGTGCATTACAAAATATCTCATTCATGGCTCTAAGATGACTTGCCTTTCCTATAGTACAACCGTTGCCTGGATGAGTACATAAGCTATGTATTCATTCAACTAATGCTTATTCATTCACTGCAAACCATATTCTAGATTCCAAGCCCAGAAGATTACTCAGTGCCCATTGTCAATACTCAGTGCTAAGTTCAGAAGAGAAGGGATGTTCATGGGGATATGAAGGAACAGACCTTGCGAAGTTCTCACAAAAGACACAAACCAAGACCTAAATCTCTCACTAGGTCTCCTTGACATCATTTCTTCCCCTGGTCCCTCTGGGCCTCTGAGTCACACTACCTGCTGTTTCTGGGTCCCTAGGAGTCAGCAACATCCCTTGCCCTGCCCTCATCTCTGCCAGCAGTTCCCTCCTCAAATTTTCTGTAAATTCTCAATTAGTATAATCTGTTTCTTTAGAATAATATGATATGAATGGTTCTTGGAAGTTCAAGATACTTCGGATCCCTAGAAAATCTAACTAGTTTCTATGGGGTGGTTGGGGAATAGAGGGAGTAAAAAAAAAATAAGACAAATATGGAAACAAGTGTCATGAACCAAGAATGACCATCATGACATGTGATTTATCTGTCACCAGTTCATTGTAGCAATGGAGAGGGGCATGTAGGAAGATTTCAAGCTGGTAGTCAGGTGATTCTAGGTCCAGTCTCAGGACCAAATCAACCTCATCCTGTGACCTTCGGTAAGTCCCACAACCTCTCTGCATCACTGGGTCCTCATCAATTAAAAAAAAAGTTCTACCAAATCCTCATGTATCTTATGAAGACATTTAAAAACAACTATATAAGGTTGAGAAATACATTGTATATTATGGTTGCATTATTATCACTTATTTATTATTTCTTTATTTTTGAGACAAGGTCTTGCTCTGTCACCCAGGCTGGAGTACAGTGGTGTAATCATGGCTCACTGCAGCTTTGACCTCTCAAGTTCAAGCAATCCTCCTGCCTCAGCCTCCCTCCATAGCTGGGACTACAGATGTGAACCACCACACCTGCCTAATTTTTGACATTTTTTATAGGGATAGGGTCTCATTATGTTATCTAGGCTAGTCTCGAACTTCTGAACTCAAACAGTCCTCCCTCTATTATTACCTTATATGCAGAGGTAGAAGATAGAAAGTGAACTAAACACATATAAATGTCAGATAAATCTATATTTCTTTGCACTTTGGTTTTGCTTTAAAAATCTTAATGCAGATTTTCCTGTTATTCTTATTTTCTGTTTTAGTTTGAAACAGAAACTGTCCCTTTCCTGTCCCAAGGCCATGGTCCATGTACATCAGCAAACCATGACCATTGCAAGCTAAGTCATGTCAACAACCTAGTTTGTATGCTTCCATGGTATTTGTTTGCTCTTCTGTTTTGTATACATGCTATTTCCCCTTGTCTGGGATCTTCTTCCATCCATGTTCTAAGCTTCCAAAGCCTACTTATCAACTAAGACTCAGTCCCATTATTTTGTTGTTATAAAGCTGCCTCTGCCTGTCTTGTCCTTCTGTCTTTTTGCAAATGTTTGCATAGATCTTCACTGACCTTAACACATTGCCCTCCCAGTGCACAGTTTTCTGACCCTCTGACTTTTCCGCAAGCAGCCTGAAAGTAGAAAATCTTCACTCATTTCTTCACCAAACAAATGTTTACCAAGCACCTAAAATAATTCAGCCCCTCTGTTAGGTACTGGATCTATGCATCTCTGTATCCACAGTGTCCAGATTAGGGTCTGGCACAGGTGGCAGCTAATAACCATTTCCTGGATGCAGGAACAAAAGAATCCTCCATCCATCATTCTGTGTCAGGCATTGAGATCTGCCTTTGACCAAAATAAACTTTTTCAGAGGAGGCAGCATGACAGAAAGGCCTCTCCCAGCCCAGTCTGGAAGCGTGGAGTCACTGACTGCTTTCTGCTACACTAGGTGTGGCTCCGTTTGTCTGTTTACGGTCCACTGTGATGCTAACAAATTCCCCCAAGAAATGACCTTACAATTTCATAAACTGAAACTTTTAGAAAACGGCCCCAAGAAGAGCAAAAATATCTTAATGTTCTGACAGGAAAAGCCAGAAGGCTAATGGTTAAGAAAGAACAGAGCACATGAGCTAGAATCGGTAGCACAGTGTCCAAGGAAGAGATGTGGGAGGAAGGAAGTGTGGGGGTTGTAGACGGAGGATGATATTTATTGAGCAACAGCTGTGTGTCATAAGATCATAGATCTCCTGAGGAGCCCTGTAGGGGTTAAACACTCTTTACTCCTTCATACGGAAAAGGAACTGAGGCTCAGAGAGACAAAGCCACTTGAGCCACTTGCCTTTGAGTCATCTGTCTTGTAGGTAGCTGAGCTGGGATTCTAACCCAGTTCTGTATGAAGCCAAAGCTTACTTATCCTGCTAGAAACAAGTGCCACTCAAGAGAAGTACTGGCATCTTCAAGAGTCTTCCTGCAGTTATAAGGAATTAGAAGGGGCCAAGGGGCAGCCAAGGAAAACCTTCAAATAACTCCCTTCCTTGATTTCCTAAGGAAATTTCCTTAATTTCAATCAGCACCTGGGACAGTACCAGGGCAAGCCTTGTGGATGTCACCCTCTCTAGGATCTCTTTCTCCACCTCTCCCTAGCTTCCCCTGCTTCTTACCTTCTTCCTCCGGCTGAGCAACCCATTCTTCAATGAAAGATGACCTCAAATTCCAATTTGTCTTCCCAATGCCAATTGACTATGGAAAGCTTTCTAAGCCACATTCTGACTTACACATTTACACAATATCAACACTGGAATGGGTCATGTGTTTAGACATCTCACATTTTAAGTAGGAGGAAACATTTGGCCAAAGGAGCAGTATGACTTGCTCTGAGACTCACGGAGTTGAAACTGATTGGTCAACTGGACCCATGTCAGGGATGTCTGCACTCTTCCCCCCGGGGGGGGTCTCAGCCTGCCTCTGCTCTTTAATGCTGCCTCCCCCACTTCCCCTAGGCTTCCTCCAACAACTGCATGCCTGCAGAGATAAACCCCTGCCTTCTTGCTGCCACCCCACAGAGTGATCTAATAATAAGGATCTAAGCATAATCATAATAATTAATAATAAGGTCTAAAGCAGACCCCACAGGGTGATCTAATAATAAGGATCATGAATATTTACTGAGCAGGTAACTGTGACCGGCACTATGCTAGGCAACTGTATGTATGCATACTTGTATGATAACATTTATTTTTCCCCCAGACTCTGCCTGTGAGTTAGGTAGTAATACACTCTGAGCCTACCCATCAGTGGATCTTTGGGATCCATTGGATCAGTGGATCACTAAGATCCCAAAGATATAGCTACAGAATAAACAGGATAAAGGGGAAAAAAGGTCTCCTACTGTTAGATCAGTGGTCATACAGAAGGAGCATTTGAAGCCACTTTGCTGCTCCACCATTTCTGGTGCTCTCACCTTCCTGTCTTCCAAGAGGCTATCAATACCCTCTAGATCCTAATGCCCTCTAGGCCCTGAGGGTCCCTGAGGTCCTTCTCCTCTAAGGGGAAAGAAGTGGAGCCCCTGAGCACTGCAGATCGGACTGGGCTGTGTGCACCACATCACGGGGGAGCCTGCCACGTATCTTCAGATTGGTGGTTAATGCACAAAATCCTCCAGAATCTAGGTCCTAATTCCTTAATCTGCCCCTCTCCATATATACCCACTGTTCCAGGCATATGGAACTATTTTATATGATCCCGCAGTCAGGGAAATGAGGAGTGGTTATGTATTTACTCATATCACACAAAAACATTTTCCCTTTTGAAAAATATTTTGACTGTGAACATCACCCTTAGGAAAAAGCACATTGGTCTACATTGACCAAATTAGTGTAAGCTTGGGATGTTTACAGAGGTCACCTCACCTGCTTGAATAAGGGGAAACCATGAAGCAATGAAATTTAATATAGATAACAGTAATTATTTCTGGAGCCTCACATTTTCATATCTTGCATGTTATTGTAAGCAAGCCTCTCACATACAATTTGAGAAGCAATACACTCTGCGTTTATGTTGTTGAGATACCAAAGGTGCAAGTATAGAAAGAAATAAATAAAAAGGGGAAAAAACATCTCCTACTGTTTGGAGAATGGTTTCTGGGGCTTAGAATAAAACTTTCAGTAATAGCAGCATGCATGCATTCCAGAAGTGTTGAATCTTTAAAGAACTCAGGTGGAATGCATAGTAATCAGCTCTGGAGAAGTGCCAGCTGACTTAGAAAGTGGCTCAAGGGATGATGACGGAAGACATTGAAGGCATATAGGAAACTTTAAAAATTGTTTTCATAGACATATGCAAGTACAAAAGAAGTAATATAATTTTACAATAACACTTTTATTATTATTTTGAATATGCATGTCAAATGAAAGCCCAAAATGTAAACATTCTCAAGTCAGTCATTGACTGTTTCACCCACATTTTTAAAAGTTGATGCATCTGAGTTAGTCAAATAATTTTCACTGGATATGGGCATACCTAGAGCTCATGCTCTTCTCTGAACACATTCTGCCTCATGCCTCAGTGTCTTTTTCCCTGTTAATTCCCCTGCCAATGACTCCTTCTTCAACTTCTTCCCCTGCTAACTGCTGATGCACTTTATTTTATTTTTATTTATTTATTTATTTTTGAGATGGATTCTCACCCTGTCGCCCATGCTGGAATGCAATGGCATGATCTCAGCTCACTGCAACCTCCGCCTCCTGAGTTCAAGCGATTCTCCTGCCTCAGCCTCCCAAGTAGCTGGGATTACAGGCGCATACTACCACACCCAGTTAATTTGTTGTACCTTTAGTAGAGACAGGGTTTCACCATGTTGGCCAGGCTGGTGTTGAACTCCTGGCCTCATGATCCACCCGCCTTGGCCTCCCAAAGTGCTGGGATTACAGATGTGAGCCACCGCACCCGGCCCTACATGCACTTTAAAACCAGGACAAACATCTCCTTCTTCAAGAAGCCATGGTAATGAAACCATGCTGGGTTAGCGAGCCCCCTCTGAGCCCACATGTGCCCTGAGCTACCCTCTCTCCTAGCACTCATCTGCTTTTCGTCTGTTGACATATCTGTTTTCCTGGCTGAACCGTGAGCCACTGGAGGTCCTGAAACACATGATATGCACTGTTGTCATCCCACAGCTCACCTTAAAATCTTACACATGTGGTAAGAAACTCAGCAGACATGCAGTATATAAAGTAATGAATGCATTGGTAATTGATTGGTAATTGATGCGTAAATGAATGAATGATTCATTGTAGAAGGTATTTTAGGAAACTTCCCTGTCCACTCAGGAAATTTCTCCTAAGAACACTTCCCCATGAAAAAGGTCATAGTTTCTGAATTGTGGGTGCAACTGAATTGAGGAAGAGACTGGCTGGTATTTAGCAAGCATTTCTCTTTTCCTCCTGTGTGCCTCAGCAGACGACATGCCCCAGTCTCCCCTGTGTGACTGTCACTAGGTGTTGGTGGAAATGAATTAGCAATCTCCAGGCCTGGCCCATAAAATCCTCCCACAGGGTTCTCCACTCTCTTTTCCTTTACTTATTATTGCACCCCAAGAATTTGGTAGAAGATTCTGAAACTAAAGGATGGAAGAGCCATGGGATTCACACGTGACCACTGAATGGCTGTGTGGATCAGAACTCCCCACAGCAAGACTCCCATAGACCTAGTGTCCATGAGATATGAACTTTTACTGTGTTAAGCCTCTGAAATTTTAGAATCATCTGGTACCACAATGAGACTCATAATTCAAGACTGCTTAGACCTATCGCTCTGCCGATTGAAAGTCAGTGTCTCCCACCACTTCATTTAATGGTAAGTATTTATTAAGTACCGATTATATGACAACTACTTCAATGTAACAGTTAAGAGTCATAGAAATGGCTGGGTGCACTGGTTCTATCTTCTCTCACACCTGTAATCCCAGCACTTTGGGAGGCCGAGGCAGGTATTACAAGACCAGGAGTTCAAGACCAGCCTGGCCAACATAGTGAAACCCCATCTCTACTAAAAATATACAAAACAAAATTAGTCGGGCATGGTGGTGCATCCCTGTAGTCCCAGCTACTCTGGAGGCTGAGGCAGGAGAATCACTTGAACCCAGGAGGTTGAAGTTGCAGTGAGCTGAGATCGCACCACTGCACTCCAGCTTGGGCAACAGAGTAAGATTTCGAAAAAAAAAAAAAAAAGTCCTAGAACCTTTAGTCAAATGGAACACGATGAGCTGAGAAACATGGAAGTGGACTGAGGTAACCGGAGATGCTTATAATCAATTTTTCCACGTTCTCTTTCAAACGGCAACTCGTGGCACCCACAGTTTTCTTGGACAAGCACTCACCTTGGTTCCTAGGGGTCCAGGGAGTCCAGGTGATCCACGGAGTCCCTGGAGAAATAAATAATACAAGGACAATCATGGAGCTGAGAGTGAACACTGACCCATCCACCACGTGCCAGGCTGACTGCATCCTCTGCTGGGGACCCAGAGATGGGTGAGACTCACTATGACCTGACTTGCACAAAAGAAACAGAATCTGGTTTTGAGCCACAAGGCCCTGGATGTGAATTCCGACTCTGCCTCCTACTGTCTCTGTGTGGCCTTCAGGAAATCTCTTAGCCTCTCTCAGTTTGCTTTCCCATTGAAGAGCCTTATTGTATAGACTTGCGCAAGTAAGGGGCAAGGCCTCGTTTCAAAGCAGGCTTTGAAACCTTCACTTCAGGCTGAAGGGCTTTGGCACTCACAGCCACAATGAAAACCATGATTCTACGTTTGGAAGTCTTGGCTGAAAGCACCAGAGTAGACCAGAAGTCCTTCTTTACGCATACCACACTTGTCCTGAGCTGTGGGGATGTGTTTGCCTGACTGTCTCTCCATGAGATGGGAGCATCTCCAGGGCGCAGCCTGTCTCATCCATCTCTGTATCCCCAGCACTGGCCCAGGCTGGCATGTGGCCAGCAGTCCATGAGGTTGTGCTGCCCTAGCCTGAACCCCTTTCCCAACCAGGCCCATTTCATTGGCCACGGTTCAATTTCTGCAAAGTTTGGCAGTTAGATTTTTTTCCTTTTCCTTCTCTAATTTTCACCTGGTTTCTACAGGCACTGGGACCCCCGACCTTCCACTTACCGGCTCTCCATCCTTCCCTTTTCCGGGTGGCCCAGGGAGCCCAGGAGCACCAGGATCTCCCCTGGGACCAACTGGCCCTGGGCTGCCTTCTTCCCCCGCTGCACCCTGGAAAGAAAAGTAGACATTTCCCAGGGTCAATTACACTCAGCACGAAGCTTTTCTATGGGGGAGCAGCTTGAGTAGGTTTGTAGGTTTCCTGGGGCTGCCTTTATGATTTTAGAAGGCCCATGCTTTCTGGGACACAGAAAGATGGACTGTGTAATGTGTGTTATAGGTTACATTGTGTTCCCCAAAATTCGTGTCTTGAAGTCCTAACCCCTACTACTTCAATGCACAGATGTGATTAAAGTTAGGATGAGGTCATACTGGAGTGTGACCCTCCCCAATGGTCCTAATCCAATATGAGTAGCGTCTTTTAAAGAAGGAAGCATTTGGACATACATGCATAGAGGCAAGAGGACACAAATACACAGGGACAAGACACCACCAATGAGCCAAGGAGAGAGGCCTGGAACAAATGCTTCCTTCACAGCCCTGAGAAGGAGCCAGTCCTGCCAACACCTTGACTGAGGACTTCCAGCCTCCAAAACTGGGAGAAAGTACATTTTTGGCTGTTTAGGCCACCCAGTTCATGATACTTTGTTACTGCAGCCTTAGTCAATCAACTCAATGCAAAACATGGAAAAGGAAAGGACGTTAGTGACGACCTCCCACCCAGTGCGGGCAAATCTATTTCCGGTGCATCTCTTACAGATCAGCCCTCATTTCTGCTTGAACTCCTCTGGGAGCGGAGACCTCACTACCACTCCACACTGGGCATTCCTTTGTCAGGTAGCTCTGTTATGCAACATTTCTTTATACTCAACCTTCTCTGAAATCTTCCCAACATTGGACACTAAGTCTGTTCCCTGGAACCCTGTAGATACAATCCAATCCCTCTTACAGTTAGGTTTTCAACTATAAGAACAGAGCCTAAAGCTGCAATGGAGAGAGCAAGAGAGAGAGAGTGTGAGAGTGCTAGCATGGGCACCGGGGTCGGCTTGAGGACCTGGGCTTTGAGCTTGCTCCAGGCCAGTGCTTCATCTTCTCTGACGACAGGGCTCTGAACAGCCCTTGTGGCGGCCCTGACTGTGGAACACTGGGTTGAGCCCCGCGAACCAGACGGACTCCTTTCCCCAGACTGGGCTGCCCTGGGTGGAAGCTGCAATCACAGTGTTTCCAGACATTCTCAGATGGAGCAGAGGTAAGGTAAGATGAGCCAAGGATATGCAAAGCAAGGATGGAGAGGGCCTCTCTCCAAGCCTGGAGCAGGATCAGCTTCCCCTAGCCGCAGGCCAGCCCCTGGACATGGTGTGAGAGGGAAAAAGTATGCTGTGATGTCCGGGATTTTTACCACTTTGCAGAGCCCTGGAGGTTCCTTTCCAAATCCCGGGCCCGGCCCTCAGCCTGGGCCTCTGCTCAGCCAAGGAAAGGCATTTGGCTCCCTCTAGAGGCTGAATGTGGCAATAGCCCACTGATTTCTGGTTTCTGAACATGCACCTGTTAGTCCTCCTAAGAGGCCATCCCCTTCCAGGTTACCAATGTCCTACTTATAATGTGCCGTCCTTCAGACATGGTATAATTAAGGAATACCAGATGAATCCAGATGTTTTTCCTTTGCTTAATCTAGGCAGTCTGAAATGGCATTATCTTCTTTTCAAAAAATGAATGTTTGTACCTGTATTACATAAGGTTTGTTATTATTATTATTTATTATTATTATTATTTGAGATGGAATCTCACTCTGTCATCCAGACTGGAGTGCAGTGATGTGATCTCAGCTCAAGGCAACCTCCGCTTCCCAGGTTCAAGCGATTCTTGTGCCTCAGCTTCCCAAGTAGCTGGGATTACAGGCATGTGCCACCATACCCAACTAATTTTTGTATTTTTAGTAGAGATGGGGTTTCACCATGTTGGCCAGGCCCGTCATGAACTCCTGACCTCAAGTGACCTGCCTGCCTTGGCCTCCGAAAGTACTGGGATTACAGGCGTGAGCCACCACGCCCGGCCCATAGGGTTATTATTAAGCCTATGATCAACACTCCAAAAACCCAAGAGAGTCTTCATAGATGTGTTGATCATTTTTCTCTGCACTAAGTTCTTTTTTTCTGGGAGACGTGTATCTTAAAATTGAACCTTCCTGCAAAAAGGCAAATGACATCTCCTCGTGTTAAATTATGCAAAAACATAAGAACTGAAGTGATTCTTTAAAAGGCACCAAGTAGATGAACTTGAACTTGAAAGAATTCATGTTAAGAAGTTTGGCCAGGTGTGTGCTAGGAGGGACCTCTGTGGACAATCCATGCCCCAATATCGTCTCTTCCTGTCCATGGATACTAGTGTGATCTGCTCACGCAGGGAGGGCAGGACACAACCACATGGTACCCTTGTCACCTGTTATCTGCTGAGTCCTTTGCACATGACTCCCCAATTCCTCAGCTAATCCTCACAACCTATGATCAATGCGGCATCACCCTCATTTTACAGATGAGAAAATCCAGGTTCAAAGAGAGTGTGCTTTATTTAGATCAGGGTTTCTCAACCTTGGCACTATTGACCTTCAGGGAGGATCGTTCTTATAAGGGGAATGTCTCATGTGCTGTGAGGTTTTTAGCAGGTTCTCTGGTCTCTACCCACTGATGCCAGGAGCAGTTACTCCCCTTAGTGGTGACAACAAAAAATATCTCCCTGGGTAAAAACCCCCTGTTGAGAATCACTTTTGTCACCCTAGCTTATATCAATGCAACTAGGGCAAGAGAGCTGGCATTTGACTCAGGTCCAAACGCTGAATCATTCAAATGAGTACGTCTGATTTCCTGAGCCCTGGCTCAGTGTCACCAATTAACCTCAGAGACATTTCCTAAGGTGCTATGTCAGAGAAATGCAGAATGGAACTTAAAAGGGTGTAGATTCTCCTTCTTGGCCTCTGGGTTTTTTTTTTTTTTAATTGGTATGGGAACATGTGTCTCTCTTATTAATAATTAAAATCTCAGGCTGGGTTCAGTGGCTCACACCTGTAATCCCAGCACTTTGGGAGGCCAAGGCGGGTGGATCACTTGAGTCCAGGAGTTTGAGACCAGCCTGAGCAACATGGTAAAACCCCGTCTCTGCAAAAAATACAAAAATTAGCCAGGCATGGTGGCGCACACCTGTAATCCCAGCTACTCAGGAGGCTGAGACATGAGAATTGCTTGAACCCGGGAGGCAGAGGTTGTAGTGAGTGGAAATCACACCACTGCACTCCAGCCTCAGTGGCAGAGTGAGACCCTGTCTCAAGAAAAAAAAAAAATCTCATAGCTTGGGAAGGTTTACGTGTGTGAGCATAGGTGTATAATGGATAAGTTGGTGCACTGAATTGAGAGAAAACAGGATTTGGAGTCAGACAGACCTAGCTCTGTAGCTTATTTGCTATGAGACACAGAGCAAACTAATTAACTTCTCAGAGCCTCAGTCTCCACATCTGTCTAATGGGCACTTGTCTGATTCTCAGGTCTGTTGTGAGGAATAAATGAGCCAATGGGATGGCACAGTCTTCCTCTCCCTCCTACTTAGTAAACCCCTTCTGATTGCTGGTTCCTAAACCAGGCCCGAGCAGAGTGAGCTGCTCCTTCAGTGCCTGTAAGAAGTTAAGGATATTCACTTGTGTGCTGAGAGATCATATTGGTCTTACCTTCTCACCACGCTCCCCATCTTTCCCTGGGGTGCCTCTGAGGCCGGGAGCACCCTGTGGCAAGGAAGATTACGGACATGGTGAATTTAAAGATGACTGGTCACTCTTGGTGGCTCGTGACCCCCAGGGAAGAATCATCAGGTCCCCCTGAAGTCAACGACTACAGCTCCCACCCAATTCCCATACTTTATTTAAATTCCCCAAAGCTCCACCTCCTCCCTGCCCATGACTGCTGCTCTCCCGGGGGGGGGGCTGGCCTTGTAACAGTGCACATCAGAGCTCTTAACAGCAGGCATGGTCTGCTGGAAGCTTTACCGCCTGCTCTGGAATGTGAACTATCAGAAGGCGTGGCCTGGCACAGTGAACACTCTGGGAAGATGAGGATGGCCTTAAGAACCCAGCCTTAGCATTGGGGCATCTGCTCCAACAGTGTCTTTGGAGTCCCCAAAAGGTTGACTTTGAGACATGGTTTAAGTGCAAGCGTCCCATGGATGCAATAGTAGGGAAACAGAGAAGCAAAAAGGGGAGAACACTCATGCCTGTAATCCCAGCACTCTGCAAGGCCAAGGCAGACGGATCACTTGAGGTCAGGAGTTCAAGACCAGCCTGGCCAACATGGTGAAACCCCATCTCCACTAAAATACAAAAATTAGCTGGGCATGGAGGCACGCCCCTGTAATCCTAGCTACTTGGGAAGCTGAGGCAAGAGAATCACTTGAACCCAGGAGGCGGAGCTTGCAGTGAGCCAAGATCATGCCACTGCACCCCAGCCTGGGTGACAGAGCTAAACTCCACCTCAAAAAATAAAAATAAAAATAAATAAAGCAGGGGAGAACAGGCAGCAAGAAATACACTTGCTGGCCACTGGAGCTCTGTCCTGCTGTGACTCTGGGATCCTGTGCAGGACGTACGCTCAGAGCGATGACAGCTGAGAACAAGTGATCTGAGCTATTCTGCTGGTGGTGCTGCTGGCCACCCATCACGTGGCTCAACAACATACTCTTTAGAGGCCAGAGAAGACTCCCAGCCAGAAGAATGCAGGCTGGGCTGCAGGAAGCCTCCATGTAAAATAATAATATTCCTCCAGCAGGGTTGCTGTGTGGATTAAATGAATGAACACATATTCCTCCAGCAGGGTTGCTGTGCAGAGTAAATGAATGAACACATGTAATGTGCTTAGTACCATGCCTGGCATGTATAAAGGCTCAGTCCTCTAAGCTACTATGCTTATTACCTATAAAGGCTTGATGAAGAAACAAGACTGACCTAAATCTATTGTAGGGGAAAAACGCTTTGTTGCCCTTGACTAGATGTCATGGAGTGTTTTGTTGAACAATGTTCAAGTCTAAATTGGTGTTTATGGTGAATCTTAAAGCTGGTCCTTTAGCGGACACCTTGGGCCTCGACATGGAAAAGGCAGAATCTCGTCAGGCCAAAAAAGATGCAACCCTAAAGGTGAAGCAGCCAAGCTATTGTCTCCATTTTGCAGATGAACTAGCCGAGACCTCAAGGAGGGGCTTGCCAAGATGGTCATGTCAATTAATAAAAGAGCTGGATTCGAATCCAGGTCCCCCAATAGCCGTCAGGGGACCTTTGACTTCTTTAGGTTCATTTTCTTTCTTCTGAAGCAAACTAGGGTGTTGATTCCAACACCAGTGAAATGTACAGACTTTCTGCAGATGCCAACAGCTGCGTTTACCCTCTGGATAGCTGGCGAGTTGCCTAGGGCTCAGGTGTGTGAACTTTCTGGGTGGTCTATGTCAGGACAGCAGTGTCTCCGTCTGGAAAATGGGAGTAAGGATCCTCCCCTTACTCCCATGTATCCTACGCCTCTGGCTTTTGGGGAGGATACATTAACTAGCTTGGTGGCTGGGCCGTGCGTATGCCCTCTCCCAATTACTCACCACACTTCCTGGAGGGCCACTGGGACCGGGGGCACCGACATGTCCGGGAGCACCCTGTTCAGAGACAGAAGTTTAGAAAGGCCAAACGCATTGATTAGAAGTAGTTGCCCCCACTCTCTCTGCAAATCTGCCTCATACTCAATTCACCGCAATGTGCTGGAACTGCTGCTGACCTGACAGCCTCTGCAGACGTGAACCTCCTCTCCGGAGGGCTGTGGTGTCCCAAGCACCAAGCCTCAGGTGAGTGGGCTTCTGGCACAGAGGTGAAAGGCAGGAGGGCAGGAGGACTCTGGAAGTTCCTTAGAGCTAAGGCACAGGGGTGTGGAGGAGCCTGGGTGTGGGCAGAGAAGGGCTGGGACCTAACCACAGAAGAGGATTTCAGGTGAGGTTTGGCCTTATCCTAAGTGCATGAGGAAAAGGAAACATTGAAAAATGAACAGTTCAGATCTCAGTTGCATATGTATGTGTATGTGTGCACGTGCGTGTGTGCAGGTTTGTGGAAGCGTATGTGTGTGCATGCGTGTGTGCACGTTTGTGGAGATGTGTGTATGCATGTGCATGTGTGCATGTTTGTGGAGGTATGTGTATGTGTGCACGTCCATGTGTGCACGTTTGTGAAGGTGTGTGTATGTGTGTACGTCCGTGTGTGCATGTTTGTGGAGGTATGTGTATGTGTGCACGTCCATGTGTGCATATTTGTGAAGGTGTGTGTATGTGTGTATGTCCGTGTGTGCATGTTTGTGGAGGTGTATGTGTGCGTGTGCATTTGTGAAGGTGTGTGTGCATGCATGTGTGCACGTTTGTGGAGGTGTATGTGTGCACGTGCGTGTATGCATGTTTGTGGGGGTGTGTATATGTGTACAGTGCATGTGTGCATATTTGTGGAGGTGTGTTTATGTGTGTACATGTGAGTGTGCATGTTTGTGGAGGTGTGTATATGTGTACACGTAAGTGTGTGCATGTTTGTGGAGGTGTGTGTGTGTACGTGTGTGTGCATGTTTGTGGAGGTGTGTGTATGTGGAGGTGTGTGTGCACGTGCGTGTGTGCATGTTTGTGGAGGTGTATGTGTGGAGGTGTATGTGTGCACGTGCATGTGTGCATGTTTGTGGAGGTGTGTGTACGTGTGTGCATGTTTGTGGAGGTGCATGTGTGGAGGTGTGTGTATGTGTGCACGTGCATGTGTGCATGTTTCTGGAGGTGTATGCATGCGCGTGCATTTGTGAAGGTGTGTGTGTGCGCGCACGTTTGTGGAGGTGTATGTGTATACGTGCATGTGTACACGTTTGTGGAGGTGTGTGTATGTGTGTACGTGTGTGCATGTTTGTGGTGGTATGTGTATGTGTGGAGGTGTGTGTGTATGTGTGCACGTGCATGTGTGCATGTTTGTGGAGGTGTATGTGTGCACGTGCATGTGCATGTTTGTGGACGTATGTGTGCGTGTGTGCATGTTTGTGTGCACATGCATGTGTGCATGTTTGCGGAGGTGTATGTGTGTGCATGCGTGTGCATGTTTGTGGATGTGTGTATGTGTGCACATGTGTGCATGTTTGTGGACATGTGTATTGTGCACGTATGTACATGTGTGTGTATGTGTGTGTGCACGTACGTGTGTGCATGTGTGTGGAGGTGTGTGTGTGAGTGCATGTGTGTGTGTGTGTGTGTGTGTGTGTGTGTGTGTGTGTGTGTGTGTTGGCTTTGACTGGAAAATCAGGTAAGAAGTGGATTTGAACTAGAACTTGATGGCCGGGCAATGATCCATGACAGGAGATGTGGGTGAGGACATTCCAGGTGGGTCAACTCTATAGGTGCAGAGAAGCAGGGAACTCTCACGGCCTTGGAGGCTGCCCATGTTTCCTCCAGGCCTTGTTCCCCACTGTCCCCGGGTTTTGCACATCTCCAGGGTCAGGACTCACGGAGAACACTCCCAGCTTCCTCCTTGCCTACACTCTGCTTCCATTCCCCTCCAGGCTGAGCTGGAACCAGGGCTCTCTCCACAAGCAGGGAGGAGTTGCCATCTGTCCCCACTGTGGCATCCACACTGGTCACTACCTTGGCAGACCCAGTTCCAACCTGACCATACGCATGGTGGCCTGGTCATATCAGCACCCTCTACCTGGTACAGGGCACCCGGCAGTGGTGCTAGGAGCAGACCAGACGTGTGCTGCTGCTGCTCCTCTTGCCACCACTGCTCCCCAGAGACCCGGGGATAAGTCAGCCCGTCCTGCCTTCCGCCAGCTCCACAGTCCAGCCTGAGCTCTCTGGCTCCGCACCATGAGACAGAGCCCAAATCAGCTCCAGGAACAAGTGCCAGCCCCACGGGGATCAAATACACCCTGGATCTGGCCCCAAGGATGGGTGAGCCAGGAGCAGCTGAGGAGTGTGCATAGAGGTGTCTGTATGTTTTCCTGGCTGCATCTGTGTGTTTGGGGCTGTGTGTGTGTGTGTGCACCTGTGCATGCATGTATTATAGGATGTGTGTTCTCTGGTTTGTAGAGTACATGTACGTGGTTGTGCATGTAAGCACACTTCTTGGAGTAACAACCTCACCTGCGAGGGGAGGTCTGTGTGTGTCTCATCCACATGTGCATAGAAAGAGATTTCTTTCATTCGCTGGGCATGTGGACAAAGTCAAGAAATGCTACGAAGGTGGTGGAGGCCAGAACCTCTCTCCGTGCTGACTCCCACCAACCACTCAAGTGTGGGTGAACCTTCTGGGCCACGTCCTCCTAGCTAGCCCAGAGCTGTGAGCCATAGAGCAGAGCAGACACTGGGCGGGGCCTCCCTCCGGGGCTCCCCCACGAGGCAGGCCGATCATAGGGACTCACGGGGTTTCCAGCTGCTCCAGGAGCCCCATGTGCACCTTCCTGTCCCTTGGCACCCTGCACAGGAAATAAAAGAGGGGCGGGGGTAAGACACCCTCAGTGATGCTGTTTCCCCTCACAGCAGGGAGGTCTCGGGAATACCGTGCTCATCAGAAGCATTATTCCAAACTGAAGGGGCCCGGGAGCACCGTCTAAAAGGTGAAGAAAATCACTACTTTCTGGCCCTCTGTTGGAGATGGTCATATCGCGATTTCATTCCATCCTCACCACCTACCCAGGGTATAGGGGTCAGCACCGACCCTCTGTAGAAATGTAGCTCAGAGGGGCTCACACAGCCAGGCAAGGTCCCCAGTCACCCCAGCAGGATCTCCTACCATAGCACAGAGTCTCCCAGAGAACCAAGATCCAGTGCAGAGGCAAACACCGAGCAAAATGACAGAATCAAAGCACTAACATGTACCAGGTGTCACTTAAACCAGCACTGCCACTCCATGACTGGGATCCATTTCCTGTTCTGCAAATCCTCTGGGAACCAAGGTGCCCCCTATGTGCAGAGGCCCTTGCTCTCCAGATCCCGCTGAGCAGGAGAAGGGAGAGCACGGCAGAAACCTGCAGCTCACCTACACCAACCCTTTAGTGACAGAGTAGGGACATCCAGGGGTACAGAGGTGGGGCCTGGCCCCATGGCTGTGTCTGGGGCGTTTAGTGAGGGCCACTCAGCCTCTGCAGCACATTGGGGCTGCTCTGCCCAGCGTCTACTCCCAAAATGCCAGGGGAGAGAACTGGGGAGGGTGGCCTGGAGCGAGAGAGTGTGGCTGGGATCTCCAAGTCTCTGAGCCAGCAGGGGAAGGGATGGTTTTCTTACCGGTGGTCCAGTGGGTCCCTGAGGCCCCAATTCTCCAGGACGGCCCTGCAGTCCCTGTAAGCACACAAGTTGCCATGAACCAGCTCATCCTCCTGGTTCTGAGCAGATGGGCGGATGGGGCGGGGACGTTGCAATGGGTATAATTTGAGATCCAAGGAGGGGACGTAGCTAGCGTCCTGAGGAGAAGAAAGGGCTGCCTTCCATTCAGTGTGGCTCCTGGGTGTGGAATGCACGGTGCAGATCTACAGCTGGTCAGCCTTTGGAGTCCGGGTCTCCAGGTAACCAGCCCTGCGGGGGAAGGGGACACAAGAGACTCACCGGTTCCCCAGGCAGGCCTGGATCGCCCTTCTCTCCTTTGGGCCCTTGTTCTCCCTGTTGGTGAGAAGCATAGGGTAGAGTGGACTTCAGGGAGAACTGCCCCTCGTCACAGGGTACATGTCCCCAGCTCCGGACACACAGGCCACCTCCAGTCCTGTGTATCACCTGATAGGTCCCCACCCCCAAAGGCTGTTCCCTCTGCCTGGGGGTTCTTCCCTCCTACTCCCCAGGACTGATTCTGACTCATCTTTCAGGTCAGGAATCACTTCTTCTGGGAAGCTGAACCCCAAAATGGGCCCAACCCTCCTGTTACAGCAGGTCAGTGTACTGTGCCTTTCTCCTCCTGAGCCCTGTTATGGCCGCAGTTTTACACTTAGTTGTGTGGTTTGATTCATCTCCCCTCCAGCTCAGAGCCTGGCACATGGTAGATCATCAGTGAATGATGGAAAGAGTTTTGAGAGGAGGAAGGGTCTTTAAGGGCCCCTGGCCCAAACACTACTTTTTCTCCCTCTCTTTCTCTCTCTCCCTCCCTTCCTCTCTCTCTTTCTAGTAGAGATGGGGTCTCATTATACTGCCCAGACCTTTCTTGAAATCCTGGGCTCAAGCGATCCTCCCTGCACAGCCTCCTGTGTACCTGCCTCCTGGAACTACAGGTCCTCACCATCGTGCCTGGCTCCAACCCCTTTCTAGATAGAGAAGCTGGGGAGGGGTGCTTAACTAAGGGAACCCAGACCTTTGGGGACAGACTGGGGGTTGAACCCTAGACTCTGGGTGGTCAGAATGGTGTGTCTAACTTTTGCTGAAGAAAGGATGAGACACAGGCTGGACAGGCAGTACCCTGGGTGGGCCCAGTATGGAATGATCCAAGATGGGGCAGGCTCACTTCCAGGGAGCCACATCCAGGGTGCCCAACACATCTCCCAGGAGGGTTGAAGGGACATGTGATCCTCAGCCTGCAATTCATATGGAACAAGGAGAAGATGAGCAGATGGGGGACTACAGTGAGGACAGCTTTCCAAGGGCTCAAGGGCGTATCTTTCCACAGCTGAAGGGCCACTGTGCAGGAGAGGAGTGGGGCCAGTGAACCAGTGTGGACACAGTCTCAGCTTCAGACCCATACAGCCTGTCTTGGGAGCCCTGGCCCTCTAACTTATTGGCCATATAAACTTGGGCAAAGTAGTTACCCATACGGACCCCATATGACTTTTGCAGTTTCCATATCTGCAAAATAAAGAGGTGGTCCCCTTTTCACATAGGGTGAAGGTCAATGGTACAGAGAAGGTGCAGCAGAGGCAAGACATCAAAGAGAAACAGCACAGGTTTGCAGAGTTCTCCAGGACGGCAGATAACAACCAGAGCACGTGTACCCAGAAAGGCAGTATGCAACCCTTCTCAAGGAGCAGAACCTGCTACTGTCCCAAATCCCCACAGCCTGCTTAGGGGGACATCGGGCTCCCCTGCCACAGATAAGCCCAAGGAGAGCTGGGATGAGCATCTGCCTTGGGTGTAGAAGGGAGTCCTACATGGATGGGGTGTTTGCAAGACACGGCTTTAGAGAGCAGGAGATGAAGGGAGGGCCATGGATGCATCTGGAAGAAAGAGTCTAATGTCTACATTAGAGAACCTGAGTAGTTCTAACCTTTACTTGGTGGAGAAATCAGCATAGAAAGACACTATCTACTAAGGGTTTCATGCTACTTTCTCTCTCTATGTCTCTGCAAATGTTAGAGGCCTTGCAGCCATGGTTTCTACCTGCCCTCCCTTCCCAAGCCTCTCTCTGATACGGCAGTTGGAGACCACATGGCCTGCGGCTGTCTTCCTCACTCAGCATCACCTATTGCATGGAACCGACATGGTCTACCTCGTACAGCTGTGACCTGGATTCAGTGAGATTGCGTTTGCAAAGTGTTTCACAGTGACCAATACAGAGGAGGTTTCAACGGATGCCAGCTCATTCCTCTGCCTAGAATCTCCATTGCCATTGAGCTCAGAAGGAGACATGTCTAGCCCCATTCACCACAGACAATAATACCATTATTTCTAGCATGTTTTCCTCCTAGAAAACTACCCATGGTGGGGATTTGCAAGTCTTTTTCTGGTCCTCCAGTCATTGGCAACACAATTCATAAAGACAAAAGGGCTTATGGGATTGTTTCAGGAGACACACAGGGAAGACATTTGTACAGTCTTCTTCCAGTGTTGGTGAACGGGACTGCAGTGGCAGGAAGACAAAGTGAGGACCTACGGAGGGTCAGAAAGGGCCAGAGAAGGACTCCAGATGCTCAAGAGATTCCTGCCCCAGAGCCTAGGAGTCAGGAGGCAGCACCTTCCCTCCAGGGGCCCCCTGGAAGGGCTCTGTCAGTAGCTGTTGAATGTGTAAGTTTGGCTGGCTTCCATCTCCTCCCCACTGCCCCCTGGTGACCTCAGCCAAGTTAAACACCATCTCTGGGACTCATGATCATCTCTGCAGGCTTTGGTCATTGCCTGGGCATCCTGAAGCCTCCTTAGCAGGGTGAGGGGGTAGAATCAGGCCGGTTGGACAGAGCCTTCCTAAGATAACTGCTTTGGAACAACTGATGAGCCTCCAGTTACAAAACCCTGCTTGAGTTCTCCACTGTAACTTCCCCAAGCACCAAGCTGCCTGTCCCTCCTTCCTCCAGCAAAGGTTCTGACATCTGCAGACCCCAGGGATATGCACACCATCAAACAGCCTGCTCTGTCCTCTGCAAACCACCAGCACCCTGTCACCTCATCAGGTGCAGCCACCAGCCATCCCCAGGAGCCTCCTCAGTCCCAGAGAGGGTGACAAAATGAGTCGGGCTTCTCCCTCCACCCCCTCATCTCCTTTCCATTCTCTTCCTTCATTATGCGGCAGACCTTAACACCCCTCTAAATTGCTCTCTCCCCAGCCTCTTCCTGCACTGCAGGGGCTCAAAGGCATGTGCCTGAGCAGAGCAGGGAGAAGTCAAACAGAATAACACTTTCCAAATCCATCAATACAAACATGGGTTGCCATGGTGACGAAGCCAGTCCCGGGGAGACTCAGGCAATTGCCCACAATGAAACTTTTTTTTTCCATAGACATAATTTCCTTGTTTGCATCTGAGAGTGGCTTCCTGGCTCCCAGGCTCCCGCAGCAATGCAGAGCCTGCAGGAAGGATGTCAGTGCTGGGACTCAAGGTGGAGGGCGGCACAGGCCCCTCACGTGCCTTCCCAGTGGAATGCTCTGGAAGTTGTGTTTTTACAGAGCAATTCCTTTAAGGAGAGGCTGGACATGTAGGCTTGTCTCAACCCCGAGGGGCTCAGGGTGGACCTGAGGGAGGGAGGCCCACAGATGTCAGGGGCAGGGGGAGGCAATACATGGAGGTGGTCCAGGAAAGGCAGGTGACCAGTGGAAGGGACAGGCAGTGTGATGGGAAGCCCCTTGCACAGGACAGCCAGCCGGAACTGAAGCAACGGCGGTACAGACGCTCCATCCAGTGCGCTATGGCTGACACACTAGCCCCTAATTCCTATCTCGCTGGTAGGGCCTTCTTGGCAAGTTCCCTAGCACCTCTGAGCTGCAGGACCGTCACCTGTAAGATGGACACAGGTGCCACTCCCTCAAGGCTGTTAGGAGGCTTGGTTGCAGCAGTGCCAGGAAAACGCCCGGAGCTGAGCTGCTGCATGGGGTGCTCTGTCCTTCCAAGCCCCTCTCTGGGAGAGCAGGTGAGAAGACAGGGTGGCAGAAAGGTAAGGGAGTTCCTCATGCAGTGAGCGACAGCCCTACAGGTGAGGGAGGTGCTGCCTCCTCATGCAGTGAGTGCTGCCCTGCAGGTGAAAGAGGTGCTGTGTCCCTCATGCAGTGAGTACCTGCCATGCAGGTGAGAGAGGTGCTGTGTCCCTCATGCAGTGAGTACCTGCCATGCAGGTGAGAGAGGTGCGGTGTTCCTCATGCAGTAAGTACCCGCCCTGCAGGTGAGAGAGGTGTGGTGTCCTCATGCAGTGAGTACCCGCCCTGCGGGTGAGGGAGGTGCTGTGTCCTCATGCAGTGAGTGCCTGTCTCTGCCAGAGCGGAGCAGAGTTATAAATGTTTTATGTAAAGTGCAAATATCCTGTTATTTGCATTTAATCCTGAAAGTGTATTTTTATTGTCCCAATTTTATAATTGAGAAAACTAGGTCTCAGCGAAGAAACATAAGGAACATTTTCCAGGACAGGAGGGCAGTGAAGCAGTGCCCTCTAGTGGTTGACAGCTCAGTGACAAGAGGGCTCCTTTAACATCAGGGCCTTCTCTCCCTTCAGGAAAGGCTCACAGCCAGAGCCCTGTGCACCTGCTCTTTCCCGCAGACGCCTCTCACCCACTTCTCCCTAAGTCCATGCTGCCCTAGGATGCCCCCATCTCCCCATTATGCTTCCCAAGCACAAAATCCTTCCTTCTCCTGCAGTGATTTTAGCACCTGACTCAGTCTGTCTACCTGCTTCCTTCTTTTGCATCACACGCAGGATTCTTTTAAGCTTTTAAAATGGAATCGACTTAATATTGAATAAATGAAGATAGCAACAGCTGAAATGGACATCTACCTCAGCCTCTCAGCTGTCCCGCAGGTCAAGCCCTAATAGCAGAAGAACTGCATCAAAGGCAGCAAAAGAAACAATGGCATGTTTTCTGGCTTCAGCCTACAGCATAAAGAGATCCTGAAAACACCTATTTTCTGAAGAGCCATTCGTGAAAAGAGAGGAAAAAGGTTTCTAGACGTTGCAGTGCTAAGCTTTATTTCCTGCCAAGTGTTTTTGTGTGTGGAAGTAGCCAGCATCACTCTCTGTCCATCGGCACACCCCAGGCTACATCTCAGGTTCCAGTCCCCAGAACAGCCTGAGAATGGGGTCCCCTCTTGACACCCCTGTCTCTGGTCTCCTTCACTGCCAGCATCCATGGGGAACATCTTTGCCTCTCTCTGACTCTCATGTTCTGGCATCTCAAATAATTCTGTTCTCCTCAAAACCACCAGCTACTCTCTGTGTTACTGAAGAATTAACTTTTCCCAGAGATGCCTGGCCTTTGCTCTTAGCTATGAGAGGTGACTTCTAGGCCCCTGGAATGTCCTGCCTGACCCTGGAGCCAGCTCCCTGCAAGGCCCTTTCTCCACCTGTTTTCAGGACAAGCCCAGCAGCCCAGATCCCTGACAGTGATGAACGCGATGGGGCTGAGTCCTCACCCCACCCAGTCCAGGCTCCCAGGCCACACTGGACATTGCCCTCCAGGCCGAGGCACACTGGGCACCCCGAGGCACCGCTACTACTTACGGGCATCCGTGGATGTGGTGTGAACAGGGATGTCTGAAAAGGAAACCACAGAGATTAGAAAGATGGGCATCAAGGAACCCAGTGTTTCATTTTTAAAACCTGCCTTGGAGAGATTTACAAGTGAAAGAATACAGCCCCAAAGCTTCCTGGAACGATTATTAGTTTTGACAATTAGATTCACATCTTTCTTTAAAATCCCTGGCTATTTATTTATTAAGGCAGAAATGCATAGTGGTTAGATTCCGGAGCCCTGGAGGCAAAAGACCTGAGCTCCAAACCCTGTGTGACCTTGGACATGTCTCCTCAGCTTCTATGTCCCCATCGGTAAAACGGGAAAGAAACATTCTTCCCTGCAGGTGTCCATAAGAGCTCTGCCAGGACACTGGATTCATGTCACAATGTCTCCTTCTCACTACTGCCATCTGCTGGGCATCAGGCAGGGATGCAGGTGCGTAGTAGACAAGGTTGGGGAGAGTAGGAGAGGAGGGGAAATCCCTGCTTGACAGAGCCCAGGCTACAAAGACTCTGGCGGACTGGCCCCTGCAGGCTCCTTCAGCCTGGCCACCCCCACCTAGGCTGTGTTTAAGGCTAGGTCGGGCGCGGTGGCTCACGCCTGAAATCCCAGCACTTTGGGAGGCCAAGGCGGGCGGATCACGAGGTCAGGAGATTGAGACCGCCCTGGCTAACATGGTGAAACCCAGTCTCTACTAAAAAATACAAAAAATTAGCTAGGCGTGATGCCGGGTGCCTGTAGTCCCAGCTACTCGGGAGGCTGAGGCAGGAGAATGGCATGAACCCAGGAGGCGGAGCTTGCAGTGAGCCCAGATCACGCCACTGCACTCCATCCAGCCTGGGCGACACAGCGAGACTCCGTCTCAAAAAAAAAAAAAAAAAAAAAAAGGCTTCTCAGGTGTCATGCTTTCTCCAGCTTCAAAGCTTTTGCAAATACTGTTCCCCTTGCCTGGAACATACTCTCCTCTCCCTTTCTATGACTAAGGTCATATGGAGACCTGCAGGTGTCTTTTAAATGTCGTGTCTTCACGGATCCCTCTTCCCTCTCCACCATGCAAATATAATTTGGGTCCCCATGTTATTCTTGTTGATGCATCTTGTTCTTTTCCTGGATCACATTTACTATAATTTGCAATGTAGCTATATCTTTGCCACTGTAGGGTTAGTTTATCTTCTTGACTAGGCTACAAGCCCTGACAGATCTGATCCATGCAGATGCCTGGGTCCCAGCACGGGCCCGAAAGAAGCAGTAAATGGACAAAAAACATCATAGATAATGGTCCTAAACCACAATACATTAAAAAAAGATGGAAAAAAGTAGCTTCCTATATCTTGCCCTCCATGTCCCCAACCCCTGTCCCTTTTCTAGAAGGCACTGTTTTTCAGTTTACCATATTTTTAACTATTTCCTATATATTTCCACACAATTATAAATGTTTAGAAATATATAACTTTGTGCAAGTTATACAAATAGTAACAGCGACTACAGATGATTACTTACAGCCATTGAGAGGCCTTCACTCATGTGGTCTCACAATAACTCTAAGAGGTGGACTATCTGTTTCTGTCCTGCCTTATGGATAAGAAAATTGGAGGACACAGAAGTAAACCACAGAATGAAGTTCAAGCTGCTAGTGAATGTCAGGACAGAAACTGGCGTCCACATAGGTGGCCTGGGGAGCCTGTGTTCTTATCTTTCAATATGCAGTGATTGACTAATAGATTTTTTCTACTTAATTTGCCTAGTTCCACTTAATTTGAGTATCACTATCTTTTCAAGACCATACACATATTGTACGCATATTAATTTGTAGAATTCCATGATACAGATATTTTGTGATTCACTTAACTTTGTGCTTATGATCATGTGGTCTGTTCTAACTTTTTATTGTCATAAGTGATACTACAATGTACATCCTTATACATGCTTTTAAAAATGCACACATACAAATATTTCTGCAGGATAAATGCCTAGACATGGAATATCTAAGCTTAGGGGTAGGCACTTTGTGATATATTGGTACTGCCAAGTAACTTCTCAAATAGGTGTGTCCAATCTGTTCTACCACCAAAAAGGTATGAGACTGCTTGCTGCCCTGCACCCCTGCCAATGCTGTAGGTTATCAATCTTAAACAAAAATTTGATATGACTAATTCCGACTCTAAAGTTGTGATCCCAATTTCTTCCAACACCCTTATGGAATGTCTGAGTCTCATTTTGATGAGCATTGCTGGGGAGGAGACAGAGCTGTGGAATAATGATTTCGGTGTGATGAAAAGCACAGAGTAAGATTCTTTGCCACACTACAAATGGGATTTCTGAGTGCACAGGCTCTCTCCTCTCCTGGCATCCCCTGCAAGGGCCAGTAACTGGCCAACTCCTGATACATGTTTAGGGTCAGGGCCAGCCCAAGAAGCCATGTGCAAACTTCCCTGAAATCAGCTGGTCAAAACAGAGGATCTCAAGATGAGGAAGAAACATTAAAGTGGAAAAAAAAAAAAGAAAAAGAAAAATGTGCTCCCATTATACAGTTCTTGGGAGTAAGATAAATAATAATAATAGCAATTTTTAAGATTTTTAATATTTATAATGCACCAGAAACTCTGCCAAATATTTTGTAGTTTCAATTAACTTTCACTCCACATGTACAAGATAGCTGGGTATAATATTTTCTAACAGACGAGAAAACTGACTTTGTTAGACCATAACTATGACCACAATGCTGGTGAATGACAGAGCTGGGAGCCAGGTCTTCATGCCCTCAAAGCCCACACTCTTACTGATACTCAATACCAACTCACCATGCCCACCCTAACACGTATAGAGGGCCAATGAATGAAGCCCAGTTCCTGGGTCATGGTAGTGCAGTCTTACGCTGGGCAAACTGCTTCTTGTCTCTGGACCTCAGTTTCCCCATATGTGACAGGCAGATATGTATTCTCAGTATCTAGCACCCATTCTGATAAATAATTGTGCTTTTGCTGAATAAATCAATAAGCATAGGATGGTTCTTAGAGAAGTGTATATATTTTTGGTTTGTAGGACCTAGGAATAGGCCTAGCTATTGGCAAACTCCAATAGGGGAGATATTTAAAACTAAGTAGTGGCAGTTGCTGGAGGGGGAGTACGAATCCCAATATAGGAATTCAGAGGAGAAAGAATTAGAAGCGGAGTAACTTACAGTTCCAGGTAACCCGGGAGGGCCTGCAGGACCAGCTTCACCCTAGATGGAGAAATGGAAAATCCATGACCATTAATCTTCCTCCCAACTCTGCTTATGCTGCAACAGATCAGCTAACACTATTTTCCCCAGACAACAGAAGGTGTTGTCTTCTGCAGGGTGCAGGTAGGTGCACCCTGCACCTACCTTGATAGATACATACATACATAATTACATATGTACATTCCAAATTATAAACTATTTCAGACATATAAAAACATTGTTTTCAGAAGTATCCATATTGATATGCGTAGTGGTAGATCATTTATATCACTATATACTATTCTATTGTGTAAATGGTAATAAAGTGAAGGGGGATCCAAGGTGGCTGAATAGGAACAGCTCCAGTCTACAGCTCCCAGTGTGAGTAATGCAGAAGACAGGTGATTTATGCATTCCAGCTGAGGTACCAGGTTCATCTCACTGGGGCTTTTTGGACAGTGTGTGCAGCCCACGGAGTGTGAGCCAAAGCAGGGCAGGGCATTGCCTCACCCAGGAGGCACAAAGAGTTGGGGAATTCCCTTCCCTAGCCAAGGGAACCCGTGACAGATTGTAACTGGAAAATTGGGACACTCCCACCCTAATACTGTGCTTTTCCAACAGTCTTAGCAAACGGCACACCAGAAGAATATATCCCGCACCTGGCTCAGAAGGTCCCACGTCCACAGAGCCTCACTCACTGCTAGCGCAGCAGTCTGAGATCAAACTGCAAGGTGGCAGCGAGGCTGGGGGAGGGGCGCCCGCCATTGCTGAGGTTTGAGTAGGTAAACAAAGCAGCCGGGAGGCTCGAACTGGGTGGAGCCAACCACAGCTTAAGGAGGCCTGCCTGCCTCTATAGACTCCACCTCTGGGGGCAGGGCATAGCCGAACAAAAGGCAGCAGAAACTTCTGAAGACTTAAATGTCCCTGTTTGACAGCTTTGAAGAGAGTAGTGGTTCTCCCAGCACGGAGTTTGAGATCTAAGAACAGACAGACTGCCTCCTCAAGTGGGTCCCTAAACCCCAAGTAGCCTAATTGGGAGACACCTCCCAGTAGGGGCCAACTGAAACCTCATACAGCCAGATGCCCCTCTGAGACGAAGCTTCCAGAGGAAGGATCAGGCAGCAACATTTGCTGTTCTGCAATATTTGCTGTTCTGCAGCCTCCGCTGCTGATACCCAGGCAAACAGCGTCTGGAGTGGACCTCCAGAAAACTTCAACAGACCTGCAGCTGAGGGTCCTGACTGTTAGAAGGAAAACTAACAAACAGAAAGGACATCCACACCAACCCCATCTGTACATCACCATCATCAAAGACCAAAGGTAGATAAAACCACAAAGATGGGGAGAAACCAGAGCAGAAAAGCTGAAAATTCTAAAAATCAGAGCGCCTCGCCTCCTCCAAAGGAATGCAGCTCCTCGCCAGCAATGGAACAAAGCTGGATTGAGAATGACTTTGATGAGTTGATAGAAGTAGGCTTCAGACGATCGGTAATAACAAACTTCACTGAGCTAAAGGAGGATGTTCGAACCCATTGCAAAGAAGCTAAAAACCTTGAAAAAAGATTAGACGAATGGCTAACTAGAATAAACAGCATAGAGAAGACCTTAAATAACCTGATGGAGCTGAAAACCATGGCATGAGAACTACGTGATGCATGCCCAAGCTTCAGTAGCTGATTCAATCAAGTGGAAGAAAGGGTATCAATGATTGAAGATCAAATGAATGAAATGAAGCAAGAAGAGAAGTTTAGAGAAAAAAAGAGTAAAGACAAATGAACAAAGCCTCCAGGAAATATGGGACTATGTGAAAAGACCAAATCTACACCTGATTGGTGTACCTGAAAGTGACGGGGAGAATGGAACCAAGTTGGAAAACACTCTTCAGGATATTATCCAGGAGAACTTCCCCAACTTAGCGAGGCAGGCCAACGTTCAAATTCAGGAAATACAGAGAACACCACAAAGATACTCCTCGAGAAGAGCAACTCCAAGACACATAATTGTCAGATTCACCAAAGTTGAAATGAAGGAAAAAATGTTAAGGGCAGCCAGAGGGAAAGGTCGGTTTACCACAAAGGGAAGCTCATCAGACTAACAGCGGATCTCTCAGCAGAAACTCTACAAGCCAGAAGAGAGTAGGGGCCAATATTCAACATTCTTAAAGAAAAGAATTTTCAACCCAGAATTTCATATCCAGCCAAACTAAGCTTCATAAGTGAAGGAGAAATAAAATCCTTTACAGACAAGCAAATGCTGAGAGATTTTGTCACCACCAGGCCTGCCTTATGAGAGCTCTTGAAGGAAGCACTAAACATGGAAAGGAATAACCGGTACCAGCCACTGCAAAAACATGCCAAATTGTAAACACCACCCATGCTAGGAAGAAACTGCATCAACTAATGAGCAAAATAACCAGCTAACATCATAATGACAGGATCAAATTCACACATAACAATATTAACCTTAAATGTAAATGGGCTAAATGCTCCAATTAAAAGACACAGACTGGCAAATTGGATAAAGAGTCAAGACCCATCAGTGTGCTGTATTCAGGAGACCCATCTCACATGCAGAGACACACATAGGCTCAAAACAAAGGGATAGAGGAAGATCTACCAAGCAAATGGAAAGCAAAAAAAACCAGGGGTTGCAATCCTAGTCTCTGATAAAACAAAACGGACTTTAAAGCAACAAAGATCAAAACAGACAAAGAAGGCCATTACATAATAGTAGAGGGATCAATTCAACAAGAAGAGCTAACTATCCTAAATATATATGCACCCAATACAGGAGCACCCAGATTCATAAAGCAAGTCCTTAGAGACCTACAAAAAGACTTAGACTCCCACACAATAATAATGGGAGACTTTAACACCCCACTGTCAACATTAGACAGATCAACAAGACAGAAAGTTAACAAGGATATCTAGTACTTGAACTCAGCTCTGCACCAAGCAGACCTAATAGACATCTACAGAACTCTCCACCCCAAATCAACAGAATATACATTCTTCTCAGCACCACATCTCATTCATTCCAAAATTGGCCACATAGTTGGAAGTAAAGCACTCCTCAGCAAATGTGAAAGAACAGAAATTATAACAAACTGTCTCTCAGACCACAGTGCAATCAAACTAGAATGCAGGATTAAGAAACTCACTCAAAACCACTCAACCACATGGAAACTGAACAACCTGCTCCTAAATGACTACTGGCTACATAACAAAATGAAGGCAGAAATAAAGATGTTCTTTGAAACCAATGAGAACAGAGACACAACATACCAGAATCTCTGGGACACATTCAAAGCAGTGTGTAAAGGGAAATTTATAGCACTAAATGCCCACAAGAGAAAGCAGGAAAGATCTAAAATTGACACCCTAACATCACAATTAAAAGAACTAGAGAAGCAAGAGCAAACACATTCAAAAGCTAGCAGAAGGCAAGAAATAACTAAGGTCAGAGCAGAACTGAAGGAGATAGAGACACAAAAAACCCTTCAAAAAACCAATGAATCCAGAAGCTGGTTTTTTGAACAGATCAACAAAATTGATAGACCACTAGCAAGACTAATAAAGAAGAGAAGAGAGAGAATCAAATAGATGCAATAAAAAATGATAAAGGGGATATCACCACCGATCGCACAGAAATACAAACTACCATCAGAGAATACTATAAACACTTCTATGCAGATAAACTAGAAAATCTAGAAGAAATGGATAAACTCCTGGACACATACGCCCTCCCAATACTAAACCAGGAAGAAGCTGAATCCCTGAATAGAACAATAACAGGCTCTGAAATTGAGGCAATAATTAATAGCCTACCAACCAAAAACAGTCCAGGACCAGATGCATTCACAGCCGAATTCTACCAGAGGTACAAAGAGGAGCTGGTACCATTCCTTCTGAAACTATTCCAATCAATAGAAAAAGAAGGAATCCTCCCTAATTCATTTTATGAGGCCAGCATCATCCTGATACCAAAGCTTGGCAGAGACACAACAAAAAAAGAGAATTTTAGACCAATATCCCTGATGAACATCGATGCAAAAATCCTCAATAAAATATGGCAAACCGAATCCGGCAGCACATCAAAAAGCTTATCCATCATGATCAAATTGGCTTCATCCCTGGGATGCAAGGCTGGTTCAACATATGCAAATCAATAAATGTAATCCATCATATAAACAGAACCAAAGACAAAAACCACATGATTATGTCAATAGATGCAGAAAAGGCCTTTGACAAAATTCAACAACGCTTCATGCTAAAACTCTCAATATATTAGGTATTGATGGGACGTATCTCAAAATAATAAGAGCTATTTATGACAAACCCACAACCAATATCATACTGAATGGGCAAAAACTGGAAGCACTCCCTTTGAAAACTGGCACAAGATAGGGATGCCCTCTCTCACCACTCCTATTCAACATAGTGTTGGAAGTTCTGGCCAGTGCGATCAGGCAGGAAAAAGAAATATAGGGTATTCAATTAGGAAAAGAGGAAGTCAAATTGTCCCTGTTTGCAGATGACATGATTGTATATTTAGAAAACCCCATCATCTCAGCCCAAAATCTCCTTAAGCTGAGAAGCAACTTCAGCAAAGTCTCAGGATACAAAATCAACGTGCAAAAATCACAAGCATTCCTATACACCAATAACAGAAAAACAGAGAGCCAAATCACGAGTGAACTCCCATTCACAATTGCTTCAAAGAGAATAAAATACCTAGGAATCCAACTTACAAGGGACATGAAGGACCTCTTCAAGGAGAACTACAAACCACTGCTCAAGGAAATAAAAGAGGACACAAACAAATGGAAGAACATTCCATGCTCATGGATAGGAAGAATCAATATTGTGAAAATGGCCATACTGCCTAAGGTAATTTATAAATTCAATGCCATCCCCATCAAGCTACCAATGACTTTCTTCACAGAATTGGAAAAAACTACTCTAAAGTTCATAGGGAACCAAAAAAGAGCCCACTTTGCCAAGACAATCCTAAGCCAAAAGATCAAAGCTGGAGGCATCAGGCTACCTGATTTCAAACTATACTAAAAGGCTACAGTAACCAAAACAGCATGGTACTGGTACCAAAACGGAGATATAGACCAATGGAACAGAACAGAGCCCTCAGAAATAATACCACACATCTACAACCATCTGATCTTTGACAAACATGACAAAAACAAGAAATGGGAAAAGGATTCCCTATTTAACAAATGGTGCTGGGAAAACTGGCTAGCCATATGTAGAAAGCTGAAACTGGATCCCTTCCTTACACCTTATACAAAAATTAATTCAAGATGGGTTAAAGACTTAAACATTAGACCTAAAACCATAAAAACCCTAGAAGAAAACCTAGGCAATACCATTCAGGACACAGGCATGGGCAAGGACTTCATGACTAAAACACCAAAAGTAATGGCAACAAAAGCCAAAATTGACAAATGGGATCTCATTAAACTAAAGAGCTTCTGCACAGCAAAAGAAACTACCATTAGAGTGAACAGGCAACCTACAGAATGGGAGAAAATTTTCACAATCTACCCATCTGACAAAGGGCTAATATCCAGAATCTACAAAGAACTTAAACAAATTTACAAGAAAAAAATCAAAAAACCCCATCAAAAATGGGCAAAGGATATGAACAGACACTTCTCAAAAGAAGACATTTATGCAGCCAACAGACACATGAAAAAATGCTCATCATTGCTGGTCATCAGAGAAATGCTAATCAAAACCACAATGAGATACCATCTCACACCAGTTAGAATGGGGAACATTAAAAAGTCAGGAAACAACAGGTGCTGGAGAGGATGTGGAGAAATAGGAACACTTTTACACTGTTGGTGGGACTGTAAACTAGTTCAACCATTGTGGAAGACAGTGTGGCGATTCCTCAAGGATCTAGAACTAGAAATACCATTTGACCCAGCCATCCCATTTCTAGGTATATACCCAAAGGATTATAAATCATGCTGCTATAAAGACACATGCACACGTATGTTTATTGCAGCACTATTCACAATAGCAAAGACTTGGAACCAACCCAAATGTCCATCAATGATAGACTGGATTAAGAAAATGTGGCACATATACACCATGGAATACTACGCAGCCATAAAAAGGATGAGTTCATGTCCTTTGTAGGGACATGGATGAAGCTGGAAATCATCATTCTTAGCAAACTATCGCAAGGACAGAAAACCAAACACCCCATGTTCTCACTCATAGGTGGGAATTGAACAATGAGAACACTTGGACACAGAGTGGGGAACATCACACACTGGGGCCTGTAGTAGGGTGGGGGGAGGGGGAAGTGATAGCATTAGGAGATATACCTAATGTAAATGACAAGTTAATGGTGGCAGCACACCAACATGGCACATGTACACATATCTAACAAACCTGCATCTTGTGCACATGTACCCTAGAACTTAAAGTATAATAAAAAAGGTAATAAAGTTATTTCTTATCCATCTTCCTGTTGATGACATTTATGTGGTTTTCCTCTGATTGCAATCATAACTAATGTTGATTTGTTACAGCAAATATCCTCACACACATGCCCTGAGCACAATTACACATTTGAAGTCCAGCTGTCCTAGGGATGCCAGCAGGCCCTGCCCCACCCCCATGAAGGAGTGGGCTCTTCTCAGGAACCTGGGGGGAACAGTGTTACATTCCTATAAGCAACACAGGCTTGGGAGTTGAATCACCTGAGCTTGAAACCTAACTATACCATTTTATAAATTATTTTACCTACTTTGGCATGTTTTCTCTTTGCAGAACAATGATGCTGATAATACATACAGCTCACAGCATGGCACAGAGATTGAGCAAGACCGTAAGGAGTACGGTGTTATTACATTTGGCCTGAGGAAAGGACGTCACTGAGCTGCTCCACGCAAGACAGTCCATGGTGAGTGGATACAGTTTCCAAAGCCTGTCATTTCATGTGTGCCACATGGTCCCAGGGGACAGGTGTCTATGTCTAGATCTGCTTCTTGAACCAGCCCAGGACTGGCTCTCTTGCAAGCCTTCCAAATATGGTTATGAAATAGAAAAATGTTTGAATATAGTTGGCTTAGAGAGAGACAAGTTCGCCCTTAGTCAACAACAATAATATGATTATAAAATGTTGTATCCTTTTCTACCATTATTTCTATTGTTATTTAGCATTTGATTCCAGCTCCTGGTTTAAGTAGTTTCCATGTGTGAATCCATTTCATCTTTGTAGCAATGCCCATAATCTATCTATCTATCTATCTATATATATATATCTCCATTTCACAGATGAAGAAACTGAGGCATAAAAATGTCAATGAACCTGCCCTAAGTCACACATTCTGCAAATGGCCGAACCTGGTTTTAAGCTCAGAATGCATGCCCTTTACAATTGTGTGGCATTGCTCTGACTAAAGTTCCAGTAGCTTCAGAAACAAAAGCACTTTCTTGGTGTTACTGTGTATTATTTGATTTTACCCAATTCTCTTCCTGACATTGTTGAACTCAAGCTCCAGAACCAATCTCATCTAAACCAATTTACTCTCCATTAAAATGTCCCAATGATCAAAGTTAAGTGTTTTCCCAGTTGAATATATGAATGGGTATCAATGAGAAGAGGGCTGGAGGAGAGATGTGTCTCTCACCCTGAGGGCATGAAGACTGCCTTTTGGAAATAGCCTCCTCATCCTGAGGGCTGTGGACAAGGGAAGAACAGCGAGCTGGAGCAGGTAGACCCATGGGGGCTCTCTGCCTTTGGAAAAGAGGCTTGACTAAGAAGGATCAATGGGTGTTAGGGTTGATGCAACAGGCCTGGGTTCTAATCCCAGCTCCTCCATGACGTGTTTGACTGTCAGCGCCCCTTGCTGGAACAGGAGCATCACACACACCCTTCCCTGATGCTGTGGGCCTAAGTGCCAGTAATGGGGAAGAACAGGGGACGTGAAGGGAGAAGCAGAGGCAGAGACAGGCAAAGCACAGTCAGAAGAGGGCAATGTTGCCTTAATGTCTTCTTTTGGATTTTCTGACCAAAATTGTCAATTATCACATATTTCTCTGGAGGAAAAGAAAGGCAAACCAGATTCTTTGGAAGCTTGAATGTGACTGCCATGGCCCTGGCAATTCCGTCCAAGTAATCAAAGGGGCTTTATGGTCTCGCTAAGCCTTTGCATTCTGGAAATGAGTTTCTCAAATAGAAACTGCATTTCTGAAAAGTCCACGGCAGCAGCAGGCCTGAATGGCTTACTGAGGCAGAGCCTTTTCCACTCTGGGCTCTCTATTTATAGACCGCAAGTCTGCCTGGAGCAAAGTCCTCAGCCTCCAGCCCCAGAGAAGGAGGATGGGAGACACTGCCTGGAGCCCAGAAAGCACCTGCGCAGAAAAAGATCTGGAAATTGGAGGGGAGAAAGTAAACTTGGGAGAATGGGGCACCCTGAAAAGCATCATGCAGGAGGAGGAAGGATGCAAGAGCCCTCTGGGTGTGTGGGTGCCATTCCTCCTGAGGCAGCCCCAGGGCAGGCCTAGCGTGTGGCATTCTGTGCTAAGAGCCAGGACTTTCTATGTGCACTGGCAGGGTTTAGATCTTGACTCTAAACCTCTATTCATGCAGCTCTGCACAAGCAACTTAGCTTTTCTGTGCCTCTGTTTCCTCATCTATCAAGTGGGGATGTTGTTGACAGCAGTGACCCCTCATGGGGTTGGCCTGAGATTACCTAAGTCCCTACACAGACGGTGCTCAGGACAGTCCTGCACTCAGTGAGCCTGCCACAAGTCATCCACCAACAGGAAATCCTTATGCTCTTTAACAACTCTGAGGGTCCTTGTTGGACTGGCAAACCAAGGCACAGGAAGGTCAGGGAAGATGCCACACAGCAGATAGAACCAGGACCATACTCCAGGCCAGCATTATGGGTCCAAGAATGGTGCTCTTTCTACTAAGCTGCAGGCAAGCACAAATAAACTCCTATGAGGGGTTTGGGGCAGGTGTTTATAAAGTTGCCGTGGAACTAGAGGTGCATTTGGTCAGAACTGAGCATGAAACAGCAAGAAAAGCAAGTGCCTGGTACAGCACCTTACTCAGGGTGGGACTCCCAACCCTGTCCATGCCTGTACCCCCTTTAGAGCCAGTAGAGGGTAATGGTTCTATCAGCATCTATCAGCAGGGTGTATGTGTTCTACCAGCAGAGAGTACATGTTCTATCAGCAAAGAGTACGTGTTCTATCAGCAGAGGGTAAGGGTTCTACCAGCAGAGAGCATATGTTCTCCTCAGCAGAGGGTACATGTTCTATCAGCAGAGGGTATGTGTTCTATCAGCATAGGGTAAGGGTTCTGCCAGCAGAGGGTAAGTATTCTACAAACAGAGAGTGAGGGTTCTACCAGCACAGGGCAAGTGTTCTACCAACAGAGGGTACATGTTCTATCAGCAGAGGGTACATGTTCTATCAGTAGAGGGTATGTATTCTATCAGCAGAGGGTAAGTGTTCTACCAGCAGAGGGTAAGGGTTCTACCAGCAGAGGGTAAGTATTCTACAAACAGAGAGTGAGGGTTCTACCAGCAGAGGGTACATGTTCTATCAGCAGAGGGTACGTGTTCTATCAGTCTTCTTAGACAATGACTGTCAGAGCAAATGGACGTATCTTTGGTGAAAGGGTAAGAACTAGAAGCACAAGTTAGAATCTAGTAGAAAGGATGTCAGTCATTGTGGTTGAAAGCACGTATTTTAGAGCCCAACTGTCTGGACTCACACCCACCCTCACTCTGTAAGCCTGGGCAGAAAACATAGTGGAATTTTTAGAGACCTGCTTGGCAAAAGAGCCCTTCGACTGACGAACTACAGTTGTGTGAACCCCCTATGTCTGGTGGACTCCTGGGGTGTGATGAGGTTTTGTCGTGGATGGGGTGGGGGGGCGGTGCTTTAGCCTGGAGTCAGCATGTGGTCCCAGCCAAGCTTTGGTTCTGTGAGTGTGGGTAAGACAGTACATCTCTCTATGCCTTAGTTCTTTCACCTATAAACTGGGGGTTAAGACGAAAATGACTTCATAGTTCATTGTTATGAAGATCACCAGAGTGAGCAACGGAAAACTCAAGAAATTGCAACTTGCAAAACATACTGAGTATACGGAACCCATGATTTCCCCGCACGCTGTTCAAGCTCACTCTGCTTTAGCAAAGGATCTTGTGTTTCAGACAAATAGGCCCGTGGACAAACATCTCGTGCATGTGCGGTTTTGGCAACAGCTCACGCATGTGTCAAACTAATCAGCGATTTTCCAGTGGACAAATTCTGACCAAATCATGCTGACTCCAGTCTAAAGCCTCACCCCTGACTCCATCCACAACAAAACCTCATCACACCCTATGAGTCCACCCCCACCGCCCCGCCGTAGGGGGTTCATGCAACTGCAGTTGTCTCACCAAGCAGATCTCTAAAAATTCCATTATGTTTTCTGATCAGCACAGGTTTCTCTGGGGCTTTGACATGAGCTGAAATATTATAGATGAAGTACCTACTTGCACCTCTAGACCAGACACTATCCTGGGTGCTGGCTTGGCTCCTGAGTGGGGGCTGCTCTTCTAAGAAGGGGCTGGGACCAGGGATCCAAGTCCTTAGGAGGTGAAAATAGTAAGGGACTTTCCTTCCCGGACCACGTGTGCCAAGTTAGGGTTCATCATACTCTCCAACCTGTTTTTGTAAAAGAAGGTTGGAGAGAGTAGGCATACATCCTCTGTTACACTGTGATTTAAAAAGTGCATTCTTCCTCCTTGAACCTGCCCGCATGTTGCCAAAGGCAAGTGGCAGTCTGGAGCCTCCCTCCAAAGCAATCAGAGTCAGACCCTGTGGGCTGGGCTGGCCATGCAGTCCCACCCGTGGTTCTGTAGGTTAGGCGTGTATCAAAATCTCTCTGAGTCTCAGCTCTTTTCACGTGCAAAACACGCTTATGGATACCAGTGGCTGTTTTCTGTTTGTCCCTTTATATCCACTCCTGTTCCTTTCTCCATCCCAGGAGGCAACCTCAGTGGTCTCATTGACCTCATCCCCTGGATCCCAGTGGTCTAGTAGGAGATGGAGAGGACAGAGAAGGACGGGATGAGATGCTGAGGATGTCAGGCCAAGGAGAACTGGTTTTGTCTGTTTTTCTGCCCAGAATGACTGCCAGGCTCCTTCTATGGCTGCCAGCCTCTCTGGACTCTGGGACAGCTCCCTCCCCTTGTCCTTTCCCACTCTTGCTCTTCCTAGTCCTGGAGGGTATGGCCACATCCCATCGGCTTCCCTAAGCACTGTCCACAACCTGCAATTACTCTGTCATTGAATTCTCTTCCACTGTCCATTTTGATTGTGCTGCTCCTGATGGACATGGTGTCTGCCTGGAAGACAATGCCAACGAAGCCTCTCTGTGCACTTCAGGGCACACAGTAGGGCTCCACAAATGCCATGATGCCCCCTTGATTTAGATACAGTCTGCCTGGACTCAGGCTGGCTCCAGGGTCAACCACACAAGCAATGACACGCTGGGCTCATGAACGATGCAGGGGAAAGGATATAGGAGTCAGGGCACATGGGGTTTTTGCTCAGCTCGTTCTTCACACCCCGCTGGTGCCTCCATTGCCCTCACACCTGGGCTAATCATGTCTATTATACCTGTGAAAGGGGCAGTGGTGTTCAGAGAGAGATTGAACGTAAACAGGCGACACAGAGCACTCAGCACAGGACAGGAGCTCAGGCAGTGCTTGCATGTCACAGGCACAAAAGGGTGGATGGACGGATGGATAGTGAGATGAAGGTGTCAACTCCAATACTATTATCTTCTTTGTAAGTTTATAATTGCAAACAATAAAGTTTGAGGTTTATGTCTAGCGTATTATTTTCTCAAAAAGCAGCTGTGGAGTCATGAACGCAACTAAATTCTGCGGAAATGTAAAGATTCAGTACAGGCCGGGCATGGTGTCTCATGCCTGTAATCCCAGCACTTTGGAAACCCAAGGCAGACAGATCACCTGAGGTCAGGAGTTGCACAGGAGTTCAAGACCAGACTGGCTAACATGGAGAAATCTCGTCTCTACTAAAAACACAAAAATTAGCCAGGTGTGGTGGGGCATGCCTGTAATCCCAGCTACTTGAGAAGCTGAGGCACTAGAATGGCTTGAACCCAGGAGGCAGAGGTTGCAGTGAGACGAGATCATGCCACTGCACTCCCGCTTGGATGACAGAGAGAGACTCTCATTTTAAAAAAAAAAAAAAAAAAAAAAAGATAGAGTATATTCTGCAGAAAATCTCTTCCTTTAGAAAAACCCAACTAATAATAATTGATGGTCAGAATGAGAGCAAGTTTCTCCTACCTTTTCACCTCGGTCACCTTTCAGTCCTGGAAGTCCCAGTTCACCTTTTTCTCCCTATAATAAAAGATAAAATTAGAAAACATTAGAACCCAAACCGAGCTGAATTCCTGCCTCTTCAAGGTAAGAGCAACATGACTTTGGAAAAACATACATGTATATATTTCTCTCTCTCACTTGTCCTTGCCTTATCAGCAAAGTGGCCACAGTGAAGTGTAACTCAGAGGGGAACTAGTCAGTTAGGCGTGAAGCACCTCATTCTCCATTTGTCCCCTGACAGATGGTGCCTTCCACCCCTCAGCCCCATCTGCCTCCTCTGAAAATGCTCTGCCCTTTCCAGAGACATCTCCCAGCAATGGTCCTTTGTCCCAGCTCAAGGACCCAAGTAGTCTTATCCCCTTCCCCGTCCCTTCCATCAACACTGAGAAATACACTCTTCACCCAGTCAAAATTATGACTGTCCCGAGGGACTGAGACTCCACAGGGGGCTGCTCTCTGTGGAGATGGGCGAGGTTCCTGTGTGGGAGGAAGGAAGCTGCCACACTTACCTGGTCTCCTTTCTCTCCTCTCACACCTGGGAAGCCTGGAGCCCCTGGGAGGCCTGCTTCTCCCTGTGAGAACAAAATATTCACAAGGCGTCAACAGGAAGGCTCTCCCAGGGGCCAAGCTGCAGGCCATGTGCTCTCAGTTCCTGCTCTCCAGGAACTGGAGATGTTCTGGCTTAGTGGACATCACATGGAAAGCAATGCAGTGGAGAAAGCGGAATTCTAGAGAATTTCGTTCACTAGGGCATCCCCAAGCTCTTGTCTACTTCAGCTGTTTCCTTTCCCAGGAACCCTTATTTTGCCTCTCCTGGTGTCTAACCCTTCCTGTTTCTTTAGGACTCAGCAACAATGTCACCTTCTCAGCATCCTTTCTGACAGTCCCCAAGTCTGGGAAGCCCTCTCCTATGCCCCCAACACCTGCAGGCCACCACTCGTGACATCTGTTCAATTGTTCTTCAATGTCCAGTTTATCCTGGACATATAGTGAGCTCCCAAAAACCAGGATTAATTCCTCTTGGCATCTAAATAATTTATACAAGATGTAGCGTATAACAATGAATGAATGAATAAAATGAATGAATAAAAGCACAAACAAACAGACCTTCTCTCCAGGTCGGCCTGCCAGGCCCTGCTCCCCAATTTCTCCCTGAAAATGCAATAAAACATACCCCATTATTCTCCATTCACTTTAAAGAGATGACTGCCATTTCCCAGTTGTCCTCACACATTCATAGCACCTGCCAGCCACAACCCTTAATTTTCAAATATACGGCATGGTTAGAGGCCCAAGAGTCATGGGCTCTGAAGACCAAAGTGTTTAGCATTTTTGCAGAGCAGAATCCACTTTCTCATATAGTCTTTTGCTTTCCCCAAAAGAAACAACTCTTAGAACTGTCCCATTAGAATTTATTTTTTAATTTTTTTTTATTTTTTATTTTTTTTGAGACGGAGTCTCACTCAGTCACTCAGGCTGGAGTGCAGTGGCACCATCTCGGCTCACTGCAAGCTCTGCCTCCCGGGTTCACACCATTCTCCCACCTCAGCCTCCCGAGTAGCTGGGACTACAGGTGCCTGCCACCACGCCCAGCTAATTTTTTGTATTTTTAGTAGAGACAGGGTTTCACCATGTTAGCCAGGATGGTCTTGATCTCCTGACCTCGTGATCAGCCTGCCTCGGCCTCCCAAAGTGCTGGGATTACAGGAGTGAGCCACTGCGCCCGGCCAGAATTTATTTTTTTATTTTTAGTTTTAGTTTTTTTAGAGACAGGGTCTCACTCTGTCACCCAGGCTAGTACAGTGATGCAGTCATAGCTCATTGCAGCCTTGAGCTCTTGGGCTCAAAAAATTATCCCACCTCAACCTCCTGAGTAGATGGGACTATAGGCACATACCACCACTCACAAATGATTAAAAAAAAATTCTGTAGAGAAAGAGTCTCACTGTGTTGGCCAGGTTTAGTCCCCTTGGAGGAATACAACAGTTCCTAATTAGCACTTTGTGGTCCGGATGAAGTGGGGAACACAGGGCCAGAGGGGCTTTATCTCTGATCCAAGAGCATCAATCAGGCTGCTGCACTTCCCAGGTTCTTACAAATCATTGATGAAAAGAGCTTTGCGATGATGATGGTGGTGGTGAGCGCGGACTATCATCTTTATCCAACCATGTGTCTTTAAGATAACTAGCTTCTTGAATGACAATGTATTTCTAATATTCATATGCTATTTACTAAAACCTTTAGTGTAGATTTTAATAAGGAAATGTGGTTTTCTCATGAATGCATGGATGCACGAAAGAATGAATGAATAGGTGGTATGCAGGCTATAAAGATTTTTTGTGCAGCTATGCCAGACTCAGTTGGTACCAAAGGCCAGAACTACCAACTTATTGGAGAGAAAGACAAAAAAAAAAGAAGTAATTAAAAGTGTGGCTTAGTGTAAGCACACATTTTATCCTGTAGCGCTGGTGTCACACATCTGGAGTCAGCACTTATTAAAATTCTAGACACACTCCGATGCTCCCATCAATTCCCAATGTTTACAAGCACAATTAGTAAGAATTGCTCTAACCAGAATTGTGCAAATACTCGTCACTCAAATTGTTGCTTTCAATCTGCTAGAATAGTAGCACATTTGCAGTGGGAGTTGCTTCTTACATGCTGAGAAAGGATAAGGGGCTGAGTTTGGTTTAAAAAAAAAATTGAAGACCATCTGAAGTCCTCCCTGAATTTGGGTCGTGAACACCAATCCAAAGGCACAATGGAGGTGAAACGGTATCTTCTTGAATTCTCGAAGTGAGCCTCAAAATGTCAATGCCTCTGCTCATCCCGCAGACAGCTTTACCCTCTAAGTGGACTTTCACAAATCTGCCATCCATGACTTAGTCATCATCATCTTGGAAAATAATTTTTATCTTCAGTTGATGCTTTGTCAAAATAAAGTAACAAGACCCTCTGCCAGGGCTCCTCTAGGACTATGAGTATGTTGGAAAAGCGTCATGACCGGAGAAATTCAGTTTTAAACTTTTCAGAGAAATGTTTTGAACACAGAGCCTTAGAAATTGAATAAAAATGACACATGAGATAAAGCAGTAGGCTTCTCTGAATCTTTCAACCATGAGTGATGATCAGAAATATAAAACACATAGATTGAAAAGCTGGAGTAATCCCAGAGGGTCCCTATAATTTTAGCCCAGTAATTGTCGTAATCAATCCCCTTCATCTACAGAACCCTGCATGAGAAACTCGATGGGAATGGATTGCTTCATTACTGAATAGAAAGGTGGGGTTCATACAGTATAAACCCAGAAGGATTTGCCAATTCACAAATTTGAGGAAACACAACCATAAGGTATGGTTGACTCCATGAAATTCGTGAAGTCAAGAACAGCAAACCTAGATAAATGCTTTCAATCCTTTCTGGAAGATGATAGAATTTCAATCCAATCAATCAAACACTGAAAGGTGGCCCGAGTACTTTTAAGACCATGTGATTCACTCCCCTACACACACAACCACCTCAGGACAGGCATGAAAAAAAAACACACAGCAAATTACATGACATCACATTTCAATGTCATGGGGATCGGTGTAGACATATATTTAAATGTCAATATTGAATCTTAAAATAAGAAGGATATAGTGTCTGTCGGTGGCCATGGGGGGACTTATTGGTACACACTGGTACATTCATGGGGGCCATGAGGGCTGAGTTCCTCGGATCTGGAATCCAGGAAGTGGGAGGCTCATAGTGGCTCTTGGCAATACTCTTTCCACAGTTTGAGTCAACCTGGGTGTGCTTGAGACAGCTTGGATGCAATTTAATCTGTGTGTTTTTCTGCTTGGTTTTAATTGGGTCTTTTAAAAATGACCACTTTATGAAAGAGTGAAACAATAGGGAACATAAGGGCCCGGGATGTGCCCACCAGCACCTTCCCTGGCCAGCAAACGGATGCCCTGAGGTATGCCCTCCCACGGGGTCAGCTTCCCCCACTGTGTGGGATCCAGGCCACTCCTGTGCTCTGGCTGGGCTGAATTTGATCATGCATTCTCCACCTAGCAAGCCCGTACTGTGTATCTAAGCAGTGCTTGCCTGTGGGCGGGCAGTGGGAGGTGCAGAGTTGACTAAGACCCGGTCACTGGGTTTCAGTAGCTCATACCCCAGTAGAGCGGGAGCCCTGTGGGTGGAGGGCGGGAGGAGCAGAACTCCCCGCAATCTCCTGTCTGGCCACTGTCTCCTCAGCACCACAGGTTTCCATGCGTGCACACACACAAATGCACACGTGCACACTCACACCACACACACATGGCCCAGCAGAAAAGCCTCACAGGGCAGCAGTCACTCCTGGAGGGGGCCTGGGCAAAGCATGACCATCAACACAGGGCACTTGAGGGCTCTCCACTCACAGGGGCTGCCCTGTCCAAGTCACATGCTGGGAAGCCTCCATTTCCCCCTCAGGTCCATTTTTCACACCTCACCACCCACTGGAAGCTGGCCCGAGAAGGCTGAACTCTACGGATTGCATCTGCCAGCTTTCCTTGCCTTCTGGCTTTCTGTAGGGTCAAGGGATTAGGAAGCATCGCAGTGAAGGTAGAACACAGTTCAGAGAGAGCGAGCGAGCACTTGTATCTGTTCCTCTCACTCCCTCCCTGCCAGGATAAGCCAGACGCTGATGATATTCTTCTTCCCAAGGCCACGGCTCTCAAGGGGGTGGGGGCTCTTTCCGGCTCTCGTGGGGGATAGTGCCTTCTTCTCCAGCTGCAGATCTTGGTTCCGAGGAACCACTCCCTCCTCTGGTGCCTTCTGTCCTAGAGGTGGTGTTGGTTCTGTTGTTGCCAGCCTCATGTTGTCATCCTGGTTGGAGCCCTTAACCCTGCCCCTTTTCAAGTATCTGATGTGTCTCCTGCCAGGTCCCAGCTGATATAGACGCTATGCTTATGGTAAGTCGAGATTCACACACCACCCCAAATAGACCACTCAGAATAGCAAGCATAATGGGAAAAAGAGGCAAAGTCCATACCCGAAGGCCTGGTTTTCCAGGCAGACCATCTTCCCCTCTTTCTCCTGGTTCTCCCTGGAAGGAATACAGAGCAAAGTTAACAGGAGACGGGCCATGCTTGGATTAAACAACACAAAGTACTAGGCACAGGTTGGAAGGAAGAGAACTACCTGCACTCGGGTGGTTTTGAACTGCTTCAACTCTGCGATTACCTAACCACAGTCATCAAACACAGCAGCTCATTCAGCCTCCTAGGTTCCATATTCAATAGCTGTAATTTTGATTTAGAAAAATATAATTGAGGAGAATTGGCATTCTCTCTTATTGAGAGATTTAGAAGAAAGGAAGATGTTGCATAAGTGTTTCTAAGAATAAAAAAAATACTTGGTCAGCCATGATCCTTTGTCTCAAAAGACGGGAAAGAAAAAAATTCACAATATTTACATTCAATGCCTAGAAAACTAAATTAAATCCACACTTATTCTGTATTTTGCCATGAAGTTGACCTTGTAAGTCTGTTTATTGAAAAATGACAACACATTTTCCCGTAATATTCAACAGTTGCCTTTCCAAGTTGCCTTTCAAGGACTGTTGAGGTGCATACTTGAGTCTGGGTGTGCTCACAGGAAAGAATAAAGTTCATTTGTTCATTTGCTAAAATACTGGTATGGTTGTATAATAATTCATTTAAAGTATTGAAACCTGTATTTGCTCCCCAGTTTTATGCTATTTAACCTTTGACTCTTACCTTAATAATTCTACCATAAGCCCCACCAGAACATTGTTAAAATTGAAATCTCTTATTATGTTAGTAAGAGTATTTAGAAGTTTTCCTCCTTGAAAATAAAATAAATACATAAATAAACGTATTTCTAACAGATCAAATTTTTTTTTTGAGACAGGTCTCTCTCTGTTGCCCAGGCTATAGTGCAATGGCACAATCATAGCTCACTGCAGCCTCAAATTCCTGGGCTCAAGCAATCCTCCCACCTTGGCCTCCCAAGTGAATGGGAATACAGGTGCCCACCCCCATGCCAGGCTAATTCCTGCCTAGGCCTCCCAAAATGCTGGGATTACAGCTGTGAGCCACTGTGCCTGGCTAAATTTTAAAGCCTAGGGCTTCTAAATCCTTCTGCAGTTATCTGAGAATAAATAAGGAGCCTTCCCCCATCTGACCCCATAAATCCAAACATTTCAACTGAATCCTGATCGAAGACCCAGGCAATTGACTTGTTGTAGAATTCACCAACAATCAAGCATCTCTTTAGTTTCTGTGTTTTGGGTTCCCAAACTGGTGCCAACCGCATCAGTGACCAACCTTGGTTCCTGGCGGACCTGGTGGTCCATTTGGCCCGTCCTTTCCAGGGGGTCCCTGGGCCAAGAGGGGAAAACATAAATAAAAAGGAAAGGCATATTTAGGAAAGGCTTACATTAAGTTGTTTCAAACCAGGAGCTGTTTTTGCAGCCAGAATGCAGGAGGCTCGGGCGTCTGCTCTTTGATTAGCAGGGCCCTGTCTCCAGAGCGACTGTGGTCTCTGTCTGACCACATTTCCCTTTGTTACTACTGAAGCAAATATCACCCTCTGGGCAATGTCTGATTTTCAGTACACTGGCCATGCATGGAGGGTGGGGGCGTGGGAGGACATCTGCCAAATCTTGCTCTGATGGTTCTATTTCTACCCTCAGCTTCCAGGAGGCCCTGGGGACAACAATGTCCACACTGCTCCTCCTCTCTCCTCTCCAGAATCTTTTTGCCATCTTGTATCTTCCTTCCCACTGCTATCCTCCCTTCCTCTTGTCCTTCAAAAAAGCAAAACCTCAATCTCTCAGCATGGTTTGGCATTACTGCCTGTTATTTCGAATGCCAGCACTGAGGAGCTCCACGTTATACTTTCCAACACCAGGAGTTTCCTTCTACCATGAGGATATGGCAGGACAGGTGTTACTGCAGCTGTTTGCAGGTGAGGAGACGAAGGCTCTGCAGGCTGAGTGACTCACTCAAGGTCACAGAGCTGGTGACTGGGACCTGCAAGGTTTAACGGACTCCACCTCCAGGCTCCTTCCACTACACCAGAGACACTTCATCTTCTCCTTTTCCTCTGTGCCTTAAATGATATCGGGTCACATGGGGGCGGGGGGGGGGTGGTGGAAAACACACCCTGGGGCCTGTTGGGGTGTGGAGGGAGGTGTGCAGGGGGAGGGAGAGCATCAGGAAGAATAGCTAATGTATGCTGGGCTTAATACCCAGGTGATGGGTTGATCTATGCAGCAAACCACCATGGCACATGTTTACCTATGTAACAAGCTTGCACATCCTGCACACGTACCCTGGAACTTAAAAGTTGAAGGAAAAAAAAAATGTGTCAGGCACACACACTCTTCCCCATGACTGACATTAGGGAAATCATTTCCCCCAGCGGAATATCTTCTGTGCTATTGCTTTCAGAGCTATTAGTGCTGTTCAAAAGTGAACGTTTTTTATAACCCTGGTGATTCTTCCACCCACAGAACCTGCTGCCACCCAATTTGACTCATCTCTCCCTGTGCCTCCAGCTTGGACTGGCGACTAGTGAAAAGACAGCCCCGCCTGCACAGAGCAGGTGTCCTGGAAGCCAAGGCTTTAGGAAGGCAGGAGGAAGGGCTTTTGAGGGGATTAAGGCTGCCTGAGTCAATGAAAGCAGGATCTTGACCAGGAGCAAATGCCAAGGCCAGAAGCTGTGCTTCAAACCTTCTGTGGCTACAGCTGCATCTTGACAGATGAGAAATGCTCACAGTGTCTTTCTTCCTCTAACACGCTCCCCTCCTCTGAATGTTCACACCGATCTGCATACTTTCTGATGAGCCCTTTGGATCGGATGGGATTGCTCATGTGTTTGAGCTTTCAGATGATCCCGTCACTCATGGAAAATGTTTATTGGTGACGTTGCAGTTGACTGTGTGTTTAGAAACGTTTGCCGGTGATGGTGCCATTCAGCCAGTGTTCCTCCCACACGCAATCAGATCACCTGAGTGCCCAGCGCGGCACTGAATTCATGTCCAGTACCCTTTGGCATGCTGCACTGGGGAGCAACAGAGCTGGGGAGGACGCTGGTGTTACCACGACCACAGGCCCCCTGGGCGCCTTGATCCACATTCTCCCATGGATCTGTGCTCCATGGAGAAGTGGGGAGACCTGCCCCATGTGTTACCCAATCTGCTTCACCTCCGCCTCACCCCTCCTCCAGCATCAGGAGCCTTCCAGCTGGGGCCTTCCCCATCTGGGCTCAATGAGGGAGAACTAGCTGTAAGGAAATCCCTTTAAGGTGGCCCAGGGGCCTCCCTGAGGGTAGATCATGAGATCTACCCAGGTCTCAGCCCACGTCATCCATCATCCTGCCCTAAAGAGCTGCAAGCCAACTTTAACTGTGCCCCTCCTATCTGGGGAGACATTAATGTTTTCTAAGCTCCACCTGCCCCCTAAGATCCCCCAGGTCTCTCAGTTTGCAAGGGAGAAAACATGATCAGGATCGTAATGGGAAGGGCTGCCACACAGCTCCCCGCCTGTTGCTTCTGGTCCCCTCTGGGTATTCCTCAAGGACAAGCGGTCATGCCTTCAGCAGCAAAGGACTCTTGAATGTGTCTTTTGGTGAAAAGAGAAAGGTCAGTGGCCTAGGGACTGTGGTCCTAATCCGCACCCTGGCCAGGGCACCCAGGGAGCCTTCCCACAGACAGGGCACTAGCACGAGTGAGCCACCACAGAAAGAAGACCCAGCTGAGCTCCGGGGCTGCAGGCCTTGCTGGCCAAGGAGTCCTCAGCTCTAGGAAAGTGGCTCTGGGCCAGCTGCAAGGGCTCAGTGCTCCCCCCAGAGCAATGGGGAGAGGGAGGAGGGGAGCAGGAAGATGTTTCCGAACACTCACCGTGGGCCCAGGAGGTCCAGGCTTTCCCGGGAAGCCGATCTCTCCAGGCAAACCCTGAAAGGGGACCACATGGACCCTGTTAGCCTGGCCTGTTCAGAGATCAGATCATTGACTCAACCTCTTTCCTGGCATGGGCCCAGGCCTCTGGGTCTGAGGAGGGCACCCTGGGGCCTCTACTGTCCTTGGTCATCCGCTGTGAAACGCGGAGTTGTTGCACCTCTGAAGTTGACACGTCCGTGGCTTGTGCGGCCTGCAGTCGGGGCGTCCTTCCTATCCAATGCCACCTGCCGGGACAGAGGGAGCTGCCTCCCTCTGCTGATGGCAGGGCCTGACCCACTCCGTAGGTGGGTGTGGATTCTCCCCACTCCCCCATGCCCACTTTCAGGACACTTTTTCAGCAGCCCCAAAAGATGGGAGGGGAAATGTTAGCAAATGCTTGCCCGGGTCCTCTGTTTTGCCTCAAAGCCAAATCACAAACTACAAAAAGACATCCGAATGGGCAACCCCAGGCTAACATGCCTTCTACATGCTGGACTCTGGAGGCAGCCACCAAAGTGCCACATTAGCTCCAGTGATACTCTAACCTAAGGGTTCCGAAGGTCGGAGAGTCCAGAAGCTGGCGGTTCTACGTGTCGGGGTCCTCCTGTGTGTGTTTTTGCACTGGACTTGGGTGGATAAAAGACAAGAGGCCATTCACAAAGATGTCCCCAGGTCCCACAGGCCAGGAAACCACCATCTAAGAGCCCCTGTAGAAAATCAAAGCCAGTCTTACCGGAGAACCTCCCGGTCCAGGGGGGCCTGGGACACCAGGGGGTCCTGGAGGGCCCTGTAGAGAAAGAGCATTTGGTGGGCTACAGATGGGTCCTGATGAGCCTCCTAGGGACAGTGGGCATTTGAAAGAGGCAAAGGGAAGGGGACAGGAGGATGAGGTGGGATTTTAACTTTATTTGTAATGCCTGATTTTTCAAACAAAAATAAGCAAAAGCAAAAGGAAAAGATTGGAACCAAAATTTGCAAAATGCTAACATTTCATATTTGGGTGATGGGCATGCCATCGCCTGTAATATTATCTATTCTGCTATATATTCAAAATGTTTGAACATTTAATGTAAATACATATATGTGTGCACATGTGCAGACACACACACACACACACACACACACACACACACACACACACACACATAGTCTGACCCATGCATAAAGGCCTTCCAGAAGAGTGCTTCTCAATCATGAGTCATTGAGCAGGGCTGGCGCCAGGATCAGAATCACCAGGGGTGAGTAAAAAGATCTCACGCCCAGGCCTTCTGGTTCTCTAGGTATGGGGTGAGTGGGTCTCGCATCTGTACTTGTGAAGGTTCCCCCGTGATTCTATGGAGATCAGTCCTCACAGCTGCTTGACAGATGTAGATTCTTGTGCTATTTAAATCATTCATGGTCTACACTTAAACTTTGGGGCATCTTCACGGGCCAGGAACAGAAGCAGGTACTGTTAGCAAACAGAAACGTAAGACCCGTTTCCAAGCTCCTGTCTTGGTTGAGGGGGAGGGCTGGGGAGGGGAGAAACATGTAGACAAATAATTACGGTAGAAAAGGGCTGGGCATGGTGGCTCACAACTGTAATCACAGGACTTTGGAAGGCTGAGGCAAAAGGATCACTACAGGCCAGGAGTTTGAGACTAGACTGGGCAAAATAGCAAGACCCTATCTCCCTAGAAATAAAAAAATAAAAATTAACTGGTCATAGGGGCTCTTGCCTGTAGTCCCAGCTACTCAGAAGGCTGAGGCGAGAGGATTGTTTGAGACTGGGAGTTTGAGGCTGCAGTGAGCTGTGATTGTGCCATTGTACTCTGGCCTGGGTGCAGAGCAATATCCTGTATCTACAAAAAAAAAAAAAAAGAAAGAAAAAAAGACAAATGGCCCAACTAAACCTATGAGCACAGATCTAGGTCCAGGGGGTCCTGGGACACCAGGTCGTTCTTGCACCTGGGAGTGATGCTGCACTCAGAGGGATGAAGGCAAGTGGGCAGAGAAGGCACCTGAGTACTGAAGAAAGCCCGAGAAATAAACAACAAGGCAGGTGGGCTGCATTCATAAAGGCCGGCTGCTGTTGAAGGTATTGCGTTTTGAATGACAGCCAACAGTTCCACATGAAGAGAGTGTGGGCCTGCACAGGGCAGATGGAGGCTGAGCCAGGACCTCAGAGGCCACGGGCTGTCATAGTGAGGAGGAGCGACTTTGCCGTGAAGGTCTTGGAAGTAACTGAAGGAGCACAAGAAGACGTGTATGGTCACACGTGTGTCCAGGAAAGCAGCCTGCAGTCTGGGGTGACCAGAGGGAGGAAGGGTGGACATGGGGTTATAAGCAGGGGCGAGCTGGAATCACACAACACCAGGGCTGGGAGGGAGAGTGGATGTGGCGTTCTGCATATATCCAGGTTCCTGATAGTCCTCACGCAGGGACCCGCTCATTTTAGAACAGCCAGTGATCCCACAGCTGAACCACCTTCAGTGGCTCTGATTTTCTAAAGGGTAGTGCTCTTCCAAGCGAGTTCACCACGCCCTCCTCCCTCAGCTCCAGCACCACAGCGTCCAGAAGGTGCAGATGACTTTTCTAGCTCAGGTTTCTCTCTGGATACCCCCTCCCCTCCCCTCCTCCCACACCTCCCTTCTGAGCCATCTCCACCTTTCTGAGATGGTCTCCAATTCCCCAGTGGAATTAAACTCTCCCTGCTCCGTGCTCAAAACCAACTTAACTGTGCTGATCTGATCCACAGATCCTCGAGGGCAGGCCCTTCTTGTTCCCCCTGCACCTCACACAGTGATTATCCTAGGGTGTGGCATCCAGCAGGCGCTCAGTAAATGCTTGAGGCAATCTCCTGAATTGAGCCAGAAGCCGAGAGCCTGGGTTTGCATTCAGAAAGAACAACACTGCATGGCCACTAGAGGGCGAGAAATACCAAAAAATGGCAGAGGTGGCCGCATCGGTGAACTGTTCCCCTTTCTCCCTCTGGGGGCACCCGTGAGTCAGAAAACAGGCATAGACCAGGACCATTTACTGAACAGGATTTGGGGGCACCTGGACCTAGTTTTCTCGGCAGCTCGCTCCGTCCTGGCAAGTCTTAGGGGTAGCATCTTCCCTCATCAGACACATTTGTTCACAGCTGGAGCAACGGAGGGGCAGGGCAGGGCTGCAGGGTGCCCTGGGCAGGTTCCAACCTGGGTCCTCCCTAATGGACGAGGGCTGCTGGAAGGCTTTAAAGAAGCCTCCCGGCCTTGCTGTATCGTGGGCTGAGCCTTACTACCTCCACAGACTGCTCCAGCTTGGCCCCTCACTTCTCTCAGCAAAGCAAGAGCCCTGCAGTGACACTCACAGCTCCCACACACTCCAGAGGCACATTCCAGGCAATGTTTTTTTGTTTTTGTTTTTGTTTTTTGAGATAGGGTCTTGCTCTGTTGCCCAGGCTGGAGTGCAGGGGTGCAATCATAGCTCACTGCAGCCTCCAATTCCTTGGCTCAAGTGATCCTCCTGCCTCAGCCTCCTGAGTAGCTGAGACTACAGGCGTGTGCTACCATGCCTAATTTTATGATTTTTTTGTAGAAACAGGGACTTGCTATATTGCACAGGCCGATCTTGAACTCCTGGGCTCAAGCAATCCTCTGCCTCAGCCTCCCAAAGCACTGGGGTTATGGGGGTGACAGGTGATCTAATTTTACCTCAACACGGTCTTTGAGGGCCTCATAGCACCCCAAGCCCACAGAGCATATCCGAAGGCCCTTCCCAAGCATACAGGAGTCTCTTTGTTAGCAGTCTGAATGAACAATTCAGTTCCCTTCCCTCCTTACATGTCTAAGGATGCCGATGACCTCTGGAGTGTTTTATGCTTTTTCAAAAAAGGTGAGCCCAGGAAGCCGGCCCCCTGACCAGCCCCTCGCTCTGGCCCTGCTTGCCTTCCTCCTTTGCCCCTTGCGAACACCCTTGCCCTGCTGCTGCTTGCTAGTTTTGGAGTCTCATAGCACGTTAGAGGTGATGGCTCTTTAGCGGTCTCCTAGTGGAAATTAAACCTCCTTGTCTGACAATGAAGAAAACTGAGGCCCAAAGAGGGTCAGGACCCACTTTAGGTCACACAGCCATCATCTCTGGCTGCTGCAGATACACCTGGAGGGCCTGTCACAAATGCAGGTACACAGAACCCTTGTTTAGATTCAGAGACAGCAGGTCAGGGACAGGCCCCAAGGGTCAGTGACTTTTGAGACACCAGGTAATTCTGATGAGCTGCCAGGTTTGGGCATGACTCGTCCAGGCCAGCTCCGTATTCCATCACCACCACCACTAGCACTGCTGATGAGCCCGTGAGCATAACATCCCAGGAAGAAGCACAACCCGGGAGAGAGAAAAAAACCAGAAAGGCAGGACAAGGGGCTCGGCCACCTCCATTCAGTGTATGCTCCACCTGTGTTTCATACACCAGCTCATTCCAGCCCTCCACTGGCCATGGGAGGCTGGGCTTTTTCATTAAATTTACAGAGGAGGAAAATGAACTGATATTAGATAAAGCTCATATATGGATACAGCACCCTGATCCCTTCTCTCCTCCCAAGCCCAGTACCCCAGCCTTGCAAACTGTCTGTACAGTCCCCACTCAAGGACACGGGTCTCACCCTGCTGTTACAGCCCCTTTCCACCCTTTAACACAATGAGATCTCCTAAAAGACTCTGCATGTTAAGGGAGACTAGAACTTAGGGCTCTAAATATGGGTTTGAAGATCTCAAAGTCTATCTCCCTGGTAAGACCACAGCAACTGGTTCCATGCTATGCACACAGCAGAGGTTGAGTCACTGTCTGCTTGTTTGATGCTGTACACTTCGGAAAGAGAGGGAAAGCCTACCCAGTCATTAAACCTAGCAACTGCCGTAGCCATTTACAGAGAGAGAGAAGCTGGAAGCAGCTGGAAGCAACTGTCTGAAAGTCTGGAAAGCTCTTCCAGGAGGGATCACAAAAAGGGTGAGGTGATTTGCTTCCAGCCTCTTTTCCAATTTACAGGGGACGTGCTCACAAGTCCAAGTGGGAAACGCCAGGTGTGGTGGCAGGAGGGAACAGCCCTCAGGATCCAGCTGCAGCCAACCTACCCCAGACCCTGGTCTCTTGGCCATGCTCTGCCTTCAGATGGCCACAGAGAGCCACACAGTGTGGGCAGAAACTCTAAATAGAGCAGCCGCCTCGCCTTGGGGGTTACATTCAGCCTTGTCCTGATTACCACACAGGTGCTGAAGCTGGGACTTCAGCTCTGGCATAACTCGCTTTGTTTCTGACACAGCCTCAGGCCAGCTGTGGGGAGGGCTGGTGAGGGAGGGGTAGGAGGACAGGAGCATCCTGTGAGGACCTGGACGTGAGGGCCTTTCAGCCCACGGCTAGGATAGCTATTTCTACTTTGGCACTCCCCCAAAAGGAAGGGAGAAAACTGAATTTCCTAAAGCACTGACTATATGCTTGGCATCCTACAAGGATTTTGTCCATATTACCACAAGGCCCCTGGACAGTATCTGTCTCCCTGCCCATGTGCAGGTCCCTGCACTCAGGGTCTGGGAAGATTCACACCTTGGATGGAAGAGGGTGTCAACAGGTGACAGGGTGTGGGTGATGCCTTTAAAGGGAGAGGGGCAGTGGGCAGGCACAGCTTTGATCCTTAAAGCCAAGGACCTGCACTATCCTGGAGCACCTGGAAGAAGTTATCCCTGGAGACCCAGTATGGCGGTGGGCAGGGCTCCTTCCCCCAGCCAACGCCTACTACGTACCGCTGTGTTCTCTCTGGGGTCTTAAGACAACTCAGCCCTCCACTCCAGAAAATTACAGCCTAGTAAGACACATAAAACACAGGCCTCTGGTGTCCCGGGAAAAGCATCAGAGGGCTTAGGATCGAAGGCAGGGTTATATTTTGAGCAGCTGTGTGACTTACGGCAAGGGTTTCTAAAAATATATAGTAGGTACAAAAATACTTTCTGTGCAGAATTGTTTTGTATAAAAACCATGGCTTCCGGCATGTAGCAGAATTCATGAGATACCTGTTGAAAAGAATGAAAACAGAGAGACAAAAGAGGTGCTCGAAGGCCACGGAGCTCAGAGGAAGGCATGGTAGAGAAATCAGGAGCATCTCGAAAAGTGGGGTGAGCTTGCTGTGGAAGGGCTTAGTAGGGCCTGAACAGAGGGGAGTGGAATAGGAGAGGAAGGAAGCCACAGGAGGATGGAGCTGCTGAGCCATGGCTAGATGGGAGGGGGAGGGGAGGAAGAGACACACACACCCGGGGCAAGAAAACAAGGCTTTGTCTTCGAGGGAGCACAAAAATAATAGAGGTGGCATCAAAGAGTGACACAAAAAGACTTATGCTTAGAAAGACACATTTCTAGGCTGGGCGCATTGGCTCACACCTGTAATCCCAGCACTTTGGGAGGCCGAGGCGGGCAGATCACCTGAGGTCGGGAGTTCAAGACCAGCCTGGCCAACATGGAGAAACCCCATCTCTACTAAAAATACAAAATGAGCCAGGTGTGGTGACGCATGCCTGTAATCACAGCTACTAGGGAGGCTGAGGCAGGAGAATCGCTTGAACCTGGGAGGCAGAGGTTGCAGTGATCCAAGATTGCACCATTGCACTCCAGCCTGGGCAACAAGAGCAAAACTCCGTCTCAAAAAAAATAAATAAAGACACATTTCTAGTGTCCTTAGCAGCCAATGGTAGGAGGAAAACTTGCAAGATGAGAGACCATGAGACAAATATGAGAGCAGGCAGAAGGCAGCCAGCGCCAGCACTGGAAGAAGGTGATAGGGGGAGGGATGCAGGCAGACCAGGGGCAGGTCTGAGCCAGAGCTCAGTGGTGATGCGGTGACCAGCTGGATTGGGACTGGGACACAACCTGATACTCAAAAGGGGAGGGCCTTGCAGGGGAATGGGCAGGTGTGTGGGGTTGCTGTGGGGCATGATGGATTCAGTTTTGATCTATTTGATGTGTTTAGTTAAAAAGTCTACAGGGCCTGAGAGAGAGAGAGAGAGTGAGTTCTGGGGGTAACTGTGAATGTAAACAGAGTGCTGGTCTACCCGTGCTGCTGTTGGCTGAGGGATCCCAGAAAGCTCTTGCATTTTCCAGATAAGAGAACACTCTGTAACAGAGGCTCCACATCATCTCAGCTTTCCTGGATGACATAATGGCACTTCAGCATCTTCCATGGCCTTGGGGGACCTTACCGTGAGGCTCAATAGCTACTGTTGAGTTTGGACCAATCTTCTTTGGCCTTCTGATAAATCAGTACCCTCATTTTATGTCCTTTTTTCTTCTGGAAATCAAGTTGAACAATACCTCAAACAGAACAGCCATTTGAGTTACCTCACTGGTAAGTTTCCCAATGAAACCAGAAGACTAATTGCCAAATCATAGGAGAGCAATATTGAACTCATTTTCTATCTTTTTCTGCAAATACTTGAATGGCATTTGGGTTTTCTAGGACTAGAAAGCCCCTTTCCCTTCCTCTCCTCCACTTTCTCCCGCCAAAAAATGTCTAGAAAGCCAAAGATTCTACACATTATTGTCCTTTTATAGATGAGAATATTAGAGTTTCCAGTCTTTCAAGAAAGAATGGGACTACAGGAAGGCCAAGAATAAAACGCAAGAAGCGACACTGTCAGGAGCACTCACAGGTGCTGCGGGCAAGTCACTCTTCCCCTGTGGGCCAGGGAACAGATAGGTAGAAATTTACGTAAGAAAAATCTGGGACTTTGGTTGAGGATGACCTGGGTCAAATCCCAGGTGGCCTCATACTATGTCAATGGACTTGGACAATGGACTTCTCTCAGAGCCTCATTCCAGCTGCCATAAAACGGTTGGAGGCCCCTTCTTCAAATCACTACGTGTGAATTAAAGAAGTGTGAACTAGGCCAGAACTCAGAGGACTTCACAAATGTTACTTTTCTTTCTTCTCATTTAATTGTTAACAAAATATCTAAACAACCAAATCATCTAATTATTAATGAGTAACAAATTAGTCAACAGACATAAATATTAACAACAAAATATGACTGTTCTCATTATTAGTAATGAAAACAAGTAATTAACCACTTATTAATTAACCAGTCCAATTACTAATGAAGAAACACTTGGTCCCTCTAATACTACAGTGACTATTTAATATGATTAGTAGTTACAATGATGATGCATGAATGACTAATTAACCTAATTATCATTAGTAAAGAATAATTATTCCTAATAACCACCTAGTTCCAATTGGATTTATAAAGTTAGATGGAATTTGAAGATGCATGAAAATTACTTGCATAAATTAGCATGACAATCAAATTCCTTCGTGACTTGGACATGTTTATTTTGGGGGGAAGCAGTTCATAATTTGGGAGTCTTCCTCTGAGATGGTAGATCCCTGTGGCACTAACCCTATGACTTCCCACTTCAAGGGGTTTCTGCACAGAGGCCCAGGCCCACAGCCCACCCAGCCTCTTCTCGGGCCAAGCCCTCCCCTGCCTGCATTTCCACCAATTCAAGGGACTTTGTCCTGAGCACAGCACCAAGCCGCACTGCCTGCACATAAACACTTGGCCAGCCCAGACACCAGATTTCCAATTTTCCTAAAAGGCTGCCAGGATACAGGAGTCACCACATAGGACATCATGGATGTATAGATTTATTGTAAAATTTTCTAGCAGGTGGAATATTTCATTCTGAAAGACAGGCATAAAAAGCATCTTATAGGATCCCAGCCACCCTGGGGCTTTGCACGCTCCAAGATGGCAGTGCTGGCTCTTCCCATAACGCAAAGCTAATTAAACTCTCTGAGCTTGGTTTCTCTAGATTTTAAATGAGGGTAAGCAATTTTGCTCACAGGCAGTTATAAAGAATAGACACGATTATATATGAAAGCTAAAGAGAATGCTTGGCAACAGCAGAAACTAAACACACATGTTTCCCTTTACTTCTCCCCACTGCTCTTTCAGGGATAGGCTGCCATGGGATCAACCTCGGTTTTCCAGGTCAGTGTCAAGATCCTGCTCTGGGCCTCCACAGAGCCCTGACCTCCTCTCCAAAGCTCAGCTCAGTGGATTCTCCTTCCAGATTAATCCTGTGCTTTTGTTTGATGATGCTTTCACATCTTGAGGCCTTGTGGATGCAGGGAGGGCCTTCCCCTTCCAGGATTAGCTACCTAGAGATAGCAAAGGACTTGCTTGAGAGTAGGACCCTGATCTGCAAATTAGCCCATCCCTAGTCCACCTTCTTCAATCAGGCCCCTGTGGTGTGGGACAGGACACTACCTCTCTGCCCTAAATCACCCCTGGACCAGGTACTAGACCGTGAGAAACCACCTGTACAGCTTGGAGCCTGCGGAAATTATTCAAACTGTCCAATCCTAAGCCTGCTCAGCAACTGACCCTGCCTCGCCCTTGACCAGTAGTGGCTCCTGCCCAAGTTTGCCTTTCACCCTTTCTGCCTCCAAACTGCCTCTGTTGCTCCCCGAAAGCTCTGCGGGAAATAGACGCTCCCATCCATGGAAACTGTGAGGAGCAAAACTGTCTTCAATGACAGTCGTCTTCTGATCTGTTGGCCTCACCTTGCCTGAATAAATATGAGATTTAGGGTTCAGATGAAAACACCTCCTCTATCTGTGTCTCTTTCTGGCCCATTAATGTACGAATTCTCATGGCATAGACTGCAGTTACTTAGATTTTACGTCCCCAGGGCTGAATTTGGTACCCAGTGCGTACTTAATAAAAAACTGTTGAATGAATAAATCCATGAATGAATAAGCAAATGCATGATAGTAAGCAGGAGAAAACAGAGGCCAGGCCCAGGCAAGGTAGACACATGGATATGTCAGGAAGAGTGAATTAGAGGAAATGGCTGAGATGCATAGAAACCCAGGCTCTGGCCGTGGAGAAACAGGAACGCTTTTACACTGTTGGTGGGAGTGTAAATTAGTTCAACCACTGTGGAAGACAGTGTGGCAATTCCTCAAGGATCTAGAACCAGAAATACCATTTGACCCAGCAATCCCATTACTGGGTATATACCCAAAGGATTATAAATCATTCTACCGTAAAGACACATGCACACGCATGTTTATTGCAGCACTATTTACAATAGCAAAGACTTGGAACCAACCCAAATGCCCATCAATGATAGACTGGATAAAGAAAAGGTAGCATATGGAAAACTATGCAGCCATAAAAAAGGATGAGTTCATGTCCTTTGTAGGGACATGGATGAAGCTGGAAATCATCATTCTCAGCAAACTAACACTGGAACAGAAAACCAAATACCACATGTTCTCACTCATAAGTGGGAGTTGAACAATGAGAACACATGGACACAGGGAGGGGAACATCACA